>NC_000023.11:153263484-153566515 GCF_000001405.40 Homo sapiens | reverse complement strand
CTTGAGACCACTGGGAGGGAACACAGGACCCAGGGCACCAAGAACAGCTTTGTGCAAGTTGCATGGATGATTCTTTGGGACAGGCCCTTGGTGATGTGTGACTGACCCTGGGAAGGGGTGTGGCCTCAGGCCCCGCCTATTCCCGCTTGAGCTGGGGCTGGTGGCTCAGGCGGGCCCTGGCTCCGCAGCCAAGTGTGCAGTGGTGTCCTTACTCTGGCAGGACCTCAGGGAGGAGGGTCAGTCGCTCCATGTCAGGGGCATTGCAACTGGGGATCCTGGACAGGGCCTGGAGGGGCAGGGAGTGATGGCTGTGACCTGAGAGATGGTGGCCCAGGCCTTGCAGAAGGAGGTGGAGTGTGAAGCATGCTGGGTGGCCCTCTGGAGGCTGCTGGGGGAGGGGCAGGCCATGAAGGAGAGGCTGCAGGGGCTGCGGTGGGAGAGGGGCCAGGCCGCAGGTGGGGTCCCCATGGGCCCTTTCTTCCTCCCCGGCCAGGATTTTCAGCACTCAAGGGCCACAGCAGGGTGGGGCGAGGGCTGAGCAGGAGGTGGGGGTGCCAGGCGGGTGAGGACAGCAAGTCTCCAGGCAGTGCCCACAGCAGGCAGGAACGATGCAGGGACAGCCCGACCCCACGAGCCGGAAGGGAGCCTCGCAGGCCTAGGCGAGCGCCGTTTCTGGGGAGTGGTGGGCAGAGGCCAGGCTGTAGTGGGATCACAAGAGAGTTCCAGGGAGGGGTGTGGAGACACAGCGAGTCTGGAGCATTCTGGCAAAACTGTTGGCCGGGAGGAGATGGGAACAAGGGAGCATGGTAGCTCTGGCAAGCGCCTGATACTGGTGGCAGTGGTGGCCATCTGACTTCAGAGAGGAACACAGCTGACGCCCTTGGTCTTGGCCGGCCCTAACCCTTGGTGATTTGGATGACCAGAAAGGACCAACTCGGTGGCCAGAGTCCACTTCCCAAATGAAGTCTCCCCATCGCATTTACAGTGTCAACCAGTGAACCTTGAGCTCGCTGGTGGCTGTTTGAAATGGGCCTCTCTTCCCGATACTGTCACTTGCCTATGACCTGGGGCCGTTCCCACCAAGTGAAGGGAGCCCCAGCAGTGATGAGGACGGTGCTGGCCTGTGCCTCTGAGAGAGCCATTAGTCACCCACACACACCTTTAGCTACAGGGGATGCCTGGGCTCTGAAGGAGCTGTCAGGGAGAGGCGATCTCAGTGCCACAGCCATCAGCGGGCACAGCCCGGAATGGCAAAGGGGACACTGGCAGCTGCTTTTGTGACCTTGGCAGCAAGACCAAAGGGTTTCCCTGTGGGTGTCGGGTGCAGACGGCCGGCTCTCGGCTGCTGCTGGCCAGCTTGCCTCTACCCTCTTGGGGTGGAAGTGCCAGGGCGAGAGCGAGTCGGGGCTTACCTGCGTCTGAATCCGGTTCAGGCCCCGGAACCAGAGGATCTGGCCCCTGCGGAGCTCCCGCTCGGCATGGTCGATCTCTTCCTCGCCTTCGGCCAGCTCCTCGTCGGTCATCTCGTCCTTCCCGGGCCCGTGCCCGGCTTCCTTCAGGCACTTGAGCTGGCTGGTGGGGATGGTGGCAATGACCTGGGGGAGCCACACGGAAGTGGCCGTGAGAGCCAGGCTGAGCAGCATCTGCCTGGTGTAAGGTCCCTCTCCAGAGGGAGACGCCGGCCTCCTTCTTCCAAAGGATGTCATTTGTTTTTGTGACTAAGCAAAGGGAGTAAAGCTAGAGCAGTCCCCCCGGGAACTGGCAGCCCTTGGAGAACTGGCGTAGTGTTCCCCCGGGGGGCTGAGATGCATTTTCAGGAGTACGTGGAGCTCTGGGCCAGCCTCCGGGACTTCGAGAAAGTAAGTGTCTGTTGTCTAAGCCTCCCAGTCTATGGTATTTTGCTATGGCAGTCAGAGCTGATGAAGACAGAGATAAGCGGATCCTCCATGGAGCTCCATTCAGCCAAAGGGCCCAGGGAGTGGCCCGAGTGGAACGCGGTGCAGCAAGGGCTCCTGGGAGGGATCGCTAAGCCCCTGGAACATCCTGCTTGAGAGCAGCATGGCTCAGTGGGGCAGGGGGCTGGGGACCGTGCCCCGTAGGCTACACTAACAGCTGGACCTCCAGAGGGCTGGAGATGGAGGCCAGCCACGTGACCACAGCATGGCTCTGTGAACCACCGCAAGAAAAGCCCTGGACACCGGGGCCTGGGTGAGCTGCCCTGGTTGACAATACTCCCTGCATGTCGCTCCACACCGTTGCTGGGAGACACAGGCGCTGTTTGCGCAACTCCCCTGGGAGAGGACAGCTGGAGCTCTGGCCTAGTCTCTCCTGGAGAGGGCATCTCCTGGAGGAACACCAGCCTAGAGAAGACCTGTGCATTGGGGGCTAGAGAGGGTGGGAGGTGACAAGGAGGGTGACAGCTGGAAAGGGTGACTGGATAAGGAGCCTGGCAGGAGTAAAGAGAGGGCATGGCTTCGCATATTGTAGGCCACTGGGAAGTGGGGGGAACAGTCTAGAAGGACGCAGGGGAAGCCACAGAAAGGGATGATGGGCATCTGGAGTTCTAGAGCAAGACGTCTCGTCTGTCTTGTGTGTCTATGCCAGTGTATTTGTCGAACATGGCCAGGAGGGGACTTGAGGACTGGTTCACAGAGATTCCCTTCTTTTCGTTTTTCTCTTGAACATGTTTTATCTTTGTAACTGAACAAGGTTAAAAATGAAAAGGACAACCCAGTAGCCCTGAGAGGCCGAGCTACAGGCTGGTGCCACATTCCTGGGGGGACCAGAAGGCCAGTGGCCTGGGAGCTTGAAGAGCAAGAAGAGGGCCTGGCACCCCTCTGGGCTGTGGTTAGAGTCCAGGTTTCGGGAAGTGAAGGGACTCCATGGAGCAACCAGGTTCAAGTGTGATTCGGAGGTGAGGTGCAGTAGCAGAGGGAAAGGAGAATTCTGAAAATGAAACAGGAACTGGGTGGGCTGTCCCCGAGGACACTAATGCTGGGGCCAGCAAGAAGGCTGGCATCTGCAGCAGCTGCAGCAGCCCCTGTGGCCGGCACAGAGATCAAGAAACAAAAGCCAGGCCGAGCATGGTGGCTCCCGCCTGTAATCCCAGCACTTTGGGAGGCTGAGGCAGGCAGATCACTTGAGTTCAGGAGTTCAAGACCAGCCTGGGCAACATGGCACAACACATCTCTACAAAAAATACAAAACTTAGCCTGGTGTGGTGGCATGTGCCTGTGGTCCCAGCTGCTTGGGAGGCTGAGATAGGAGGATCACTTGAGCCTGGGAGTTCGAGGCTACAGTGAGCTGTGATTGTACCACTGCACTCCACATTGGGCAACAGAACAAGACCCTGTCTCAAAAAAAAAAAAAAAAAAAAAAAGGAAAAGCCAGAATGCTATGGACTGAACTGTGCTCTCCAGTTCATGTGTTGAAGTCCTAGTGCCCAGTGTGGCTGGATTTGGAGTAAGGAAGTGATCAAGGTTAAATGAGGTCACCAAGGTGGGGCCCTGATCCTACTGGATTAATGCTCCTAGGAGAGGAAACACCAGAGACCTTGCTCCCTCTGTCCACCATGTGAGCACAGAGTGAGGAGGCGGCTGTCTGCAAGCCAGGAAGGAGCCCTCACCAGGAACTGGCCCCGCTGGCTCCCTGGCCTTGGATATCCAGCCTCCGGGACTTCGAGAAAGTAAGTGTCTGTTGTCTAAGCCTCCCAGTCTATGGTATTTTGCTATGGCAGTCGGAGCTGATGAAGACAGAGATAAGCGGATCCTAAATACCCAGGCTGTTTCTTCCTGATCTAATTGTGGGGTCCTAGAAACCTGCCAGTGTGCGGCTTCAGCTGCAGCCCACAGAGCTCGATGTGGGACTCTCTGTCCTTTCCATCAGGTCAAAATATTTCCTAATTTCTCTGGAGACTTTCTTTTCGCCCCATGGATTATTGATCAGGGTGCTGTTTGATTGATTTAAAATATGTGGGGATTTCCCAAGCTACCCACCCAATTGGAAGGGGCAATTTTTGGCTCTTATCATAGAAAGGGGAGCTGCGGGCAGTTTTCCTGGGCCCTGTCACATCCCAGCCATGTTCCTTTGCATTCTTTTGCTGACACCTTCCCTTGCGTCCTGTCCCTGGGTCCTGGTGTGTCACAGGCCTGAGCCCTCAGTGTGCTTCCTAGGGTGAGGACCCCAAGGCTCTGAAGCAGGGTTAGGGCAAGTGGGCCCATCACAGAAGCTGTCTGCAGGGCAGTCTGAAATGAGGGGCAGGGCTGTCACTCACCTGTCCCCAGACCAGCTCCCCAACACCAACAAACAGGCACCAGAGCCACTGTTCTGTGGATAGTGGGGAGCAGCTGAAGGGCTTCCCGCCAAACTGGACGATGACAATCTGCGAAGGGCAAGTGGGAGAGAGGCAGGTCCAGCCGCGGCTCCTGAGCCACCCTTGTCCTCCAACCCCTTGAAGACCCAGCCACCCTGGTTGGTTCCCCCAGTTGCACGGGCTGCTCCTTGCGAGAGGACCACAAGGCCGGGGGCGTGATGACAGAGCAGTGCATGGCCCCCAGCGCCCCTGGGTGCCAGGCACCTACTGACTCCAGCCTCGGAGTGGGGCCCAGCTCCACTGACCATGCTCCTATTTTCAGCAAGACGGAGGCTGTGACACCCACCCTGCGGGCACGCTGGACATGCCTCATTCTGGAGGACCCTAGAACCTGCCGAGGTCACCTTGTCTTGGCCTCCTGCCTCCTCGGGAGGCATCCAATTTGCAGGGGCAAGCTGTCCAAATGCAAACTGACCCCGTCCTCTGTTGGACTGTCACATTCCGGGCCACTATCCCCTTGCACTCATTACCCAGGACCAGGTACCAGACAGCCAGGGAGCACCCGTATGCCCTGGAACCGCTGCAATGACGCAACCTAGCCAGTCCTGAGCCTACCAGCCCTGCCTCACCTGCTCCTCCCCGAGGGAACCACAGCAAAGGCTCTTGTCCACAGCTCTCACACCCCACCTCCTGCCTGGCGCTCTCCCATGTGGGCCCCTATGGTGTGGCATGTGTCCTCCTCTTGGGGTCTCTGAGTCATAAACTGTCTTTCAGTGGCAACTGTCTCTTGACCTTTTGGCCTTACTATACCTCAATTTTTCTACAAATACACTATATTTTAGAACACTTAGCCCCTCCTAGACAGTGGGGCTGACCAGCCTGTCCACAGCACTGTGGGAAGCAGAGGTTAGTGTGTCAGCACTGGGCACAGAGGTCATCTCCAAAAGAAACTTCTGGAGTTATGGCAGCCTCATGCCAAGGAATTAAGTGCTAGAAATGGGAATGGCAGACCTAGAGGGAGCCAGGGAGGACTCCTTCCAGCATCTGTGAGAAAACTTCGTTCCGATGAGGGCTCACGAAACCCTTCTGGAAGCCAGCGCGCTCACCCAGGGCAAGGCCGGCAATGTTTGGAAGATGAAGAAGGCCCTCTCCGACATGCAGAGAGGACGGGGGCTACAGGAAAGCCAGGTGGGGTGGGGCTCCTTCTGGGAGTGGAGGTGGGGAGGCCAGTACTAGGGGTGGACGAGGGGTCTTGAAGCCCACCACCTCCACTTTTTGCAAGTGGCAGAGGCCAAGAGTGGAGCCGCCCCTCCTACCTGAATCCCGAAAGTGCCCAAAACGATGGTGCAGAAGATGGGGTTGCTGAAGATGCCGTCGAACACGTTCCTCTCGCCGTGGATCTTGCGGGCGTTGATCTCGTTAAAGAGCTGCATCATGACGAACGTGTTGAAGATGATGGTGTAGTGCTCTGAGGGTGGCGAGTGCAGGGGCGCATTCCTCCCGCTGTCGATGTCGAAGAAGAGCTCCCCTGGAAAGCAACATTCCCCACTCAGGCACAGTCATCTCAGCGCATGACGCATTACTCAGGAGCGAGACTTCGGTGTGTAGCTCCCGAGATGGGTCCCTTGTCCCAGGGGATGGCCACTTCCAGCTCACGGCCAAGGCCCAAGGCAGCCACACCCACCCCAGGCTCAACCAACCAGAGTCCTGAGACCCCTCTGGGCCAGGGGCCAGACCCTGAGCCTGAGGGCAGGAAGGAAGAGATTAAGAAGGGAAGTTCTTAAGGCTGGCTTTCCTCGGACGCCCTCCTCCTCTTCCTCTCTCTTGCGGTCACCCCCCACCCACCTCACAGCTTCCAGCACGGCACCCCAGTCACTCCACAGGAGCAATCTTCACAGGGTAAATGTGGGCTGTTCTGTTCCTAGGGTTACCGTGGCCACTCTGGGGCTGGGTAGAAGCTGCCTACTCTACACAGCTACACAGCCGTGGGCAGGATGTCAAGACATGAACTGTTTCTCAGCTGCTCAGCGGCCTGGGAGGAGAGGCTTGCGAAAGAGCTGTAGGCCACCAGCAGGCCTGGCTGCAGGGTTGCTAGCCTGGCCCATCTGCTCCTTCCCCTGTGTGCTGTCCAGTCAGGAAGTGCAGCGTCCCACCCCGTACTGGGTGCGGAGACACAGGTGGAGACACACCAGACAGAATCTGAGCCCGAGGTGGTGGCAACAGTGTCCTGAAGTCCTCCCGGGTGCCCCTGGCCAGCCTACCGACAAACAGCAGGGTGAAGATGATGGCGAGCTGGTACACGGCGTGGCCCAGAATGTTCTTCATCATGGTGCGGGAGATGAGGGGCTTGTCGCGGCCGTACGGCTTCCGCAGCAGCAGCGACTCTGTGGGTGGCTCCGTCGCCAGGGCCAGAGAGGCAAATGTGTCCATGATCAAGTTCACCCACAACATCTGCACGGCTTTGAGAGGAGAGTCCTATGGAGAGGAGGCAGTCACCTTTCCATGGGCCGCCTGCCCGGGAAGGTTGGGGGTGGAAACCCAGTAGCTCCTGGGGGCTCCTCATGGGGTCCACATCACCAGGATTTCATGCCCATGAAAACAGACATCTCCATCCCTACATCGCCTTTACGCTAGTGGGGCGTTTTCTTTGGGCTGTCACGTGCCCGCCTCCCTTCTCTCACCTGGCAGCAGGTGTGCTCCAAATCCCTCGCAGGAGGTGAAAAACCCCAGACCACAAAACAGCCCGACGATGGGGTCTGCCATTTGGGGCAACAGAGTGAGGGCTGCTCTCCTTGTCTCCTGCACCTCAGGGGCAGGAGGAGGCAGAAACTCTGAACTGGACCTTCCTTCTCAGCTCCTCTGAGTTGTTCGTTAAAAATCAGCCTCACAGAAGCCAGACACACAAGGCCACGTACTGTCTGATTCCATTCATAGGAAACTTCCAGAACTGACAAATCCATAGAGAGAGAAAGCAGATGAGTGGGTGCCAGGGGCTGGGGTTTGGGGAGTAGAGAGTGACTGCTCACGGGGTCTGGGTGTCCTTTTGGGGTGATGAGAATGTTCTGGGAATAGACAGTGGAGGGATATAAACCTCGGAGTTATGTACTTTCAAAAGGTTAAAATGGTTCTGTTGAAGTTTGTTATGTGATTTTTTATCTCAATTTAAAAAATTGTTTTGAAAAGACCAAGTTGATCAGCAGGCAATTTAAACACCCCCTTTCTAAGGCGGGGTGAAGAAAATCTGGACACTCACCAATGGGGAAAATGGGACTGTTGAGAAAGGGTTCCCATGGGACGCATAGCCCACGCAGAAACTCATACACAGATGCTCCTGGCAGCACCATTCACAAGAGCCAAAAAGTGGGAACGAGCCATGTGTCCATCAGGGCAGACATACATAATGTGGCAGTCTGTGCCGTGGAGTGTTATGAGGCCATGAAAAGGCAGAAAGTCCTGCCCTATGCTACGGTGTGTGTGAGCCTGAAAACACGGTGCTAAGCGAGATGCCAGACACAAGAGGCCACATATTATTTGATCCCATAGGAATGAAATGTCCGGAACAGGCAAATCCATAGACCCAGGAAGCCTGTGAGTGGTTGCCGGGGGCTGGGATGTTTGGGGGAGAAATGGGGAAATGACTGCTCAAGAGCACAGGGTTTCTTTTTAAGATGATGACAATCTTCTGGAACTAGATAGAGCCAATGGTTGCACAACGTGGTGAATGTCCTACAAATTCGAGTGCTGAATTATGTACTTGAAAATGGTGAATTTTTGGCATATGAATTTGATCTCAATTAAAATAATCTGCAGCAAAGAAAACAAAACCCTCACTCTCACAATCTGGCCCTCAGGCCTGAGCCCAGGTGTCCTAGCTGGGGCATGGCAGCCCCCAGTACCCACCTGAGTAATGCAGGCACCTGTGAAGGCCACGATCACAGCCACCACATTGACCGTCAGTTGAAACTGCAGGAACTTGGAGATGCTGTCATAGACGTTACGGCCCCACATGACTGCCTTGACGATGCTGGTGAAGTTGTCATCGGTCAGGATGATGTCGGAGGCCTCCTTGGCCACGTCGGTCCCTGCGATGCCCTGGGGGGGTGACACACACACTCACACAGAGTGTTTGTGGGGGCCCCTTCCCCAGCCCCCCTTGATCACCTGGCCCGCCTGGGCTGGCTCCCTGCTCTCCCCTTCTGAATAACATCCCACCCCGCCCCCCAAAGCCAAGAACAGCACTGTTTTTTGTTGCTTTTTTTTAATGCAACACATTCTTGTACTACAAACAGTAAGTTGTCACATGTCACGGTGGGGGGGGGGGCTTTGCTCATAAACACAGAGGGTGCTGATGACATGGCATCAACACAGCTTTACACATAAAGCCCAGCTGCCACCACGTGGCCACCAAGCAGCGTGGTCTGTTCTTAGCACTCCAGAGAGGCTTGCTGGCTAAGGAGCCCTGGGAAGTCCTGCATGGGGACACCCTGGGCGGGGCGGCTCCTTGCAGAGGAGTCCCTGTCCCATGGAGGCGCAGCTGCAGCTGTGCCAAGCTGCGCAGTCCTCTCCTCTGCCCCAAGCCTGGCCCCGTGAGAGCTGCCACCTCTCGAAGCTTGGGCTGGAGCTCCCTTCTGGGCTACGGGTGCTGGGAAGGACTGGGCTGGGTTCCCTGGGTGACACTCCTTTTCGGTAGGGCAGGGAGAGGGGCTCACCAGGTTGCTGCGTTCAGTGGCTGTGGGGCCACTGAGGGGCCGCAACCAGCCATGTGGGTGGCGTCTGCAGGGCTACCCTGCTCAGTGGGTGAGCAACAGGAAGGAAGTGCAGAGGAAGAGCACATCTGGGGACTCTGCTCACCTCATCTGGGGCTGAGAGTCCATTTAGAGAGGACGGGGGTGGGCAATGCCATCAGTGATGAGCCCCCACCCCCCATTCCCCTTCCTCTCCACAGTATGTCTGGGGCCCACTGTCACCTTGGGCATCACAGCAGATGCCTTTAACCACATGTCCCCCGACTGGCAGAGCCCACGCAGGCCCAAGTGGCCAGGATGTGAAAGAAAGAACCTTCAGGCACTCTGTAACCTGCCCCGACACTGGCTCCCACTTCCTGGTACAAAGCTAATGTCCATGGGACAGATGCAGGCCCCATCTGCCGTGGTGAGCTGGGCGGGCACCAGGTGGCTTACCATGGCGAAGCCCACGTCCGCCTTCTTGAGGGCCGGCCCATCGTTGGTGCCATCCCCTGTCACAGCCACCACCTGCCGCTGCTCACCAGTGGTGCTGTCGATAATCCCTGGAAGACAGATCAGGGCAGGGCAGGGCTGGGGCCATCTGTCACCACAACCCTGTGTAGCCCTGCCCAGGGAGCTATGGGGGTAGGTTGGCTGTGAAAACCCTTTGGGATTACCCCGTCCTGACTGTCCCAATTATCTGTGCTCCCCGTCACCTGGATCATCTCCTATCCCCAAATAAGTAAGCAAATCTCACTGAGTGACAGGGCCAGGGTGGGAGGATAGGGATCTGGTTAGGGCCTGGGGACACAATCCTGGGTCCCTGGCTCTAGACCCACTGCTTCTAGAGACTCACTGTGTGACTTGGAGTGAGTCACTAGCCCTCCCCGAACCCTGGTTCCCTCATGGGCCCCTGCCCTGCTGCTCTGGGCTAATGGGACAAATGGACCCAGCTTCCTAGGCAGGCCCTGGGGACCTGTTTGGGAACCTGGCTTTTGGTGTCAGGAAGCAGACAACCTCGGGCTGGCCACCCCAGGAAAGGGGTGTGGGGGCTCGGCTACCTTTGACCAGTGTGTGCTTGTCGGTGGGAGACGACCGGGCCAGCACCCTCAGCTTGGGCCACACCTTGTCCAGCCGCTCCTGTTCTATCTGGGGAGGGGAAGCACAAGGACGCTGCAGAGCTAAGGCGGGCACGCAGGGGGCTGGGGTGAGGAGAAGGGGGGTCTGGGGTGGCAGACAGCCGGGTGCTACCTCGCCTTTCTCATTGCGGATCCGCCGGTTGAACTCCTTCCCTTCTAGGCACAGGAAGTCCTCCCCGGGCTGGATGATGCCGCATTTGGCTGCGATGGCCCGGGCCGTGTTGATGTTGTCCCCAGTCACCATGCGGACTGTGATGCCAGCACGCTGGCATTTTCGGATAGCTTCAGGGACCTAGAAGAGACAAGAGAGGTGGGCGGGGCCATCGAGGCAAGACGTATTTTGGGTTGAGGCAGTACCCCTTCCTCCATCAGATCTGCAGGTGGCCCAAGGTCCAGCAGAGGTGAGAGTAAAGCCATCCGATTCACGTGCTCAGAACACTTGTGTTAGCCTACAGTTGGGCAAAAGCATTGAACACAAAGCCTATTGTGGAATACAGTGCTGATTATCTCATGTAACTCATTGAATCCTGCACTGAAAGGGAAAAGCATGGGACTCGAAGTAAAGTTTCTGCTGAATGTGCATCACCTTTGCACCAAGTTACAAAATTGTTAAAAGTTGGGGACCACCTGCATCACATTAGATTCTGGAGAAAGAGAAAGAGGTTCCCCAGTGCTGAGTGGAAAGCGAACAGCCTGCAAGGGGTTGAGAGCGGGAAGCCAGGAGACTGGCCGGGAGGTGGTGGCATTGTCCCAGTGGTGGGGGGACAGGGAAGACAGTTCCCAAATGAAGAGGTATGTGGCTCTTCAGGCTCGGGGACAGAGAGACAGGGTCAGGCAGCTGATGCCACTGAGGTAGACGGGCAGGGGGAGAGGAGAAGAGGAGCCAGGTTCAGAGTTTGGGAACCTGAATGAGGAGGTCAAGCCTAGGCAGTGGGGCTTGTGAGCACCGTCGGGTAAGTGTAGAAGCCTAGGTGTGGCCGAGCCGCCAGGCCTGGGGAGCCTGCGGCGGTGGGGAGTAGACACGCAGGAGTGGGAGCCAGGGGTAGGGCAGCCGGGAGACACCAGGGGAGGACATTGACCTGGGAGTCCCTGAATCCTGGCGCCCCCTGAGGCCATGGGCAGGGGGGCTGTGATCTTTGCCAGGGAGACAGCTGGGGGCCCCACTCTAAGCTGTGACAGGGTGATCCAATGGTTCCTGCAGCATATACCACTAAGTGGCCTCACTGCCAGCCTCGGGGACACTTCGTACTCTCTGAGGATCTTGGGGTGCTGGATAACAAGATCACGAGCCACAAGAAGACAATTCTCCTTTGAGCCAGCGAATGCCTGTCCCTGAAAAGTCTGGAAGCCACCCCTCTGCTGCCACCAAGTGGCCGTGACGAGCCTGAAAACCAGCAGCTGCGAACCCAGGCCTCCTCCCTCCTCAGGCCCAGTGTGTGTAGCCCAGTTCCTTCCCCATGGCCCCAAAGGGCCAGGCCAGGCTGTCCTTCCTCGCCTGCTCAGCCCTGCTCCCTGCCTTCTCCCCAAGGCCCCACAGCACAGCAGCCAGCCAGGTGTCTGGAGAAGTTGCCAGTGCCCCCGGCCGGCCCAGCTCCAGCATCAATACCACCCCAGCCACAGGCTTCCTATGGCTCCCCAGGGCCCAGCCTCACGGGCCCTCCTCTGGCTGCAGCCGTGCCGCATCTCCAAGCACCCTGGCGGTTTCAGTGAGGCCCTTGTGTCCTACTGCCTGTTGCCGGCACCCAGGACTTCGCTGGGCCTTCTGTGCGTCCTCCTCAGCCACCACCAGGCTGGCCAGTCTTTGTGGGGGTCTGCCCAGCCTCCGCAGCCTGGCCCTGTCACTGTGGTCTACCCCTTGGACTCTCTCTCAGCCACTCTTAAGCTGGAAAGGAGCTGTCCCTATTCCCCAGGCCCCTCTGGCAAGATTCCTTCCTCTGCTCTGTGCTTCAGTTGCTCCCTGGTCCAACAGAGGGACTCGATGGCTCCTGTCCCCAAGTGTGGCCTTGCTTCGCCTCACCAGCACCCTCTCCTTCTGCTCTCCCAGGCTCAGTGGGGCCCGGGACTCATGCCGCTGCCCGCCTTTGCGGGGCCCATTTCCCTCGCTGGACTTCTGTCCCCTGTCCTCCGCTACCACCCATTTTCTCCCAGGGCAAGCTCGAGGTGCTCCCTCTCTGGGCGCAGTGACCATGTTCTCCTCGGGGCACGGGGCTGCTCTGTTGACATGAGCCATGGCTGGCGTTTAGACGCACTGTCTTTGAATTGAGTGTTTTTGCTACATGATCCAATACATGAATGCCTGTCTCCCGAAGGAGAGCCCAGAAGCTTCTCCTCCCAGGTTGCACCTGCACCCCCAGGGTGGCTCCTACAAAGACAAGTTGTCAGGGTCACAGTGGCCCTGCTTGTGACACAGGTGGGTGCCATGCAGAGGCCCTGGGGAGACAGAGGGGCACCCCATGCCTTGCATTCTCCCTCCGGGGCCGGCCATCCTCCACACTCTCCAGGGTCTGGGATCTTTCAACAACAAAGTGACTTCCCAGTGTCAAGGCCATGGCATCTGCCACGCGGCCCTCGAGGTCCCCTCATCTGGACTCCCCTGGTGGCATCGTCCATATGGGGATATGCTTCTGGGCTCCCTTTCCCGCCAGGACCTTTGCTGTGAGCTCGCCACAGGACGTCCTGACCGTAGAGTAGCCCCAGCCAAACCCTCAACCAATAAACGCCCACCCTGTGCCCCAAACCTGTGTCCCCTCAGGCTTCAGCACCACCTCCAGTCCATCGGTCCTGGGTGGATCAGATCCCAAATGTCGACGGTCTCTCCGCCACTGCCACCTTCTCACCTGGTAGAAGGTGGAGCCTGAGCTGGGCCCATAGGTCAAGCGGGAAGGGCTTTCCAGCAGGCAGGACAGAGCCTTTGTGCGGGTGTCAGGGTGAGAGCACCCAGGACGGGGCTCAAGTGTACTACGGAGGGACCGCAGCAGCTGTGTGTGAAGGAAGGCCGCCCCTACCAGTCCGGACAAGCTCGGGCAGAGGGCACAGTTACCAGGGCAGCTCACAGAGAAGGTGGTGGCTACCTCGGGCCGCACAGGGTCCTCAATGCCCACGACAGCTATGCAGGTGAGGTCACCCACGACCTCATTCTCGTTGTCCCAGTCGGGCTCCTGGCCTGCAGAGAAGTCCCGGTAGGCGATGCAGATGGTGCGGAGGCCATCGCAAGCCATCGGCTCGATGATCTTCCTCACCATGTCGTCCCGGTCCCGAGGCCGAAAGCCCCGGAGTTCGCCATTGCTGTTCAAGATGTTGGTGCACCTAGGCAGGGGGTGGGCAGAGATGAGGTGGAGGTGGGGAGAGAACAACAAGGAACAGCGCTGGTCACACTGGATTGGGGGCTTAGTCAAGGACTGGGGTCCTTATCAGAGAGGAGTGCCCCGTGTGAGAACACAGACACACAGGGAGAAGGGCGTGTGACAACAGGCAGAGATTAGAGAGGGTCAGCTGCAAGCTGAGGAACGCGAGGACTGGCAGCCACCACCAGAAGCTGGAGGATGCAGGATGCATCCTCTCTGAGATGCTTTGGAGGCGCTTCGGCCCTGCCCACGCCCTGCTTTTGGACTTCCGGCCTCCAGAACTGGGGGAGAATCCATTTCTGTTGCTTGAGGGCACCAGGACGCTCATGCACTGCTGCAGGCTGAGAGACCGGGAGGGAGGCAGGAGCATGTGGCTCATGGCAGCTCCACCACAGACTTCATAGGGCAAGCGGGTGGAACCTGGGCAAAAACTGAAGTCTGTGGACAATCGCTATAACCACGTCCAGGCAGCCACAGCCTCAGTAGAGCGCTCATGACTCCAGGAGCTTCTCAAAAGGGACAGGACTTGGGAGGATTCAGGTGGGGAGAGGAGGGAGCAAAGGAGCCGAGGGTCACAGAGGCGGGCATGGTGGAAGAAGCCAGTGGGGCTGTGAGTGCCAGGTGCTGCCACTGCATGGGAGGCTGGTGACGAAGGAAATGATCATAACAGAAGCTGTGTGGACGGAGAGCCTCCTATGGATGTGGATTCACCCACGGAACCCTCACACCCCTCCCCAGAGATAAGTATTCTGTGATCTCCATGCCACCAGGGAAACTGAGGCATGGGAGTAAGGGGGAGTGAAGCTGGGCTGGGCCTTTTGTCCGCAGTGCCTCAGTGTCCCTCAGTGCCCACCAAAAAAGAAGCACAGAAAGAGGGCTGAGGCCCCCACACCAGCAGGGATGGCTCCAGGGAGGAGGTGGTCCTGGCCCTGGCAGTGAGCGCTGCACCTGGCAGAGTTCTGGGAGAGCGCTGTGGGTGGGGCGGCCAGGCAGGGTGCACTTGGTGGTCCAGTCCGCAGAACACAGGAAGGAGCGTGGGCCTGGGCCTTTGGGGAGCCCTGGGCGTCCTGCAGAGGACCTTGCCCTGAGGGCCCTGGGACGGCAGTCATGAGGAGCGAGGTGACTTGTGGACAGAGACGCCAAGGCCAAGGGTGTGGAGTCCGGGAAGGCTGAGTGGGAGTGGGGAAGCCAGGGCATTTGGAGGTGACGCTGTGCACTCTCCCTTACTTTGTTCTAATAGCTTTATTGGGATATAATTCACGCACCACACAGTCCACCCATTTAAAGTAGATAATTCGATGGTTTTTAGTATAGTCACAGAGCTGCACGACCATCACCAGTCTCCAATTCCAGAAAATTTTCATCATCTCTAAGAAAATTTTCATCATCTCTAAGCAACAACAAGAAAATAGATCAACTGGACGTCATCACGATTTAAAACATTTGTGCACCTAAGGACACTATCAAGAGAGTGAAGACAGGCCACAGAATGGGACAGAATGTGTAGAAATCGCATAGCTGATAAGGATCTAGGATCCAGAATACAGAAAAAATGTTACAGCCCAACAATAAAAAGACAAACAACCCAACTCAGCAATGAGCAAAGGGCTAGGACAGACATTTCCCCAAGGAAGACAGGCAAATGGCCAGTCAGCACAGCAAAAGAGGCTCAGCGTTGTTAGTCATCAAGGAAACACAGATCAAAACCACCAGGAGATATTGCCTCACACCCACAAGGATGGCCCCCATCAGCATTGTCACACCAGAAAATAAGTGCTGTTGAAGATGGGGAGAAGGTGGAACCCTCCTATGTCGCTGGTGGGAATGTGAAACGGTGCTGCCCCTGTGGAAAACAGTTTCGTGGACACCACGACCCAGCCATTCCTCTCCTAGATGTCCACGCAAAAGAATTGAAAACATGGGTTCAAACAAAAACTTGTACGTGAATATTCACAGCAGCGTGACTCGTGACAGCCAAAAGGTGGAAACGACTCACGTGCTGGTAGACGTGCTGGTAGACAGATGAAGGGATGGATGGACCAACACAATGCTCTTTAGCATACAATGGATATTACTCAGCCTTAGAAAGAATGGAAGTTCGGGCTGGTGGCAGTGGCTCATTCCTGTAATCCTAGCACTTAGGGAGGCCGGGTGGGTGGATCGCTTGAGCCCAAGACTTCAAGACCACCCTGGGCAACATGAGGAGACCCCAGCTCTACAAAAAATTTGAAAATTCGCTGGGCGTGGTGGCATGCACATGTAATCCCAGCTACGGGGGACACTGACGTAGGAGGATGGCTTGAGGGAAAAAACAAAACAAAACAAAAAAAGAAAGGAAGGTCTAATATCTGAGGGAAACGGAAAAACTTTACACTAAGGAAAGAAGCCAGACACAAAAGGCCACACAGTGTATGAGTCCCTTGATAGGAAATGTCCAGACAGGCAAATCCATACAGACAGGAAGCACATGAGGCTGGGGAGGGGCGTGGGGAGGGCTGCTCATGGGCCTGGGGTTTCTTTCCGGGTTGATGGAGGTGTTTTGGAACTGGGTAGTGGTGACGGTTGCATGATATTGTGAACGTGCTTAATGCCATTCAACTGTACACTGTAAAGTGGTTGAAATGGTGAATTTTACGTTCGGCCTCTTTTACCACGACAATAGAATCAGAAACTCCGTGCGTACCCCGGCACCTCCCTGCTGCTCACTCACTTTTTCAAGAGGATCTCTGAGGCCCCCTTGCTGAAGAGGCGGAAGCCACCGTCGGGCATGCGGATGACTGTGCTCATGGACTTGCGGACCGAGTTGAAGGTGTACACTTTGTAAAGCTTGTCTTCCGGGATCTGCTCGCGCACGGGCTGGAAGTCCCGCTTCAGGTCCAAGACGAAGCCCAGCAGGGCGCACTCCGTCTTATTGCCCACCTGGCGTGGGAGGGCGCCTTCCTTCTCAGGAGGCTGCAAGATGACGAGGGCTAGCAGGCACTGGGGGCCTGAGACCACCCTCCATGCTGCCCCTGGAGCCCCAGCTCTGCCCCCTCGTGGTCACCACATTGTTAGGGTGTGGGCGGCAGGGAGCAGAGGAAGGTCGGCCTTAGCTACAGGCAGTTTCCCAGCCAGAGCCACCTGTGAGGCCAGGGATGGGCAAAAGTTCTCAAGGGGGGGCCTAATGAGCACCTTGCAACAGCTCACCTGGCACCCTGGCCAGGACCCTCCCCTGCTCCTGCCCCCGGCCCTGCCCGCCCGCTCCTGCCCCAGCTCACTAGTATTTTGGTGGTATAGGCACTGTTGATGGAGATGGCATGGACCAGGAGGTCGAGGATCTTAGGGGTCAGGGCGCTGGGGGCCGGAATCTCTTTGTAGTGGGTGTCTCCTAGGTAGGACTGGACCACGGTCATACGGTTGGTGGTGAGCGTGCCCGTCTTGTCGGAGCAGATGGCTGTGGCGTTGCCCATGGTCTCGCAGGCATCCAGGTGGCGCACCAGGTTGTTGTCTTTCATCATTTTCTGCAAAGGGCGAGGGTGTGGGCATTTGGCCCAGGTGCTTGTTGGGGTGGAGGAGTGAGAGATGTCAACACAAACATCGCGTGACTCTGTTCTGCTCAGCTAGCTCCACGTGTGGCACTAAGCCCACTGGGCACCTGGTCAGCCCTGAGCCAATAGCGAGGCTGTAAGGCATCAGCAACCTCATCCAATGGTGGGGGCGGGATGCGCACCCGGGACCTCCCCTGCCCGAGCCCCCTCTCAGTTACCCACCAGCCCTGCAGCTCTCCCACCCCACCACCCCACCACCCCACCACCCCACACCTGGCTCCCCCCACCTCCTCCCACTGCCTCCCAGTGTCCCGGGCCCTCTGCTGATTCTCCGCTTCCCCGCTGCCTCCCAGCCCCTCCGTCCTACTGCCCACATTGTGCAGATGCTGAACCCCTGGGTATCTCACCGCCTGCCTGCTTTCTGGCCCATCTCATGCCGAGGGACCTGAGCTGACAGATCAGCAAAGCTGCCCCCTGGGTCCCTGCTCGGCACCTCCTCTCCTCCCTTGAGCTATCCCAAACGTCCCCAGTTTATACTGCCACCAAGGCGCCCAATGACTTCTTACCCCAGTTTCCGAGTCTGTAAACAGTATCAACTGTAAGTTTTATGATTACCTTGACAGAGTAAGCTAAGGAGATGGTGACAGCAAGAGGCAGGCCCTCTGGGACAGCCACGACCAGCACAGTGACACCAATGATGAAGAACTTCACGAAGTATTGTACATAGACCGGCGTGCACTCTGCCAGCCATGTCCGGCCTTCCACGACAAACGTCTCAATCACAAAGTAGAGGACCAGGATGATGACGGTGATGGCAGACATCACCAGCCCTGCCACAGAGCGGGGAGGAGACGAAAGGGGTTGCCACGGGTGAGGGAAGGAGGGGGACAGGAAGAGGGAAGAAGAGGTATGGACACGGTCTCGGAGGCATTTGTGAAGGCCTTGTAGATTTGCCTTGCGTTTCAGGATAAACAGCCCAGGTTTGGCTCAGCAGGTGAGCTGGGGCCTGTTTGCAAGGGGGCTCTGTGTGGCCTCTTCTGGAGTGCTGCTGGGGTTGGGGAGTGGACTTTGTGGTCTGATGGCAGGAGAAGCACCGCTGGGGAGGACTAGCAAGAGTCAATCCCCCACTGCACCCCAGAAGTTGGGGTACCAGCCCTGCATGCCCCCAGCTGCCTTTTGAGGGTGCCAGGGGCAGAGCCTGGAGCCTTGGGTAGGGGCACCTCATGGGCAGTGGCTCAGTGTGTGACCCGGGCTTTCGTCGAGGGTTTGGGACTTCTGCTCACTAGGGAAGGGCTGCGCCAGGCCCTGATGGCCACTGCCGGCCTGGCCTGTGCCCTTGCCTGCCTGGCCCACACATCACCTGCCACATCCCTTCCCACCTGCTCTACACAGCCTGGGCTCATCTCCAGGAGCCCAGCATCCTCCACGCCCAGTCAATGGCCTGGGCCCACCACCTCCTGCTGTCCCTACCTGCTTTCCCGATCTGCACGGCTAGCTTTGTGAGCTTCCCCTGAAGGACAGACTTCTCCTTTTTGGGTGCGTTGGCTTTCTTCTTCTCCCGCTCCTCCATCTCCCCACCCTCCGCGCTCTTCAGGGGCTGCATCTCCATGGCCACTGCACCATCCTGCTTCTTAGCTGCACACAGAGGAACCCCATGGCCAAGGTCAGTGCCTGGCTGGGGAGAAGGCGTTATAAGGGGCTTTTGTGGGGGAAAGACATGCCACACCATAGAGAGGAGACGGGATTCAGTGGAGCTCTCCTATTTCCAAGTCTATCAGCTTCCCTTCTCTCGCCTCCTAAGCCCAGGCCCTCTTGGGGTGGGTGGGGTGGCTCCAGCACTGTTCTAGGTGGGACAGAGATGGTTCTCTCGGGAGAAGGGAGGACAGACACAGCACAAGGCTTTTGGGCACACAGACAGGGTGACTGGTCCTGGAATGCCCCAAATAATACCTGAGAGCAGAGGCCTGTGGCCCGAGGAATCTTCCAGAACCCTGAGCTGACTCATCTGCTTACTGGTGTCCGAGCCACCTCCTACCTCCCTTAGGGAGGCCCAGAAGCCCCATGCACTCTCCTCCCACCAGCCAGCCCTGCGCCTGTTCGGGCTCCATCTGTCCCTCCAGCACCCTCCCTGCCTCTCCCCTGGAGCAGACGGCTCCTCTCCCTTCTTCCCTGGTGGGTCCTGTGCTCCTCATCCTTGCTGCCCTCGACATGGTGGTGGTGTGTCCCCCACTCCGGCTCCCTCCTCTCCCCACTCCTCTGCTTCTGTCACTTCCTCATCTCCCTCCCTGCCAAGCTCTGGCCGCACCCACTCCACGGCCCAGAGTAATCCTGGCCACCCCACCTCCCTCTTCTGCCCCGGGACCGACGCAGCGACCTGGGGAGAGCAGACTCGTCTTTCTCCCTCACTACTCTGGTCCCCGATCCACTGGGGCTCTTGGCACTACCGCCATCACCTCTGCCTCCTCCTGCTCCTCCTCACTTGCCAGCCCAAGGCCATTCGCCACGGCTCCTCTTCCCAGTGGCGTCAGGACACAATTGCCCCACCCAGCTGGGCCCCTCCAGCTTTGTGCCCCACCTGCTGCCACCTCCTCAACCCAGGGCTGCAGCCATCGGGCTGTCCCCCCACTGCCCTCCCAAACCCAGCTCCGCACAGGGCGTTGCCTGGGTCATCTCTGCCTGTGACCTTCCTGAGGGTCAGGACCTGCCTTGTTCCCCATGGACTCCAGCACCTAGAGCTGGCTGCTGCATTGGCCGACATCTCCTGTCCTCCGTGGGCCACGGCTGGCCTCCTCCCCGCTCCTCCCACCCCTTCTCCTGCTTCCTGCGTCTCACAGCCAGGCTCATGCTGGCCCCAGGGTGTCGGCACCTGCCAGCTGTCCGGGGCTGAGAGGAGAGCCGGGCCTCTGGCCCTCAGCCGACCACTCTGTCTCCCAGGTCCTCAGGCTTGGCTGAAAGGAAGCTGGCCTGGGAAACACACTGACTGGGACCCAGAGCTTCAGGTGAGTCAGCCCTTCTGGGCCTCAGTTTTCTCATCTGGCCAGAGTGGACTCGGGGCGCCCACTCACAGGTGATCCTTATGCCCATGCTGGGCTAAGGTCTCCTCTAGGTGGCTGGGCTGAGCTGCCAGCAGTGTCTGTGGCCAGGATGCCCTGAGCAGCCCCAGGGGTGTGCTCTCTCCTCCCTCTGCACTGGGACGGGACTGTGCAGCCAGCCCACTCACCTGGTCTCCAAGTGTTGCTCCTGCCACCGAGGCAGGTGAACCTCCCCCAACACTGTGCCCTCCACCAGCCCCACCCCCAGGGCTCCAAGCTTGTTGTGCCCAAGCAGCGGCGCCCGTTACCTTTGGTCTGGCTACTCTCCATGGCCCCATCCTGCTGCTTGCCTACAATGGAAGAGGGATGACAGACACGAAGGCTTGAGGACACCAGCCTGGGGGCCGCGTGGCAGAGGGGGTGGGGAGGAGGGGCCTGATTGCTGGTGGCCTTCTTCATGCCCCGTCCTCTCCAGGCTCACCCCGTCACCACCTCCCAGCACACGGTCACCATGAACACTGGCATTCCTGAGCCAGACCTCTGCCCAGGGCTCCCCTTCGGCCTTAAGCTCAGCCCTACAGTGAACCCCTAAAGCCAGCCTTGGAAGGGCCCTGGGTCACACATGGCTGGCAGTGGGAGGTTCCCGGAAGCTGGAACCTCCCCAAGTCGGGACGTCTGCTCCCTGCAAACCAGCTCAAGGGGTTCACTTAGATGGCTCCTAACCCCTGGAAGCCAGGCAGACAGCACCCAGCTGCCCTTGCCTAGGGATTGGTTTTCCCTGCAGTCACGTCCAGCAGTTAGCTCAGTGTGTGTGTGTTTGAGCACTGCAACCTCCACCTCCCAGGTTTAAGCGATCCTCCTGCCTCAGCCTCCCAAGTAGCTGGGACTACAGGTGTACACCACCACGCCCAGTTAATTTTTGTACTTTTAATAGAGACGGGGTTTCGCCATGTTGGCCAGGCTGGTCTCCAACTCCTGACCTCAAGTGATTCACCTGCCTTGACCTCTCAAAGTGTTGGGATTACAGGCATGAGCCACTGTGCCTGGCCCCAGTGTGTGTTTTAAAGGGACAAAGGAATGAGACGCTAGGACTCTGCGGGGCGCTTTCAGGTCATTGGTCAACCCAGGGCTGCAGCACAGGAGTGCCAGCCTGAGCCCCGGCACACAGCAGCCCTGCAAGGCCAGGCTGGGCCCCAAGTGGCCCTATCCAGGGGCTCAGGTGGTGGGCACAGTCACCCCTTCTGAGAGCTGCAGTTAGAGGAGCTTCCTGGGGGCCACATCTGCACTCCCAGGCAGTTGGGGTTGGGATCCGGGGTCCCCAGGGAGCAGGGAGGGCCCCCCCCCCGACCCTACTCAGCCAGGGGTGGGGCATTGATCAGGCCCTCTCCGCCCAGGGTTCCTGTGGGCACAGAGGGCCCTTCTTGCAGGGAGGGGAGACCCCCACGGACACAAGATGGCAGTGCGATGACCGCACAGCACAGCAGGGGAGATGGCAGAGCCTTGGGGCCGTGGGGGCCCGAAGGAAGCATGGACTCTGGACCCAGCCTGCACACAGGCCCTGGGAGGCCTCTGGAGGAGGGAGGCAGGGGGAAGTCTGGGATGAGCATTGCTGGAAGAGGAGGGCTGGGCCCCGCCAGAAGAGACAGGAGTGGGGGGAAGGTGAGGAGGAGAAGCACACTTGGAGAAAGGTGCATAGGAGTCAAGGTCAAGAGACAAGAAATAGGGGGTTGGGTGCAGGTAGAAGGCAAGTATCCTAAGCGTGTACCTGGCAGGCTGCGCCAAACAATGGGGATGGGGCGGGAGAGACGGGGAGGGCGAGCAGGGAGCCCCCTGGTCTTGCTGGTACCCTCTACCCAGCTGGCCAGCTGCTGCTCTCCCTCCAGGGCCCCCTCAGGGTTCTCTTCCTCCAGGAAGCCCTCTAGCTCTGACTCCTAAGTAGGACAGCCTGAGGGTGCTGGAGAGGAGGGCCAGGTGGGGCCTGGGAGGGGCTGAATGGTCTTGTCAATTTAAAAAAGAAAGGAGAGGCCTGGAACAGTTAGGAAGGACACACTCATTTAAGGTACAGAGAAGGTGAGCAGCCTGAGAAGGGCGGCTGGAGACTCCAGAGGAGCGTGGGTTCCCGTGGACGATGGGAGAGGGCCATTGTGTGCAAGACATGAGGAGGCAGCCCAGGCAGGGGCAGCTGGGCTTCCCAGGACAGAGGCCTAGGGACTCCAGCCCAGCCCAGACGAGGCCCAGGGCTGCCCATCTGCCTGCGCACCCCCAGGGCACTCACTGGGGTGAGACACTGCACTGAGCCCTACAGGACTTGGTGCCACAAAGAAGAGCCGGTGCAGGGAGACACAGGCCCAGGCTGCCAGGAGGCAGGGCTCGTCGAAGCTTCTAGGCCACAGAGGGTCATCCAGCTACTCCTTTGCTGCCTCCAGGGAGCTTTGGGCTCAGGGCTGACCTTTTCCCCGGGCCCTGACTGCCCGCCCCACGCCCCCACGCCCCCACACCCCGCGCACTGGCCCCAGGGCCCTGGCTGGAGGTCACTGGCAGGAAGCAGAGCTTTCCCATGCGGGTGTGGCTCCCTACCATGTTTTGGCTGCAGGAGAGGCCAGAAGGCAAGTCCAGGCCAGAGCAAGGCTGCCCAGCCAGAAGGGGCTGTGGCAGCCATTCAATCTTGTCCATCAGGGCCTCCCTGAATAGTACTCAGGTTAGAAGGTCTGAGGACTCCGCCCGCTGCAGGGCCTGATGGTGGCAGCTCCAGCCACAGGACGAGGAATGGGCCCTCCTGGCTCGGGCTTGCCTAGCTTTGTAAGCCCCAGGGCAGGGCCACCACCCACAGTTGGGCTGCCCGGCCCTCACCTGTCCCAGCCTCCTCTGACCTCTGACCCCCACCTCCCTGGCTGCCTCCCACGCTGGCCTGGGATCCTCGGCACCTTACTGGGCACGGGCCCTGAGGGTAAGCATGAGGCTCCCCGTAGCTCCTGTCCCTCTAACGCCATTCCTGTCCAGGTAGGTATGGGATCCCGGAGCCTTTGGGGATGGTGGTCTCAGGGAAACTCCCCGTCCACGGCACTGGAGGGGCCCTTGGCCTGCCGGCTCTCAGGGGGGATATCCTCAGAAGAGGAGTCTCCACGGAGAATCAAAAGAGAGGGCCCGGCCTCCCACCCACTTGGGCTGGCTCTCCCTGAGCCCCCAGTGGCACCGGCCCGCAAAGAAAGAATGGGCAGCGTGGAAGGAGCCGCCACCAGCACCAGGGACTGGCGGCACTGCTGCGCTACCTTTCTTATCTTTCTTCTCTTCCTCCTCTCCGCCAGCTCCAAGCAGCGTGAAGATGATGCCTGTCTGGGAATTCACGCCAACGGCGGTCACCACCATTCTTCCAGAACCTTCCATGACATGAGTGCCTGGAACAGCAACACAGAGACTGAGACAGGAATTTGTATCACCCAGTGGGAGACACATTCAGCGCCCACAACCTGTCTCCCAGGGTCTCCCGGAAGCAGGGACGCGGTGTCCACCTTAAAACTAGGCTGAAGCCTCCTCCCTGGCTTGGAGGAGACCCCGAGGCCCACAGGGCCCACCTAGGGCCTCCAGCCTTCCTGTCCCGTTTCACACTACGTTTCCAACTGGGATAAACACCGGACTATGCTGAAACCTTCTGGAAAGGGAACACTACCCCCACTGGATATTGTCGAGGGTCTGGATTGAGAGAAGCACAGCGCTGTGCTGGCCCCTGCAAGCCTCTCCGCTTGGGGCTTCCCATTCAGGACACAAAGCACTCTCCCGGGCCTGGAGGGCCAGCTTCCTCGCCCTGTGGCTGGAGCTGCCACCATCAGGCCTCAAGACGGGCGGAGTCTTCAGATTCCCAACCTGAAGGTTATGCTGGAAGGCCCTGGTGGAGGTGGAGGCTGAGCCCAGCAGGCAGCCTGGACAGGATGCTGGGCCACACGGCTGCTGACGCCCCTTGGTGCCAGGCTGGCCCGGAGGGTGGCCCTCACCTGAGAGCAGCATGGGATCTTTGTCAGCTGACTTGCGCACGTGGTCAGACTCGCCCGTCAGGGAGCTCTCGTCGATCTTGAGGTCATTGGCCTGGATGAGCACGCCGTCGGCTGGCAGCAGGTCGCCTAGAGCACCGGGAAGCAGAGGCCTTTCTCCCCACCGCCTCCTCCCGGCTGCCCCAGGGGAGGTCCCGTCAGGTGCCATGGGCCGCCTGGGAAAGGGACTCAGGAGCCCTCCTCCTTCTGGGGAACGAGGACATTTGCATCCTTTGTAGGGGGGAAAGCCCGCCGTGGAGGCTGTGGGGACAGTTGATTCTTCGGGGGCCTGCTGTGTCTGAAACCACTCTGCCCTGCCCCGTGTTCCCCCACCTCCCCCACCCCCGCCACCTCCCGCCTCCTAAGGCAGGTGACGACACGCAGGCCACCGGGGAGAACCTGTGCTGGGGGTCTCCTCTGGCTCACCCTCCCCAGAAGCAGGAGCCGAGCTTCCTTGACAGGGTGGGTGAAGACCAGGGCACTCACCGTACTTGACCTGGGCAATGTCCCCCACCACCAGCGCAGCCACGGGGACCTGGAGGAGCTGCCCGTTCCGGATGACCGTGAACTTCTGCTCCTGCTCAATTCGGCTCTGCAGGCCTCGGAACTGCTTCTCCTTGCTCCAGTCATTGAAGGCCGTGACCAGCACCACACAGATGACGGACAGCAGGATGGCAGCCCCCTCGATCCAGCCAGCTTCGGCCTCGCCCTCATCTTCTGCGCCTCCCGACACATTCCCACAGGCTGTGCGGAGGACAGAAGGGAAGCAGTGGAGGAGACATCACCATCCTGTGACCGTCCCTCATCTCAAGCCCCATTCCTCTTCCTCCTTCCAGCCCAGGCCCCCGGGCCTTACCTTCACTCTCCTCTCCTGGCGGCGCATAGAACGAGAGGCCCAGAGAGACGATGGCAGCCACCTCCAGGATGATGAGGGTCACGTCCTGCAGGGCCTCCCACACCAGCTGCAGGAAGGTCTTGGGTTGCTTTGGGGGGATGAAGTTCTGCCCGTAGATCTGCCTGCGCTTCTCCAGGTCATTGGTGTTGTCCGCCAGGCCTGCATGGTGCCCCGGAAGCACAGAAGGGGAGGATGGGATGGGACGGGTCGGCCTTGTGTGTCCCAGGCCTCCTATGTGGCCCTGACTGACTGCTCCTGGGGTGGCAGCAGCCCTCTGGGGCCGTCTGGCCAGCGCCTGGCTCTCCCTCTAGACAGGAGCCTTTCTGCAGACTGCTGGGGGTGTGCACGTGGGAGTGAGCATGCGGCTCTCTGGCTGCTGTCATGGGGAGTCCCTAGCCATCCTCCTCCTGACACACAGATGACAAAACAGGCCAGGAGGCTCCTGGACTCCAGCGGGTCCCAGGTCCCTGTGCTTTCCTGGCCACCTCCACACTACCGCTGAGGGGGCACTGGAAGGCAGGGGACAGGACCCAACAAGGGGGCACAGAGGGGACCCAGCAGGGTATGTCCAGGTCAACAAGGGTTGCTAGGAGACAGGACAGAAGAGTATAGCCAATGGTCCCCTGGGGAGGAGAGCGAGTGTCCAGGGGACTTTAGTGGAGACATGGGGAGGGCCACCAATCAGGGGAGGCTGGGATGGCACCAGATGCCAAAGACTAGGCCAGGGCTCTGTGCCTGTCAGGAAACACCTCTCTAGCTCCCAGCCTATGAATTCCCTGAGCAGGCTTGTCACCAACACCCCCCTCCCCAGCTCTGTAAGATGGGGCCAGCCGGTCCCAAAGACTGGCAGTGTCACACAGCCCAACCTGTGGGGGCAGGGACAGCCTGCAAAGAGGGTGGGCAGGGCCCGAGGGATTGGGGCATGAGCACGGCCAGTGCCGAGGAATCAGCAGTCTCCAGGGTGCCTGTGGCTGCTGGCAACAGGGAGCGGAGGCTTACTTTCCAGAAGTTTCTCGGGGAAGAAGCAGTGGGGAGGGAGCATGAGAGCTAATGGGAGATGCAAGTTCTTGGGTCCAGAGACCCAAAGAAGAAGAACGGTGTCACGCGAGGAGAGAGAGAGGCACGGGAATGGGAGTGGGTTCCTGGTGGGGAACAGGCGGGGAGAAGCCAAACCGGAGTCACGGTGCTGAGGGAGGGGACTGGGAAGTCTTCAAGCCTTTTCTGGGCTGCATGGCCTCGCAGGGGTCGGGGAGACACTGCCCACCCTGGGCTGCTCATCAGCTGCTCTCTGCAGGGTGCAGACAAGGCCACTGAGGCCGGAGGTGGAGAGGGCCCTGTAACCATGAGTCAGAGCTCTGGCCTGTGGCCCAGGTCAGGACAGAACCTACGCTGCCCGACAGGACCCGGTGAGCACAGGGCCCTCAGGACCCAGCAGCCTTGGTTCTAATGCAACTCCAGCACCAACTTTGATCCCTCAGCCAGGGCTCACAGCTTGTCTACATGGCGACTTGAATGACACCCAAAGCCACTCAGAAGCCCCCAAATTGGCTTTGCCTTCACAATCAGAGCCACCTGTCCCTATCCAATTCTGTCACTTGTCATCCTTGAGGACGCTTACTTCTCAGTCTTCCTTGGCCTGAAGGTACTGGAAGCTTACGTGCGTGACTGGCATCCGGGCCTGGACACCCACTCAGCCACCTTCTACCGGGGCAGGCATGTGGGATGACACCCTCCTCTGGCCCCACCCTTGGCCCCAGGATTCTCAGCCCCGGCTGATCCCGAGGAGCCCTCCCGGGCGCTCACCCGGCGCCCAGTGCTGTCGCGGCCGTGACCAGACCCACACTGACACCTGGTGGACAGACAGCAGCTTGCAGCTCCCAGCCCTGGGCAGCTGGGCTCACGCCTGCCATCTGCTGCAGGGACGGGATGACCAGAGAGCCCAGCCCCAGCCCATGGGGCACTCACAGTGGGTCTGGGAAGGCACACAAGACCCTCCAGATGACTGGAGAACAGGCGCATGCTAACCTTGGGGCTTCTGAGGAGGGGCAGGGGTAGCCCTGGCCGCAGTGGAACAGAAGCTGCCGCCCGCACAACCGTGGCTCATTCACCCCAGCTAGGCGACGGCCACATGGCGTCCTCCCCACCCAGAAGAGCCGCAGCTGTCCGTGCCTCTCTGCCCCTGGCTCAGGTTTCTTCAGGAGCCAAAGGCCTCTTGCTGAGGCCCGAGCCTGCCCCAATCGGGAGCCTGGGGTTAACGCACGACCTCAGCTCCTGGGTGGTGGGGAGGGGGCTGGGGACCAGGGACCCAACTGAGGGGTGTGCACCTCGCTCTGGACTGGGACTGTCTCCTGGAATTACAGGAGCTAAGCCAGGTGGGGACAGTACTAGGGAGTACAAGACCCCCCAAGTGACTTAAGAAGAAGCACGTGCTAACCGTGGGGCTTCTGCGGAGGGAGAGGAGCAGGGGAGGGCTCCCCAGACACCTGGGGTCTCCACTGCCCTTAGCCTGGAGCCTCCATGCGAGTCTCTCTCCTGCCTGCCCCTCCTCACATGCCCAGTTTGTCCCTGAGAGCAGCCGGGACCCCTGGCCCATTCCCCAGGAGCTCCCTCGCCCTCGCCAGCCTCTCCCTTGGCCTTGACCTGCCCTTGCAGCTGTAGCCTTGCTCGTTTCTCCTTAGCCTTCCTGTGGGCTCGGGGTCCCGACGGCTGCCCCACTGCAGCACCCATTGACGGGGAGGAGGAACACAGCTGCGGCCCCTCTGGCTCTGAGCACATGCTTCCCCAGCAGGCCCGAGGGCAGTCCAGGTCCAGGGCATGGGGGCAGGGGCTGGCCGGTTGGCATGGACACAGATGGGCGGCCTGCCCGGAGCAGAGGCCAGATGCCATCAGAATTGGATTAGGAGCATCTCGTGTCGGCTCCCAGCGAATCCGCCCCCTCCTTTCCAGAACTGCCTGTGGAGCCCAGAGGGGCACTGGGCGGGGCCAGGTTCCCGGGCGAACCCACCTCTGAGTTCAGCCTGAGACCCAGGTTTCCTGACAACAGCAGCGCGGTTTCCAGGATGGGTTCTGGAATCCTCTTGGAGTGCTCCCAAGACAGGGAGGGCAGTGGATTGATGAGTGTACCGCCAGAAGATAAAGTCCCCTTCCCGCAATGCACTATGCGCCATAAAGCACCTGCCCCACGGGGGAGTGCCTGCCTCCTGGGCAGCCCCACGTCTGCCCACCTTGTCAGGGGATTGGCATGGGGCTTGGGGCACAACAAAGCCAGCTGCCCCCGTGGCTCAGGCCCTTGTGTCTGAGGAGGACTGAGGGGCAGGCAGGTCTGAGCACCAGGGTCCGGGTGCACGGCCGGGCTAGGGGATGCGGGGAGCGAGTCACCCGCTCCTGGCACCCAGACAGCTCAAGCCCGACAGCTCCAGCCCGAGGACCTTGAGGGTTGAAGAGGGGAGGGGCCGGTCCTCTGCTGCTCATTCTGTGGGCAGCAGATCCAGGCCTGGCCGGCTCCCTGCACTGTGGCCTTGGGGACCCAGGTGCTTGGAAGCCCGTCAGAGGCCAAGCCACCCACCTGTGCACCTGCCCTTCTCCGTGCCCCTGCCTCCACAGGCACGCAAGAGCTCCTGAGCTCCATGGCAGAATCGGGCAGGTTCCCAGGGGCCTTGACATTTTAAATATTTAACAAGGCCTGGCAGACAGGGGAAGAGCAGACAGCTGAGGCCCATCTGCTTCCTTTGATCTGGGAGAGGCCAGAGCTCTTGTGGATAAATGGCCCTCCACAGCCTCCTCGGGGGCTGGGCAAGGAGGAGGGAAGGCAAGAGATGCTCGGGAGCAGAGCCAAGGCATCAGCCCCAGCAGCAGCTGCACCGTGAGGGCGTGTGCGGCGGCGAGGCCGGGTGTCACGGGCGCATCAGCTCCAGGGCACAAAGCTAGGGAGACCCAGGCAGACCCTGGAGTTCCTGACCTGGCCCGCAGCCCCCCTCCTCCATCTTCACTCCTCCCTGCAGCCTGAGTGCCACCTGCAGACAGACGGGGCCGAGGCCGGAGCCACAAGAGAACAGTCTCTGGGTTGAGGGTGAGGGCAGAGCGGGAGGCTGGAGGTGCCAAGGAGCCTCACGGCTGGGAGCAGAGGAGATGGGTGGGCCCAGGCGTTGCCCAGATGGGCAGCAGATCAAATCAGCCCGCACTGGCTGGGGAACAGGCCTGGCACTAGGCTGGGATAGCCCCAGCAGCCCTGCCAGGCACGCAGCGCCAGAGAATGCTGTGGCTCCTGGAATCTGGGGCTGGGCCTGGCTCCTGGGGGTCCCCGCTTCATGGCAGACCGCAGCAACCAGGGCTGGGCAGGCCTCACAAGGCCGGGTGGAACATTGCCTCCCACAGGGATAGTCAGGCCTCCGCCCCAGATCTTTCTAGACAGTGCTCACCGGGCTTTCTAGAGCCTCCCTCAGCAGTGAGACCGACACTACCCTGGGCTTGTGCCTCTTTGGGACAGCCTGTGGCCAGTCAGTGCCACCTCTGATCAGCACTCTGGGCCTCCCGTGACCCAGCTTCGGTCACCCCTTCCTGCCAGACCCAAATGGCTTGTGCCATCCCCAGGCCATCCTCTCTCTTCCCAGGAGAGGCCCCGGTCACCCGAAACTCCGAAGGCTTGCACCCTGCATCCCTTCCTCCTGTTCTGATCCCCCTTAAGTGAACACAGGGTTGAGCACACCGGAAATCCCCAAATATACAGATGGGGCTGTCTTCCTCCTCCCTGCCCTGCCCTGCCCTGTTCCTCGGAAGGGTTTCTGTTTGGGGCCCATTCCGCCTGTGTGTGTGTCCCATGAAGTTCCCATCTCCCCCTCCCCAGTCTCGCTCTATAGAGCGGAGAACTCCTGATTGTGGAGGTGTGGAGATGAGGGGGTCAGGTCAGGTTACCCAGGGCATCTCCCCCTCAAGGGAAATGGCTGAGAGGAGGGGCACAGGTGGCCCTTGACCCTGGCCAGCCTTGGGGCTAAGGATGCCTTCAGGTCGCTCCTCTGAAGGCTGGGAGCAGGGCTGGGTGGCATGCAGCCTGAGAGGGACTTACCCTCTGTGGGTGAGGTCTTCAGCCTCCGGCAGAGCCCGCTGACATCCCCGTAGGCCTCCTCGATCTTCTGCAGCGCCTCGGCCCCTCGCAGCTCCATGAGGGTGCGCAGCTCCGCCAGCGTGCACCCAAAGCCTCCAGCCTGGGGGACATCCCGCTGCTGCTGGGGCTTGGGGTGGAACTCGATGGAACTATTGGCCATGTCGCCCATGCTGCCTGTCAGGCCTTCTCACAAGTGCAATCTTGGCTCAGCCACAGCTAGGGACAGGCGGCCACCCACGGTCCCAGTGCCCAGGCAAGGTTTGGCGGCGGTGAGAAAGCTGCTAAGCGTGGACACCTGGGGAGATGGAGGCGAGAAGAAGCCAGGGGAGTGGTTGAGACAAAACTGAGGTCCCATCTTCCAGAATATTCTCGGCAAATCTTCACTCAGTCTGTGCCATGACCCTCGAAGTGCAGAAATCACCTCCCAGGCTGGGCCAGTGGCCCTCATGCTCTGCCAGGCCCCACCAGCCAGGCCACTCCCGGGTCCTGCCCACCATGGGTGCCCAGAACCTGGAGGGCTTGCCCAGGTGGGGGAGGGGAAGTGTCGATGCCTCCTGCCAGGACCCTGCAGTGGTTAACACTAGCTAGCTGGAGGCAGAGGCTGTCACTGCCCCCCAGATCCATTCGGGAACCCACGCTGAAGTGAGGGCAGCGTGCTGGGACTGATCAGTGGCTGGTCTTGCCCGCGCCCCACCACCAGTCCTGCGCTTGTTCACTCCGGTTCACTCCCTGCTCTTGCCTGGTTAAGATGCGCCCTGTGCAGCGGGCATGCCATGAGTCCCTGGTGGTCTTCTGGTGTGGCCTTAGTGGCTCACGGTTTCTGTGGCCCTGAGAGTACCTGGGGGGCCAGGGGCGAGGAAAGGAGGAGGCCCGGAGGAAGGGTGGGAAACAGGGGAGGGGAGAGAGGGACAAGACGGAAAGGCAAAGAGAGGGAGGGAAAGGGGGATGGAGGGAGGGAGAAGAGGGAGGGGATAAAGGGAGTGGCTGAGGAGGAGAGGAGGAGAGGGTACACAGGAGAAAGCCAAAGCAGCCACAGGTCGCTGGTGAGTCTGCCAACGTCCCAGCCCACAGCATGGTGCCACCCACTCCCCTCCACGCTCTTCTTCCCTCCAGATGACAAAGTAAGGAGCCAAAGTCTCCCCACACTGAAAGCATCCAGGCCACGGCCCTGGCCCCACTCTGCCGAGCATCGCAAAGTTGTCATCCCTCTCCCTGTCCCCGTCACCTTACCCAAGGATCCGCTAGGGCCCAGGCTGCCCCTTCTGCAGCCATCACAGTGTTTGGCGGGGCCCACTGCAGCTCCTCTCTCTCCGCTCCTTCCCGGCCCGAGCTAAGCCTGTCACATCCTCATGGAACTGAAATGGCCTCAGTGCACATGGCCTGGCCTTGACATCAGCCAAGAGCCCTCCTGGCAGCTCAGCAGGGCCCTGAACCCCCGTCTCTGGGGAAGCTCCTGGCTCAGAAGCATCCGTTGGAAACGAGTGGCCCAGAGCCCTGAAGAAAGGGGAGAAAGCCCTCAGGCAGCCAAAGCAGACACGGCCAAGTCCATGGCCTTATTCTCAGGAGAGGCCCTGGTGGATACTTCACGAAACATCCATCCACAGTGACCCATGTTTGAAAAGCGTGGGCACCTGCGCGTTTACTCTCGCGACACATTGCACATGAAGCAGCCTTCACTTCTGGGAGATGTGGGGACAAAATGATGGCCATGTGCCTGTGCCGTCCTCTCTCCCCACCTCTCCCCGCCCTGTCTTGCAGTTGGTCACCTGACACATATTCACCGAGCAGCTACTACATGCCTGGCACTGGCTTGATGTGCTGGGACAGGTGCTCAACAAGTTTCAACTAACCCCGTCCCTCTCTAGCTGGGACAGGGAGAACAGCAGGCCCGAGGGCCAAGAGCTGTGGGGTTGCAGCTGGGGCAAAGGTGAGGCAAGGCGTCTGGGGACAGGCATTGGGGGGAAAAGACTAGAAGGAGTGAAAGCTGAGGAGAGGGGGCCAGGACAGCAAGCGAAGCTGTCCCAGGTGAGGCGGGCTCCTTCTGGGGGTGCTGTGTGGACGAATTGCCCTTGCTTTTCTGATGCGGGAAACTGAGGCTGGCTTGGGGAAGTGGCAGAGCCAGAGGACAGCTGGGTGTCCCACTTCTGACCCCTCAAGGCAGCAATGGCAGCTTTCGGCTCTCACCTGGACTCCTCGTCTTCTCGAGACAGCCTCCCCTCCCCACCCCAGGACCTTTGCTTGTGACGGTGCACCTGCCAGGGCGCCTTCTCCCTGCCTTCCTGAGCTCCAGTCACCTCATGCCTCAACAATCCCACCATGTAGCAACTTTGTGCCACTGTCAGGTTCAGGCTCTGTGCCCCCAGCGGGTGACAGAGTGAATGGCTTGTGTGGTAGGCTCTTGGGTGGCACACGGCCATGACAGAAATGCTTGTTCCTCAGAGCAGGGGTTCCTCGTGGCACGGTCACCGAGGCCTGGTGGCCCTCCCCTGGCATGTGCTCATCCTCCCTCCTCTGACCATGGCATACCCAAGGCCAGCTCTGTCCTCCCCCACCCGGTCCCTGCCCCTGACCCCACAGCGGTGGCCCAGACAGAACCATACCAGGTCGTACAGCTGCTCCTGACTGGTGCAGCCATGGCTGTGTCTGACTGGACCCACAGTGACTCATGGGGAGGGCAGTGGGCAAGGAGGCAGTCCTCCCCTCTGCCATGGTCCCGGGGCCAACTTCCTTCTCCTCGGCTGGCCCTGCTGGCCCTCCCCACTGCAGGATCCCCACCCCTCAGCAAGCAAGCTCCACGTCCTGTGGACCACCTCTTAGGTCTCTCTCTAGTCCAGCAACTGGTCATGACCCTGCTGTGAGTCACCACTTTCCTGGTTCAGGCACCATCACTCCAGCGAGCCCCTGTTTCAGTCTCCCATCCCCATCAAGCAAAAGGCCAGATTCCTTCTGAGCACTTCCCAGCCCCACTCCCACCCCAGCCACACAGCCCTGCCAGCTCTGAGCCCCGACCGCACGCCCTCTGTTCCAGCTCCACCTGCTGACCTCCGATGAATCCTCTTAGTCACAATTCAAGTGGAACATTCTCCAGGAGTCTCTGCCAGTTCCCCAGCCAAAACTGATTGCGCCTGAGTCTATAATCCCGCGACCCATTCCTATTTCACTCTGCTTGGCGCTGCGATGATCTGTGAGCTTGTCTCCCACCAGCTGGGCCCTAAGCTCTTTGAGACACGTGGTATGGAGTCGGCAGGAAGTCTACCGCGTGGTCAGTCCCGCATGTGGCCGGGGGCCTGGAGGAATGAGTGAATGGGGGCCTGGCCCACAGGGGAGGAACTTGGAGTCCTGGGAGGTGGAGTCTCCATCCTGGAGGACAGGGTGGGGTCGGGGTGCTCTGCTAACCCTCACTGTCTTCATGAATGCAACAGGCTATAGGGCAGACAGGATCCATCAGTTAGAGTAAGGCCCATTTAGAGCGACTGTTGGCTGCTGTGCAGACCAAATGGCATATACTTTGCTTTTCTGGGTTCTATATAAGCCTGGGCGGTGGCCTCCCTGAGGCCCAATAAAGACAGCAGCCATCGCCGAGATGGCCAAGAACCGAAGTGACTAGGCCTATCAGTTCTGCAGGCCTGACAGAGTTTCCGGCCTGGGCTGGCTGCCGAGAATGGTCTGTAGGCACCAAAAGGGCAGGGAACATACCATTTCTGTGCTCTTTCATCTTTCTGACCTTAATTGGCTTCATTGAAATGAGAACCTCCACAGAGGGGGCCTCGCACCTTCCGGCATTTGCACCATCCCCGCACAGACTGGCCGGCCTCGTGGTGGGAGACAGCCAGGGGGGTCCCTGGCTGCTGCCTCCAGGGGCTGCTGGAGGGGATGGCCCAAGTCCAGGCCCATTACTCAACCGCCTTCTGGACTCTTCTCTTCAGCAGGGCCCAGAGACCCTCACCTCCCAACTAGGCTCAGAGTGCCTACTCCCCACCCAGTGACTCAAACCCACCTGACCAGAGACCCAGGGGTCCTCTTTCCCCTATGTTGTCCCTCCCTGGCTTTGGGGGCTCTGCTGGCACCTCCAGCTTAGTCCCCCATGGACTTCCTCCAGGCCCTGGGCAGCCCAGCATGCTCCAGAAGGCTCGGCACTTTCTAAGTAGGGGGCACCCCCGCTCCCATGGGGCCCCTCTCAGGACCCCATGGCACACACTGAGTTTTGAGCCCACATCTGCATGCCAGCTCTTGACAGACATGTTTCTTTCACTGCACCCTTGGAAACACCCTACGAGGGCCAGGAGAACTCTCCCTGCCTTACAGAGGGGGAAACTGAGGCTCAGGAAGCCTCCTGCTTTTGCCCTGGTTCTCCCAGCCCTGCCTTCCATGTGACTTGAGGTGGGTCATGGCCGCCCTTGCTGGGACGCTCTGATGACACCCCTGAAAGCCTCCCCAGCAGGCCCAGGCTGCATTCCACTCGGCCACCTGCTCCGCCTTTATGGAGGAGAGAACAGATGGAGGGCGAGATCCCACCACCGTCCTCCAGATCTCAGGTGATGCACGCATCGGGATTCACGCCATTCTCTTTCCTGAAAACAGCCCCACTGCACCCCAGTCGAGCACCCCTTCAGTTTCTGGGGTCTGCGTGGACATATATCCCCACAGGGATGATGGGGCATGTACTGCCAGGAAGTCCCAGCTCCCGAGTCACTCCCTAGTCACTGGACCCTCAGTGATGAGAACATGCGGCTCCTGGGCATTCAGACCATCTGGAAGCCAGAGCCAGGCCCAGGATGCCGTGGCCCCGAAGCAAGAAGGAAGCAGAACTCAGGGGCAGAGGGCAGGAGGTGGACGCCTGGGGGCCTACCTGGGCACATGCCCTCCACCGTGGGCCCTCCTGAAGGCAGACTGTCCGTCACCTGCTCCCTACAGACCCACCAAGCAAGGGCCCGCCTTTCAGAAGGGCCCATCACTCAGCGACGTGACTCACTACGGGGATTCCTTAAAACAATAGTCCCCCATCTCTCTCCACCTCCAGGCTCCTAGAACACAGGCCAGGCCCGGCAGAACCCAGAGAGGAAAAGCAAGCCAAGGCAACAGCGAGAGGTGTGGCCCAGGCCTCGTAGGTCAGGCCCGGGGTGGGCCCCTAGACCAGCTGGGGAGCAGGTGGGGAGAGGGCACGGAAGGAGGGCGCCCAGTCTGGCAGCCACCCTGCCCTCTCCTGGGCCTGGCATGATCCTAGGCAGGTCGAGATGCTGGTGGCTGGTGTGCACCTGGGAGACCCCTTTTATCCCTGATTCCCCACATCTTCCTGCCCTTGCGCCAGGCCCTCTCCTTCCTGCCCGCCCCTGCCCCCTCCCCTCTGCTTGACGCACCTTGGCGACCACCTGGGAGGGGAAAGGAGGGTTCCAAGGACAAGGCCTGCATGCAGCCAGGGAAGGGGGAGGGAAGGAGCTGAGGCAGAGAACAGCCTCATTAATATTTCAGAGGCACCGTCGCTGCAGCTCCTGGGCCCTCACGGCTCCACTTGTGCTGGTGGAGGGAGGAGGATGGGAAAAGAGAAGGAAATAAAACCCGAGAAAACAGATTTAAAGGGACAGGCTCCCCCTCTGCCCCCCACCGGCCCCCAGTGCTCTGTTCCTTCCTCCCCCTGTTCCTGGTACAATCTGTACACATGACAAGTGGCTCTCATGCCTGGAACAGCTTTGGGCAAAAACAATAGCCATCACCATGGCGCCCCCTCCCCACTCCTGCATGCACCCACCTGCCTGAAGCTCTGCCCTGCAGGGCAGCCCCGGAGGGGCCACCTTGGGGACCCACTGGCAGCTGCGTGCAAAGCCAAAGCAACCGCCTGTCCGGCGCCGGGTGCCGCAGAAAGACACAGGCATTGGAAGTCCTCGTTAACAAGGGTCCAGACAAGGAGGATTCTGGAACCCACAGAAACACCCTGGAGGTGGCAGGAGCCCAGGAGGTTGCCCGATTCAGCCTGCGCCTTTGGGTGGATGCACTTCTGCAGCACTCCTGGCCCCTAGGTGGCCCAGCGCTCTACTCTAATCTACGGCAGCCCATGCCAGACCTGGGTGGGCACCCCTCCCCACTCAGGGAACTTCACGAATACAGAGTCTTGGGTCCAGAGCTTCCCATTCAGAAGCGGGAGGACCAGAACGCTATAAAGCACCCCAACCCCTGGGGGATCTGGGTGTCTAGTCAAGCTCGAGACCACACATTTGCCTGCCTTCAGAGGCTCCAGGGCTGGCCCAGAATTCTCATTCAAACAAGCACCGCCATAGAATGGAAGACGGTGCAGCCACTGTGGAAAGCAGTAGAATTCCCATAGGACCCACCCACCCCACTGCTGGGGTAGGCCCCAAAGAATTGAAAGCAGGGACACAAACGTATTTGTCCACTCAAGTTCATAGCAACATTACTCACAATAGCCAAAAGGTGGATGCAACCCAATGTCCATGGATAGGCAGCTGGATAAACACCATGTGGCCCATCCAGGCCATAGAATAGGACTCAGCCTTACAAAGTAAGGCCATTCTGAGACGGGCTTCAACATGGCTGACCCTTGAGGACGTTGGACTCAGTAGAAGGAGCCAGTCACAGAGAGGCCAACACTGTAGGATTCCACTCCTGTGAGGGCCTCATAGGAGAGCTGTGAAATCTGAGGGGACGGACAGTGGAAGGGTGGGTGCCATGGGCTGGGGGCTGGGGAGTTGGGGTTGAACGGGGCCAGAGCTTCAGTTTGGGAAGACGAACAAGTTCTGCGGCTGGATGGTGGTGATGGCTGCACAGCACCATGAATGTGCTTCTGCCCCTGGGCCGCACACTTAAAAATGGTGAACGTGGTACATTTTAGGTGATGTCTATGCCACCACAATAGAACACGCAAGCAGCCCCCACCAGCCACTTCGCCCTGTGTCCAGGGTGGTGGACACTGGGCCTGAATGGCCTCCCGTGGTGCCCAAGCCACACGCCGTGATTGCAGGAGTTTCACTGCCTTGACCAGCCCAATCAGCCAGCAGTTCGCTTGTATGGATTTTAACTTCCAGGAAACCCCCCTACTGGATATGGAAACCCAAGCAGACCCTTCCCCACACACCCTACCCCCACCCTGCAGCCTCTGTGACTTTTAACACCACCCATATCCTGCCCAGCCAGGTGGGTACCCTATTTGGTGGCACAGGAGCAGATCAGTGGAGAGAGGCCATCACCACTGCTCCTGCCCTCTTGCTCACAAATGGCCCCTCTTTTTGCTGCACTTCTTCAGAGGTACTGACCCCATTCCATCCCCAGAAGGGCTGGCCAGGTCACCTGGGGAAAGCCTGGCCTCAAGATGGGTACCTTCCACTTCTCAAATGTGTCTTGAGGAGGTGTTAATGAATCCGCAGAGGTGTGTGGCAGAAACTTGCTAGCTACTCTCCCACCTCCTACGTCATGTTTTAATTTTCAGCTAAGTGTCTTGTCATCCAGCTAATGATTACATTCCCCCAACTCCCTTGCAGCTAACCATGACCATCTGACTCTGTCCTGGCCAACTGGGTATGAGCAAAAGTGACAGGGACGAATTCAAGGGCCATGTCCTTAAAGAGAAGGAATGTGTTCTCCTCTGCCCTTCCCCTCCTTCCTGCCAGCTGGAATGCTGATGTGGGGACAGGTGCGGCCGCAGCTATCTATCTGTTGCCATCTTGCACATGGAGTCCATGTATGACACAATCAAAGGAGCTCAGATTCCTGAGGGCTAAGTAGCTGTTGCGCTGGCCCTAGGTTGCCCACCTAGACTCTTACATGAGAAAGAAGTCAATTCTCTCTCACTGAAGCCACTGTTATGCTGGGTCTCTGTTAGATAGGCCAAGCCCATAGCCTGAGTAAATGTTCACTCCTAACCCAAATCCAGCCTGGTTCTGGGAGAGCCAGGAGGCCTCCCTGAGGTCTCCAGGACCTACCAAACCCCCACTTTCCCCTGAGCTCCCTGGGGGGTGATATTGTCCTAGAAGTTCTAGCTGAGGCAGAAGGGAGATGATAGAGCCACGGATGAGAGGCAGAATGACTATCACTCTGCCAGCAGCCTCTATAGCATGGGGTGGCCCTCCCCACCAAAGAGCACATGCGGCTCAGGCACAGAGTGGTTAGAGAGCCTACTCAAGGTCACACGGCAAGCCAGAAGCAGAGGCCAACAGGACCTCAAGTGGTCTAGCTCCAGAGGATTCGACATTGCTGCTCTGCCAAGTTATACTGCCCTGAAAAGCCCAGAAAAGCAACGAGCAAGTGATTAGAACCAATGAAAAGAGTTCAGCAAAGTGACTGGACAGGAAATCTGTCCCCATCAACCTCAGGGTTCCAGAGTGCAGGTGCTGGCTTTGGTCACTCAAGCTCTCTGGGCCTTCACTTTTTAATCTGCGAAATGGTCCTCGTTCCTTTTTGCTGGGTTGGTGAGAAGGCAGGGCTCCACCTGCCCACACACCCTGAGGCTGGTCCCCAGGGGACTGGGCCCATTTTCCCGGAGGTTCCTTCAAGCCCAGGAGATCTCCAGGAAGCCGAGCAGGGCAATGCTCTTCGCTGAGTCAGCCCCTCCCGCCACACGCTCCCCTCCCGAGGCTTGTCCTGAAGTCTTCAGCTGGACTCCAGCTGGACCCCAGAGTTCACAGGTCAGGACCAAGCTCGACCGGTGAAGTCAGAACATTCCGTTCGGCCGGGGGCTGAACCCATGTGCCTCTCTGGATGCTTCCCCAAGCTTGCCCGGACTCCCGCAGTGCTCCTGTCTCCCACACAGGCGGCCCTCACAATGCTGGGTGTCCCTGGATCCCACGGGGAGGTTGGAAGCCCCTTTGTGATTGGGGCCAGAAGTCTACACTGAGGGTTGGGGGACAGTCATTTGTTTCCTGCCAGAGAAGGCAAGAGCTGCAGAAGGAGAGAGCGAGGGAGCAGGAAGCATAATGACACTAATTATCCAATTACAGCGGGTGTGCGAGCTGCATAGCAGCGTGAGCCTGGCCAGCCACTACCCTGCCCCTACGTGCTCCCCACGCCCCTCCTGCCAGCCCGGGCCTGCCCAGCAGCCCCGAAGGCAGGGACGGCATGGGGACCTAGAAACGCTGTGGCTGTGGCCAGCGTGAAAGACTCTAGCCTACAAAGGGACGGAGACCTCGTGTTTGGGGTCCAATGGGAAGCCGGGTCCCTGTCCTCCCAGCCCTTCATAGCCAGAGAGCACGTGGATGGGAGGAGAGGTGCCCCAAGTCGGCCCGGCTCTGCTGTGGTACCTCGGTGCCCGTCCCAGCCCGCTTCCAATCTCAGAGCCAGCTCTGAGGACCGGAAGCCGTCGGGGCCTAAATAGGTAATTAAGGAAATTACAGGCAGCTGGAGGCCATGGGGCTGTGGGCCCTGGGCTAAGTCCTTCCAGCTTGGACAGGCAGTGACTAAATAAGGAGCTACCAGGACACATACACGTGTCCTCCTAGGGAACGAGTCCCATGGGGCCCCATTAGGAATCCTGGCAGGGGCAGTAGAGAGGGCATCCTGGTTTCTGGAAGCAGGCCAAAGTCCTTGGGAGTACAGGCTGGGGGGATGCATTGGTGTCAAGGTCAGAGGCCAATAAAAGGATCTGGGAGGCAGACCTCCAAATGGGGGCTCCAACTGAAGATGGGAGTCAAGCCTGCCCTTCTGTGATCTAGACCCAAGGAACGAGCACACCGAAGTATCCGTGCCACTCTCCCCAGCTGAGGGGGCAGGATGCCTGCTGCCAAATGTGGTGATGGAGGAAGAGCCAGTGGCGAGGATGCCCAGAGAGAGGGTACCTCAGAAGCTGCAGCCGAGGCTGCAGGACGCGAAGGTCATCAAGGGCTTGGCTGCTGTCTGAATCGCGTGAACTGAGCATTGCTGGTTCATTTTTGAATTTTGCCTAAGACACTATTTCTGAGCGAGGAACCCGGCATACGAGCCCAAAGCTTTTCCAGCAAAGCCCAGAGGAAGCACCACCAAGTTCCTGCCGTGCTCCAGGAGTGCCTGAAGGGAGTGCAGAGGCAGAGGCCCCCTCTCAGGCCGGGACCCAACACCAACACAGGGCTCCGAGTCTCTCCCTCAGTGCGCCCCACAGCCCATCAGCTCCCCCTACCCTCCCACCACCAGCTGCTCCTCCAGTTCCTGACCCTCTTATCATCATCTGTCATCAGCACCATTCCTCCCGCCCCCTCTGTGCTCATGGACAGATGCCTGCTCTCCCCACTGGGAAGGCACCGGGAGAGCACAGCTGGGCTGGGGACAGGACCTGAAGGGGTGGATTTCTGCTCTGTGTGCTCACCCCCTCCCCTCCTCCCTTAGGGGAGACCCCAACCCTGCCCGTCTCCATCTCAGATACCCCCTCCCACGATTGTGCTATAGCCCAGCTTCCTCCTTCGGGGAAGGGTGGATGGGGCGCAGAGGGCCAGGCGGTGGCCTGGGAGCCCTGACCCACCCCATCCCACCTACAGACACAGCCACGAGTGCCTCCCTAGGGGCTACCAGGGCAGGCGTCTGGGGCAGTGGCCCCCAGGTCAGCGCATTCTTACCCTCTGGCCCCATGGATGGGTTACAAGGGGGGACTCTTGCTCCACTCCCCAGGACAGAGGTTTCCAAGCCTAGCTGCTGGTCACAGTGTTGTGGGCAGATGAACCACAGGCCAGGAGGGAGAGATGAGACTAGGTGGGAGACGTGCCCTACCCGTCCACAGCCCTCCCTCTTCTCCTGCACCAGACGTGGGACCATCTGCTGGCAGCCGCCCTCTGACTACAGGAAGGTACCCAGAGACCCCAGGAGCCAGAGGAGCCAGGACCAGCTGCTCCTGAGCCCATCTCTCCTGGGCCTGTGGCTCCAAGCCAAGATGTGGCAGTGTCTGGTCCTGGATGCTTCCAGGAGAAATGGAGCTGAGGCCCATGGTGGGGGGCGGAATGGACCCTTGTGCCTGGTGAGCCCTTGCTCTGCCCGAGAATTGGGGCTGGACACACTCTCCTGCTCCTGCTGCTCTTTGAGGGAGCCAAGCGGTTACTGCCGGGCTGGTCCAACCTGGAGAAAGGGCCCCTTCCCATTTGGTCACGCCCTGTGCCACCATCACACCCCTGGCCCGCAATCTGTGGGAATGTAGGTTCAGTTTCGAACCGGCCACTCCATGCGCCTTAACCCGGTTCAGGGTTTGATTTGAAACGCCGGAGTGCAGGGAATTCTGAGTGTCAGGACAGTGATTTCCAAAAGAGCAGCAGAAAGGCCTAAGTCCTGTCATTTGAGGTCATCTTCTGCCGGCCCACAGTGGCTTCCCAATCTCCCGCGCTCTCTTGTACTGCCGGCTTTGTTTTCGTGTTTCTCAGTCAGGAGGCTGTGGCGTTCCCAGGGCCGTCTGGCTATCCTCAGCTGGGGGCCTTCACTCAGGATGGCGCTGTACTGCCCACACCCGCCTCCCATCTGCGGAGAGTCAAATCCACAGCATCTGCACAGAGCCAGCCGCCACCCCACCCCATGGGGACCGGACTCATCTGCGGCTTCGGAACTCTGAGGATGTCCAGAGAATGTATCACCCAGTGCTTTATCTTGGCGGGGAGGGAGGAAGGGGGTCTTGACAAAGTGGTTCTGAAGTCCACTGGACAGAGAAGCAAGCTTTAGGATTGCTGAGGTGGGGCCGGCAGGTCAGGTATTAAATGATACCAGGTACAAGAGGCAAAAGCACATCACCGGTACAGCAGCACACAGATGGGCCCGTGGGTCAGGACAGGCAGCCAGCACCAGGTCTGACTGCAGACCAGTGTCAGTGCGTGCAAATGAGCCAGGGAACAACCGATTTGCTACTAGAGATGGGGACAACTGGTTAGCAATCTGCAAAGGATGCACCTTAGATCCTCACCTCAAACTATCCCCTAAGACACATCTCATTTGGATTCAACAGGTTTGGCAAATTACAGCTTAAGTGCCAAATCTGGCAGCCCAGTGTTCTTGTGAATAAAGTTTTATTGGGACACAGCCTCACCCCCTCATTTCGCATTGTCTGTGGCTACTTGCAGGCTACCATGCAGAGTTGAGTAGTCGGGACAGAGACTATGTGGCCTGCAAACTGGAAATCTATTTACCATCTGGCCTTTTGCAGAAAAAGCTTGCTAATCCCTAAATTAAAGAGTTAAGTATCTTAAAAATGCAACTACACCACCCCAATACACACACACACACACACACAGACACACACACACGAAGACACATGGAAAACTCAGAAATGAACAGCTCTCAAATTTCCGAAAGGGATTTTCTAAGCCTAGAAACAATGGAAGAAATCACAAATAATTGTGAGCAACAAAGTGTTTACCTTTTGCATGAAAAAAAAAAATGGCAAAGAACAAAGGTCTTAAAAATTATTTGCAACAAATCTGTTAAATTGTCACTGTTTTTTCATGCATACAGTTTATTCAAGCCCACAGAAGAAACACTAAGACTTCAATAAACGCCTTTCATTCCAGCACTTTGGGAGGCCGAGGTGGGTGGATCACCTGAGGTGAGGTGTTTGAGACCAGCCTGGCCAACATGGTAAAACCCCGGGTCTATTAAAAATACAAAAATTAGCCGGGTGTGGTGGCGGGCCCCTGTAATCCCAGCTACTCGGGAGGCTGAGGCAGGAGAATGGCTCGAACCCTGGAGGTGGAGGTTGCAGTGAGCTGAGATCGCGCCACTGCACTCCAGCCTGGGTGACAGAGCGAGACTGTCTCAGGGAAAAAAAAAAAAAAAAAAAAAAATGAAGGGAGGAACAGATAATTCACAAGGAAAAGACAACTTATAAACATGAGGAAAAACGTGCCCCCTCATCAGCAATTAAAGACATATAAAGTAAAGTACATATTTTTGACCTAGATACTTATGACAATTTGTTTGATTAAAATATCTAATGCTGGCAAGGTTGCAGTGAGCGACACCATGCAGTGCGATGAAAAAGCCCTTTTGGAGAACAATTTGGCAGAAGATACCTCTGCCTGGGCCCTCTCCTCAGGACAGAGGCTCCTCAGCAGAGCTCACGCATAAGAGCAAAATAAATCTGACTGCCTGGGTTTCCAAAAATAGCCAAATAATTAAGCGAATTACAATCTCTTGGGAGAATATTATTCAGCCATTAAAAATTGTAATTACTGAAGGCCGCCTGATACATCCCGGGTGCTTGGTAAATAACTGTTGAATGATCAAATTTCTTCTTTGCATGGTTCAAGATCATTCTTTCTTTTTGCAATAAGCACTTACTGCTTTTATAATCTTAAAAAATTAAACTATAACCATTTTGAAAAAAACCATTCATTTAGGAAGGGATTATATTAATAAAGAAAATGCTTATGTGAAGTAAAAAACAGATTACACAATTGAGCCCATGGTATAATGACAGCAATGTGAAATGAATCAAATGGAGATGTTGGATTTACATTTGCATGATAGGATGGCTTTACTACATTTTCGACTTCTCTGTGTTTTATACGTTTCCTATAGAGAGCATATTAAGAGTATTGTTTTTAAATAGGAAGAAATCAATTAAAAAAAAAAAAACCCACGTCTCCTCCCTGCTGTTTCCTGAGCACAGGCAGTGCGCTGGGCATATGGTGGGGCCTAATAAGGACCAGGCGGTGGCCGGATCTGGTTTTTGCCCCATGCTGGGTGTGCTAGGACCACTGGAGTCAGCACGAGGCGAGGTCTGGGCATCCCCCACAGCACGGTGAGCTGCTGGGACAGAGGCCCTTTCCCTCCTCCCTGGTCTGTGTTTGTCTAGGTATCTGCGCAGCCCCTGGAGAGTACATGCTTGGCCACTGCCTTCCAAGGAGGCATGGGGCAGTGGGCTTGGTGGGGGGTGTCTAGGTCCGTGTGAGGACTCGGGTCTCCATTTGCTCCAAAGCAGCTCTGTGTGACAGTACATCCCGGAGTCTCTGCACTGTCCCATATGGTAGCCACCAGCCATGTGTGGCTACCTGAGGAGGCGGGGTCAGGGCAGGATGGGCGGGGACTCAGGTTGTGGACCCGAGCCCTGGGAGATACCGGCTGGCCTCGTGGCCTCAGTCCATCCTCCCGGCCCCAGCCAGGTTTGCACTCTTACTTTGGTGAACACTGAGCAAAGCACAAAGGCTCCAGGAGGGCAGGAAGGGCATTGCGTTTGCTTTTTGCTTTCCGTCGTCTCCCCTGAAGCAAACACAGAGCCTGGCACACAGTGAACCAGGGCAGTGTCCCTCATGCCCATCACATCAATAAGATGTGGCCCCCTGGCATAGCTGGCGCCATTCTGACAATAGAATGCACTCATCCATTCTGAGGAACGACCCGTTCAAGCCCAGCCTGGCACTTTCTGTCCCTACCTGTTAAGCTCTCAGACTGGAGCCTGTCCCACCACAGAACACCTCTTCAAATTTCTGTGAGCAGTCAGCCCTCTTTGGGGCTTCTCTTCAGGATGGTTCTCTGGGGGAGCCCAAGCTGCTGCATTAGTGGCCTTGTGCCACCAGGGAGTGGGTGTGGGAGGTGGCTTCAGGGTCCGTGTGAGGACTTGGGTTTCCATTTCCTGTAGAGCAGCTCTGTGTGACAGAGCATTCGGGAGTGATGGAAATGTTCTCTCTCTGCACTGTCTGTGACGGTAGCCACCAGCCTTGGGTGGCTCCTGAGCCCTTGAAATGTGGCTGGTGCACCTGAGGAAGTGCATTCTAATAAAATCGCTGCTTGGACAGTGCAGCTGGAGAAAGTGCCTTGAGCCTGTGGCCTCAGGGGAGAACTTCTCACTGGAATAAAATGGTTGCTCGCTTACTGAGAGACCCACCTACAGAACAAGAGAGGCTGGCTCAGGACCCCTTTAAATAAGGTGCTCTTCAAGGACACGGACATACTCGCTTTGTACAACTTTGATTTGGAACCAAGACTCCGGAAACCTCCTCGTGCTCTAAAAGAGTCCTGCCAGTCCCAAGATTCCCCAACCATTGGCATTTCCACCCTTGCCTTGTTGCTCTGATTCAAGTCCTGCCACCTACTCAGCCATGTGACCTTGGACTTGTCTCCTTCCCAACCTTGGGCAGTCCAGGATGCCCGAATTCCCCTGCATTTGAGAGCCTGCTTCCCTCTGCCCCAGTGACGCGTGGCTCTGATCCTTCTCCGCAGGCTCCCAGGCCCACTGCCAGCACCGCCCACCCAACAGAAGGAGCCCAGGCAGGGGAGGGCTTTCCAGCCAGGCGCTGCTTGGCCTGGCTTCTGCCAGCTTAGCCAGGGTGGGGAAGGGAGGAGCCCTGTGCATGCTCCAGGTCTCTGCCTGGCATACCCAGCCCGGGGCGTTGCTGGGGAGCTTGCTGCAAAGTCACAGCAAGAGGCTTAGAGGGAAGTGTTTGCCTTCAGTACCATGGCACAGGTCCCCATCTATCAGCTGCCATTTACGTGCACTGCCAGTGCTTCCGGGTGCCCTGAAGGGGCCATGAATGCAGAGCTAAACCGGTCCCTGAGTTGCTGGAGACTGATATAAATCCACCTGTTGTCCATTTCTCTCAGTGGGTAGACGGGGCAGAGGTGCAGGTGGCTCAGCTTCTGAGCTGCAAGGTCTTCCCAAGAATCCCCGGCTTCAGCCCACAAGGCTGGGAGTACCCGAGACAGTGAGTTCACACGAACCACACTCTACTCTGCTGACTTCCGCACACACTTCTGGAGATACAGGAACTAATGGCTACAAGCACAGACCAGACTCCGGAGCCTGATGGACTACATTCCAGCCCTGGATTTGCTACCTACTGGCTGTGTGACCTTGGGCAAGTTACCTAGCCTCTCTGGGCCTCAGCCGCAATGCAAAATGGGGATAACAGCACTTGCAATCATTTGTTGTTGTTTCAATTAAGTGGGCAAGGAAATGTCTGTGCAGCACTCAGTGTCTGACATAAAGTGACTGCCATTATAACTATTATCATTGTTGACATTACTTGATGTGCTACTGACCACTGATGGAGACAGTGGCCATTGGTGAAATACACAAGCCATCAGTTTAAAATCAGAGGGGAGTTCATATGTGCTGATGACTTGCTCTGTGAGGTGGGGGAGGAGGTGAAAAGGCCAGAAGAAGCTCTGCCTGGCTCTGCTGGCTGCAAGAGGCCCAGAGGGTACTCAGCTCTCAGAAGCCCCTGGGGCTCTGGGGCGCCCTCATCCTGTCTACCGGGCAGGCAAGGCGCCCCTTTCCACAAGACATTCTCAGAGGGTCCTCCACGGCTGACCCCGGCACTCCGTGGCTGCATCCCTGGGCTGGGAGCAGACGTTCTGGGATGGAGAGCACTCACTGACTCACAGGCTTGGCTTCTCCTGCTAGTGAATGATTCAACCTCTGAAGCTCCAGCTCCCCCAGGCCCACCCCCACCCTCCCTGGATCTGGAATGGAGAAGGGACTTGGCCAAGGTCACAAAGACCATCAGGTAAGGGGCTGCTGTCACTGAAGCCCCAGGCACCCTCACGAGCCTCCTCTGGCCCCTTCCTTGCCCCTCGGGGGCCGATTGGGGCATCTCCATCACCTGGCATTGTGGCTGTCCCCTGGCATGCTCTTTGCCTTAGGGGCTTCCTTCCTCAGGGACCGGCTCTCCTTCTGGCCCTGTGCAAGGCCCCCTCCCACGCCCGCCCCACTTCCATCTGCCCGTTACCCCCTGCTGTGTGAGAGCATGCCTACTCCTGCACTCAAACCACCTGGCCGTGCAGGGCACGGCCCAGGTGGAGCTGATGGAGACTGGCTGTGTCCTTGGCTGTCCCCCGCCTCGGGGCCTGCAGCAGTGACAATCAATGGCCGGGGACCACAAGTTCCCAGCCCGTTCCGATGGCGCAGACTTGAGGGGCTGACCTCACCCTGGGACCCTCTGCTGGGTCTCAGCTGTGTCCCACAGGGGCCCAGGCATCCCCAGCCCTCTCCTCGGCATCCCAGTGCCCCTTTAATGAGCCACATGGCTTCGGTTTCCTCATCTGTGAAAAGTGGCGGCGGGGGGTGGGGGTTGGGGATGAAAACAGCCATTCACTCGTGTGGTTGAGGTGAGACTCAGATGGAGCTCAGGAAGTGGGGCTGGTCTTTGATTATTACGATAACCTCTCCCCGCCTCCCTGCCCCACCAGGTTCATAGGAATGTCCCTAGCCATCTGCTCATGAAGGAAGGGGCCTCAATTCAGGGCTGAATCCCTTCTCCTCTTGGGGGCCTCAATGATCCCATCTGAAAAATGGGGACAAAAATCCAGGCCTTGCCTCTCCTGTTCAGTGAGTCTGCAGATTCAGTGAGGTCAAGGTCATGAATATGCCATGCAGAAACCAGGTGCCCACTCTGTGCCAGGCCTGTGCAAATGAAGAGCCAGTCCTTGCCTTAAGATGGTCACTGACTAGTGAGGGGCAATGGCAGGGGGTGAGGGCACAGATCCTAGTGGGCAAAGGAGGGGAGGAGGTGCAGGGGGTGCCTGCCAGACTGGTGCCCAAGTCAGCCAGGGGAAGTCGGCTGACGTTTAGGGTGCCAGTGGAATTCAGGATGGGGGCCAGTTGGGGACAGGCTGGACTTGATCCTTTAGCAGGCAGGGACTCCTTTGAGGTCGGAGGCCCTGGGCTTCATCTTTGAAAGTTATATGACCTCGCCAGGAAATGGCAAGCATCTCGTTGAGGAATTCTGGTCCCTTCCCTGCCCCTTGAGTGAGCGAAGGAGCATTTCCACAGTCTCTCCTAAACCCTCATGGAGCCCTCACCGCGGGCTCTCCAAGACTCCCTCCAGTCCTGACCTGCCCCGGCGCCATGCCCCTGCCCTGCCTCCCACCCCTCCTCAGCCGGCTGGCTGAGCCACCAACCCCCAGAAGGGCCAGCAGAAGGAAGGACACCAGGTCACAGAGAGAGAAGCCCATCGTCTCAGGCTCTGGGAGATGCCGCACCTGCCATTCCAAATTCCAGAATCTTAAAGCCAGAGCTTTCACCCGTGAGAAAACGCAGGCGGCCACAGGAAAAGCTGGCTGGCCAAGGTCACACAGGCGAGGAGGGGGAGACAGCCGTTCCTGGAGGGATGGAGAAGTTACCTAAGTGCGGCCCCGGGCGGCTTCTCGTGGGCACTGCCCATGACCGCGGTGGGGTCTGCTGGGCAGCCGCGTGGGCGTGCGGGGAACGGTGCGGGAAGGCGAGAGGGGAAGGATGATACAGTGTGAGGGCGCGGGGGGGAGGGGGTGCCCGAGGCTCCGGGAAGGTGCGTGCGCACTGGCGGGCTCCCGGCCCAGATCCCGCGCCCCCGGCTGCGCCCACCCTGAGCCCCGGCCCGCAGCCCCCAAGGGCCTTGTTCCTCAGACACGGATGCGCGTGCGCGCGCGATGCGGGGCGCAGGGTGCAGGGTGCGGGGCGCTGCCCGCCGGCCTGGGGCCCCGGGGTGACGCGCGGCCGCAGTGCCGCAAGGACACGCAGGCCCGGCGCGGGGCTCAGGTGCCTCGGGCGGGGACCCGTGTCCCCCTACCTGCCGCCGCACCACCTGCCGGGTCATCCTCCCATCCCCACCCGCGCCTTGTGCCCGCGCCGCGCCCGCGCCCACCCCGGCGGCGCCCGCGCGCCCAGAGCACCACTTACCCGGGCATGGGCACGGCCGCCGCCGCGGCCTCGGCTCCGGCGGGCGCTGTCGCTGCGGGCGGGCGTCAGGCGGGCAACGATCCGCTCCAAGGATGGAAAGGCCTGGGCACGGGGCGGCCTGGCCGGCGGCGCGGGACGCGACCCTCTGCGGCGGGCGAGGGCTGCGGCCGAGTGCTCCCCACGCTCTGCACCGGCGGCGGGCGACGCGGCGCGCTCGGCTCCAACCGCAGCTCTGAGCGCGGAGGGAGGGAGGGGGGAGGGGAGGGAGCTGGGTGAGGAGGAGGGAGGGAGGAGGGAGCGGGCGCGGGGGGCGGTGCGCGGCGCAGGGGCCTCGGGGCTCAGGAGCTACGCGCCCGGTGCGCGCCCTTCTGTCCCCAGGACGCGCGAGGGTGCCCGCCCTTCCTGGCCTGGCATTGCCCCCAAAGGGCACTGGCCGAGTGGGGGTGGGTGGGGATGGAAACTGGGGGACCATGGCACCTGTGAGTGCAGAGAGAGCACCCTGAGCTTGCGACTGAGGCTGCCACTACCTCTCCAGACCCTGCCCTCTAGGTGCGTCTCCCCAACAGTAAAATGGGGCACAGAGCCGGGTGGCTGATGTGTAGCGTGGGGTCCTTGGGTCTTGCCTCAGTGGACTCCAAGGCATTGGTGGTCTCCTGCAAACTCCATTACCTGTTGAGAGTACGGGCGTCCAAATGCGTCTTCCCAGAGGAAGCGGCGCTTACCGGAGATCCTCACCGTCGGTTATCACGGGAACACCACCGTTAGGCAGAACACAGAGACTGCACACAGGTGGGCACCAGAGACAGACACGCAGGGGCACATACATCCCCGGTGTGAGTGGAGACAGACACACAGACAAACCCCAGTGCAGACACCTGTCCACACCCACAAGCACGCGTTCCCACCTACCTGGAAAGAGACCCCCGTGCCTGCCGGTGGACCCCCAGGCTTCCCAGCTCCAGGGGCTGTGGAGGCCTCTGACCCCAGGGCCGGCCTTTGCGAGCATTCTGAGCAGCGAGCAGAGAATGCTCGCTGGGGCACAGGTAGAGGCTCTGGGCGGGAGCCTGAGGCAGGTGCAAGAGGCCTGGACGCAGCCTCAAATTCTTTCTTGCCTTGGACAAAGAGGGCCCTGGACATGCTGTGTGCCAGACCAGAGCTGAATACTGGGGACACAGCAGGGACCACAAAGCAGGGAGTGGCCGTCGGATGGCAAATGTGCTCACGCCGCTGGGGTCGGAGCTATGGAACCCCATTGATGGGGAGCCATGAAAGAGGCTGCTGGCGGCTCAGGGAAGGCCTCTTTGAGGAGGCACCACTGTGCTAGGGACCAAAAGGACAGAAAGCTTCTGCTGCCCCTGAGACCAGGGAACCGTCACAACCCCCACAGACTGCCCCTCCCTTCCACAGGAAGCAGCTGGTGCCGTGGAAAGCTGAGGTTCGCGCACGCACGCACACACACACTCATACACCTGGTCATGTGTGCGCTCACACATGCTTACTCACACCCACTCACATGCACGCACACATACTCACACCTGCTCATATGCATGAACTCATGCTCACTCACCTACTTACACAAACACACACTCACACACTCATGCACACACTCACAATCTCACGCAGACACATCCTCACAGTCATATGTGCTCACTCACCCTCACCCACACAAGCTCGGTGGCCCACACAGTTACACAATGGTTCACACATATTTACATGCTCTCACACCTACACAACTCACACACTTACCCAGTGAGCACACACATGGGCACATACATACACACACACTCACACACAGTTACTCACAGTCACACTCACACACACACTCCCCACTCACACTCTCACACATATTCATTTGCACACTCCCGCAGTCCCCTTCCACTCCAACTCTGAGGCAGCTTTTCCTGAGCCTGGGGCGTGTGCTCCTCCGGGCCCAGAGCCGCCATGGGGACACCCCCTTCTCACACACACACAGCCTGTGACTTCCCATGGCCCCGAATGGGAAAAATCAAGACTGAAGCAAGCCCCAATGATGCTGGAAACTTATCATGAGCTAAGTTCTGGCCATTTCGCCAGAGCCCTGCCATCTTGGAGTCGTTCCTCTTACTAGCCCACATTCCAGATGGGGAAGTGGAGGCCCAGAGGGCACTGGATCCCACCCGGAGCAGGTTGTAAGCTGGACTTTGGCCCCTGGCCGGGAGGCCAGCTGCCCCCATGCCCTCAGGCACCACAGGAGGGCAGAGGAGCTCCTTTCCCCAGCGCATTCAGGCCACGTTCCTTCTTGGCCTCCCACACTGTGGCAGGCTCCCTGGGGTCATGTCCTTCCATCCCAGGCCCAAGGGCCCTGCTCTGGAGTGAGCAAAGGCAGAAGCAGGCTGCTGAGCTGGCCTCCTTTCGTGGCCCCCAGCAGGAGCATCCCTTGGGCAAGGGTTGGGTCCCGGCTGAAGACAAGCACCTCTTAGCAGACATGTGTGGGCAGCTCTGGGAGGGCAGGTGTGGGGCTGGGGAGACCCACACTTAAAGGCTTAGGAGTGGCTGTGAGAGCTGACAAGCAAAGAGAAGAGTCCCTTTGGGCTGCGTCACTGTCTTCCCTCGGGGACCAGGGAACATGCTGAGGGATGGAGGCTGTTCATTTAACTGATGGCTGCTATCCACATGGGGGAATCTCCCTGAGCTTGGAGCAGCTGCTGCCTGGGTTGCGTGTTTATGCATCTCCCCTCCCTATTCTCTGACCCCAGACTCTGCACAGGCCCTGTCTGGCCAGGGGGAAGAAGCAAGTTCAGGGGAGAAAATCTGAGGCAGGGGCTACCTGCCCCACCACTTTGCCTCCTCCCCCGGGCCCCCAGGGCACTGCTCATGGCTAATCCAGCCAAGAGTTGGCCATGGTGCCTACCTTTGTGATGAGTCCCACTGAGGCCAAGGTCAGATGGCCAAGGAACAAAGTGTCATGGAAGTCCCTAGTCCTCAGCAAATTGTGGCCCCTAAACAGCTAATGGCCAGGTAAGGGGATGGTCCTTTCTCCTTGGTTTGTGTCTGTTGGTTCCCAGCCCAGAGCCCTGAGGCTGAGAGGGAGGGCCCAGGCCTGGGAATGAGGACACCTGAGTGCCAGGCAAATGCTGCCAGTGTCACTGGTGATCCTTGCTCACCGGCCAGCCCCTCTTGGGTCCTCCATCAGTAAAGAGGTGGGAGCTTTGCTAGAAAGTTCTCCCATACACCAAGTCCTGTCCTCTGCACTGGGAGTACTTAGGGAGCCAAACCCAGGGAGGCCCAGACCACTCTGCTTCCCAGCTCCCTCCCAGGTCCCAAGCCAGCCTGTCCCACCATGCCCTGGACCTGCCTCCTTAGGGCACGCCAGGCCTCCGTCCCCACCCCACTCTCCCACATTGCCGACGACTGCCTGGGAAACAAAAGCCACAGAGAGCACCCTGCTCTCAGCGGCTGCCCACCGCCCCACCTGGCCGCCTCATCCCCACTCTCACCCCTCTCTCTCTCCACCTGCCTCCAGCCCCTTCAGTCCCGCTCCCCTCCCACAACTGCTTTCTCTCCTGGCTCCTTGGCCCCTACCCAGTCACCAGGTCCGTCCTCTCCCAGGCCTCTGGGCCATGCCCCCTCCTTGCCCAGGTTCCCTCCTGCCACTGTTGGGACAGCAGCTCCTTGGCCAGCTCTGAAGTGAGGACCCCTTTGGCTGGGCCTGGGGCCCCCATCCCGTCTTCTCATGCCCACTGTCTCCCTGGCTGAGGTCCCAGCCCCTTCCCCAAGGCCTCAGGGGCAAAGCCCGTGTCCACTTGCAGCCCAGGGGCAGGCTAAAAATGTCCCCACCGATGTGTCCATGTCCCAACCCCCGGAACCGGAATGCAGCCTTATTTGGAAATAGGGTCTTTGCAGATGCCATCAAGTGAAGAATCTTGAGATGTGGGTTATCCTGGGTTATCCCCCCCCGCCACACACACACATGCTCACACTCACATCCATGCACGGAGACACACACACACAGAAACACACACACACGCTCACACTCTCATCCATGCACAGACACACACACACAGAAACACACACACACGCTCACACTCACATCCATGCACAGAGACACACACATGCTCACACTCACATCCATGCACAGAGACACACACACACAGAAACACACACACGCTCACACATCCATGCACACACACACATGCTCACACTCACATCCATGCACGGAGACACACACACACAGAAACACACACACGCTCACACTCACATCCATGCACAGACACACACACAGAAACACACACACATGCCCACACTCACATCCATGCACAGAGACACACACAGAAACACACACATGCACACATACGCACACCCCCACATACACACACATCGTCACAGACACACATTCACATATGCACACAGTCATACACATGCACACACAAGACACACTCATACACACACAGAAACATATACACACACATTGCACACATACACATGCAGACACCCCACACATACACAGTCACCCACACATACATACACACGAACATGCTCATACACACCCACACACATATGCACACGCATACCCACACATACACTCACAGAAACACACACATACACACACATTGCACATATACACACACATGTACCCCCCCCCCCACAAGAAGCCATGTGATTGCAGAGGCAAAGTGGAGTGAGGTGGCCACAAGTCCAGGACGCCTGGAGCCTTCCGGGGCTGGGAGAGGCAGGAAGAAGCCTTCCCTAGAGCTTCTGGGGGGAGTGTGGCCCTGAGACACCTGGATTTGGACTTCTGGCCTCCAGGACTGGGAGAGGGTCCATGTCCTCTGTGGTGAGCCACCCGGTTTGTGGTTATCCATGACAGTGGCCTCGGGCCACTCATCCAAGCCCCAGCTGGGCCACCGAGGAGCTCCAGCTCGGCAGAGCCCTGTCCACAGCACAACTGAGGCTTCTTGGGCTGCTTGGCTTGAGTACATCCACGCCTGGTGGTTCTGGAAAGCTGGCTGGCGATGCAGAGTGTGTGTGTGTGAGTGTGTGGGGGTGTGAGTGTGAGTGTGTGAGTGGGTGTGAGTGAGTGGATGTGGGCATGAGTGTATGTGAGCACGTGTGTGGGTGTGTGAGAGTGTGTGTGAGTGGGAGTGAGTGTGTGTGAGAGAGTGGGTGTGTGTGGGGTGTGAGTGTGCATGAGAGCAAGTGAGTGTGAGAGTGTGTGAGTGTGAATATGTGAGTGTGAGTGTGTGAGTGAGTGTGAGTGTGATTGTGTGAGTGTGTGAGTGTGTGTGAGTGAGAGTATGAGTTTGAGTGTGTGTGAGTGTGAGCATGTGTGAGTGGGAGTGTGTGTGAGTGTGAGTGCGAGTGTGTGTTTGTGTGTGAGTATGTGAGTGTGAGAGTATGTCTGTGTGTGTGTGTGAGAGAGAGAGACAGAGATGGCTCTTTGGGCATGACTCCTGCCAGTGCAGCTCCAGCACAGTCCCCTGGGCACTCCTGCCTGGGCCCTGGCTGCCCCTGTGCAGCAGGCATCAGGGCCTTTCAGCACCCAGGCTGCCCAGGGTTCTCCAGGGCGCCAGAGAGGCTGTGCCCTCCCAGAAGCTGAGGGAGACAAGGTCTCTCTGCTGGCGATGGTGCCCTGCCCTGCCTGTTCAGAGTGGCAGGCAGGGTCTTGGCCTCTTCCTGTGGTCCCTGCCTCCTGAGACTAGAGCTGGAGCCTGTGGGAGCAGAGCCTGGAGACCAGGCCACTGCCAAGTCCTCAGGGCAGCCCCTCTGACTTGGCTCCCAGGCCTGCCACCTGCCCCTGCAGCCCTCCAAGGAGGGGTCGTGTCCCTCAGGGGTCCTGCCCGCATCGTGGGCCCAGCCTGCCAAGGTCTGGCTCGCTGCCCCTTTGACAAGCCCGGACTCGTCTAAACCGTAGCAGTGGATTCGGCTTAGGCTCCCGCTGGGCCCTGCTGTGCCCAGAAGGCACCTGACCTGCAGCAAATGCTGAGAAACGGCCCCACGGCGGCCCTGTGCCCTCCACAGCCACTCCCCGAGGAAGCGGCTTTGTGACCTGCATTGCTGTGTGTGTTTGTGTGCACATGTGTTTGTGCGGCATATGTTTGTTTCTGTGTGCTTGTGTTTGTGTGTTCAAGTGTGCATGTGTGCGTGTGTGTTTGTGTACGCATTTGTGTGCGTGTGCACGTGTGTTCGTGCATGTGTGTGTGTACGTGTGTAAGCCCACGCCTGCTGCCTTCCAGCAGCTCCGGAATGCTCCTGGCCGTCAGGTGGTGGTCCTCAGGGTCCCCTTCCCCTCTCCAGGCCACGGAGCATCACAACCAACCCCGTTCTCACACTACACCCAATCTGTCACCAAGTTCAGGGGACCCTACTCAAGCAAAGATCGGCTGGAACTTGCAGCCCAGCCGTTGTCCACCCTAGGCCTTCCTATGCCACAGCTGGGGCCCTGAGCACAGTCCTACTTTCGAAGCCACTTGCAAGTAAATGTGGGGGATTGGCAGCTTGCCGGGAGAACCTCCCCGGCACAAATGATCTTCCAACCTCAGCCTCCTGAGCAGCTGGGACCACTGGCGTGTGCCACAATGCCTAGCTAATTTTTTAGTTTTTTCTTTTTTAGAGATGGGGTCTCACTATGTTGCCTAGGCTGGTCTTGGACTCCTGGCCTCAAGCAATCTTCCTGCCTTGGCCTCCCAAAGTGCTGAGATGACAGCCGTGAGCCACCACGCCTAGCCATTTTCTTTTTTAAGCCCAAATCAGTCTCACCTTGGCTAGTATTAGCTAATAGTTTTTCCCACACTTGGCGGTAGAGTGAGGCTATGTGATTCATCTTCACACTGTGGTCAGGACCAACTGCTTTGAGGATGGAGCTCACCTTCCACCACGACCCAGAAGCCCTTGCAGGCTGTGACCCTGTCCAGCTCTGGGCTCCTGCCTCGGGGGCTTGGCACTCTAGTCCAGGCAGAGTGTGTGCTGCCTGCAGGGCACCCCCTGCTGTGTGGGCTAAGCACGCAGCCTGCAGGATGCCTTCCTCTGCACTGACCACCCATATCACACTCATCCCACTAGCTTGTCCTCCACCCACACTGCATCCCTGAGCTGGGACACGCAGAGGACAGGTGTGATGAAGGTGCATGAAATGAGAGGCAGACAGAGAGGAAAGGAGGCACAGGAAGGATGGGAGCGAGGCAGGAAGAGTGGACAGATTCACGGGGGCTGTGTTGGACCCACTGAACACAGAGCCAATGCCCCAAGACCCGCTCACAGATGAATGGGCGGAAGCCCCATCTTTCCATCTCTGCCAGGCCGTGGCGCTGGCTGCCCCTCCTCCCAGCCAGCGAGGGGACTTGCCCGAAGCCTTGACTCCCGGCCCCTGCCCAGTTCCCTTGCACCATGCCTGCCCAGCTCAGCAGACATTGCCGGGCCGTAGAGCACATGGCCCAGAATAGTGCTGTGATGCTGATGGTGACTTTCTATCACTGGGCCACCACACTGTGTGGCACCTCCTATCCCAGAAAGGAGAAACCTGGGGATGCCAGTGCGCCAGTGCCAGTCCAGCCATAAAGACGCAGTTATGTGTGAGGAGCCAACACGCAGTGCCAGGCTGCCATTCACGCGGGCCCTGCCCACTCTATTTCCGTTGGGAGCCTGGGCTGCCCAGGGAAGCCCCAGGTCCCGCCACCTGCTCTGAGGCTCTTCGTGCAGGGCCGAAGGAAAGTCACAGGCGGTAGCGTTGCTCTGGGGACTGTCCCCCTCCAAGCTGTCCTTTCCAGGACGACCTGTGTCCCCAGCATGCAGGCTTTCCCGGCCCTGACCTGGATCCTCTCTCTGGATGCTGCGTGTGTGGGAATGCCTTGCAGCCCAGGCTCGGCTCTGCCTACACACAGTGTCACCTGCCAGGGGGCTGGCAGGGGAGCCAAGGCCAGGCCAGTGCAAGTGGGTGCACACAGCACCCTGCCCTGGCTCCATTGGGCCCCTTCCCTCCTGTGTCACCCCCTGGGTTTTGGCGGTGCCTCGTTGTGAACCCTAGACTCCATGGAGCTGGGCAGGCCGGGCCCCGCTTAGATTTCCAGGCTCTAGCCTGGCGCCCTGCAGTCGGCGTGCTCTTGGCAAACGCTCCACGCTGAGAGGGCAGGTGCCATTCAGGCCTGGTTGGATTCTGGAGCCGCGTCTCAGGACAGCTGGGGCCATGGAAGTGTCTAGAAGGGAGGGGAAACCTCCCTAGTCCGGGCTAGCCCAGACCTGAGGGTGACGGGGCCCCTCTTCTGAGGGTGACGGGGCCCCTCTTCTGAGGGCAAGGAGCCCAAGGGCCAGGAGGGGCACGGAGAGGCCAGGCCGCCACAGGAGCAGCGCACGGAGCCACGTTGCACGGTGTTTCTTTAATGGAAAGACAGCCACCGACCTCAGAAGCAGCCCCTCCTTGCGCTGGACCAGAAGGATAAGGGGAGACCTAGCCACCAGTGGGCCAGTGGGGGTGAGGGGCTTCTAGGAAAACCGGTGTCTGGGACTCTGGCGGTTGATGGTGTCATCTGCGCGGGATGCTGGGCCTCCACCTCCCAACCTCCTCCGGGACAGTACAGGTTTGGGGGCAAGGCCTGAGCAGGGCAGGCTGGGGAGACTGCTGTCCCTGGGGTTTTGTGGGCAGGGGCTGGGTGCAGGCCGGACAGACAGAAAGCAGTCCCAGCTCAAGGCAGAAGGCCAGAGGGTGTGGAGTGAAAGGGACAGGCGAAGCCAGGTTCGGAGAGATGGAGGGAACAGGCCACCAAGCTCAGAAGCGAGAAAGGTCTGAGGAAGCACAAGACACACACACACACACACACACACACACACACACACACACACACAGAAAGAGAGAGAGAGAGAGAGAGAGAGAGAGAGGAAGGACGGGGAAAGAGAGAACAGAAGGGAGGACTGGTCGAAGGGCCAGTGGAGCAGGGGTCTGGGAGGGACAGGCCATGAACTTGCAAGGGGGCTGAGGGGAGCCGCAGAGTCGGGGAGGGTTGAAAGGCTGGAAATGCATGAGGAGGAGGAACAGAACATGTGTGTCTGGACAGGTGCGGCAGCCCTGGCAGAGCCCACTGTCCCCATTCTTATGGACCGCCTCCTGGCTGCTGACCCAGGGACTGTTCTCCTAGGACTGGAGCCTTGGACACTTGGGTTTGGGAGTGAACGAGAAAAAAGCTTCATGGGGTGCCTCTGGGTGGCTGTGGTGGGAGAGCAGGGGCAGCTCTGAGGCCAAGGGAACATGTGATGGGGGCCGGGCCTTGCGCCCACCTGCACCCTTGGGAGCCAGGGAGAGGCGGTGATGGGGCATCGAGCTGGGGTCAGGGACCCGAGGTGGGGGGCTGGGTTGGACGCAGCTGGGCCCTGGCTTAGCTTCCTGGCTCTGCCTCCCCATCAGGATGTCTGGCTGTGTTCCCCAGAGACCCCCACTGAGGCCCCGCGGTGGCTGCAGCTGCCTCTACTTTTTGTAGTTGCCAAACTGGATGGCCAGGCGGTCAGTGACGCAGCGGAAAGTGGCCGGCTGCACCTCCCAGTAGGGCACGGGGTTGTTGAAGAGGCTGATGCCGTTGTAGTAGGCCCGCTTCACCCCGAAGCCCATGGGACAGAAGTCGTTGACACCCACTTTGGTGATGTTGTTGGAGTGCAGATAGACCACCTGAAGGCAGAGAGGCCGGGTCACGGCAGGCCTCCCTCCCTCCACGCCAAGCCCGCTGCCTCCAGGAGGCATTTTGCTGTTGCCTCTGCACCCTACTTCAAGGGCCACACCAGAGGCTCCCCGTTGTTGGGAGGAGCAAACCAAGGCATGGGCGTGTTATTTGTGTGGGTGTCAGCCAGGATTAAGGCACTGGATGTGACCAGGGACAAGGATGAGGGTCTCAGGTGGGTCAGGTTGAGGACATGTGGGGGCGGGGCTGGGGTAGAGGTGTGTTTGGTGGTGTGAGGTGGAGGAAAGGTGGCCTGAGCCTCGGGGGAGCACCCTCACACTCCATGGGGCATGAGAGGAGAAAGAGCCCTTGGGATGCCCTCCTCTTTCTTCCAGTCAGCAGAGGAGCTCGCCCTCTAGCAGCCCCTCCAACTCTCTGGAGCCACCGTCTTGCTGTCTCTGGGAGGAGCGGAGGTGGGCAGGCGAGGCGCCTGCTGGGTTGGGCTGGGAGCCCAGTGCTGGTGAACATGACAATGGCCACTAGAGGGCGCACTCGGCCCAGCATGGGCATGGCCTGCGCGGTGCTGGCTCGCAGCTGGTGCGGATGGGGGTGCTCCAAACACTTGTGGATGGAGCAGGGCTGGGCAAGACCAAGATCACCCACCTGGTTGCGGGCCAGGCCAGGGATGGAAGCTCCCGATAGAATCCCAGGCAAGACCCTGCTCCCCCTCGTCAGCCTACTTCCTGCCCTGGGCGGTCACTGTCTTGGCACAGATCTGTGCACTCCCACGCCCACAGTTTCTCGACTCCCTGGACTCTGCCACATCTTTCTGGTGTCCGACCCACCTGGAGACCCTCGGGTCCAAGAGCTACCAGGCTGCCTTGCTCGGTATCCACCATGGAGCCCCTGCTCCCTGCCTCCTCAGCACCAGCTGGGAGCATCAGGACCGCTCCCTTGCAGATGCCCAGAGCCGGTCGGGAAGGAGGGCCAGGGGACTGAGGGACTGCCCGGGGACACACACGCCTCCCCCAGCCCAGCCTTAGGGAACCTGGCTGTGCATGCCCAGCTCTCACCTGGAGGAGCTTGAGGTCTGGGAGCCCTGAGGGCACCCTGGCCAACTTGTTGTTGTCCAAGTGGAGCTCCCGGAGGGTGGGCAGGAAGCTCAGGCTCCCGTTCTCGATCATCCTGATCTGGTTGTGGCCTAGGCCCAGCCTGTGAGCGGGAGAATGACACGGACTCAAAGGCTGGAGGTAAGGATGGGGGGCTGGGCGCGAGGGGCCACACAGCACTGAGGGACTCTGGCATCACCCTTGGGCGGTGCCCTGCTGGCCTCACCTGTACAGCTTGGAGTAGCGAAGCAGGTCCTCCAGTTCGATGGCCTGGATTTTGTTGTGGTCTAGGTGGAGTTCATTCAGGGTCTCAGGGAGGTCTGCCAGGAGAAGAGGGCACAGGGGAGAATGCAGGTGCTGAGGGCAGGGGCCCTAGCTCTGCCCCAGGTGGCGGGAGGGGACTGTTGAGCCTTTCCCTGAGTAGATCGGGCCCATCCAGAGCCCCCACCCTGGCCATCTGTGCTGTTGGGGGTGAGGCAGGCAGGCGTGCAGGAAGAGTGGGCTTCCTACCTTTGGGGATGCCAGTCAGCTTGGCCTCTGAGATGCGCAGGTAGTTGAGCTTCAGGCCATCGAAGGCTCCAGGTTCAAAGCCACTGTTCTCCAGTGGGTTCCCGCCCATCTCTAGGGGAGAGACCTCATTAGCCCGGGAGCCTGGTGGTCCCTGCACAGCCCTGGGTCCTGTCACTTCCGGGCCAGTGTGGTGGGCCCTGCTACCTGCCGGCTGCTCCCGTCTCCTGAAAGCAGTTCTGCTAATTTACCGGGCTAATTGCAAACTCCTAGCTGTTCAGGACTGCTAGCCCCAGGACTGCTAGCTCCAGGGGCAGCAAGAGGAAAGGGAGGAGTGCCAGAGATGAAGATGGGGCTCCCGGAAGCCACCCGGCCCCTCTGGCCCAGTCTTCTCTTTAGCCGTGGTGATCGCCTGCATGGAGGATTTGCCAAGAAATCCATGGATTTTCTTTTGACCGTTCTCACCATACTCTTTCTTGAACTGAGCCTCTAAAGGTATCCCTTGGTCTCCCTTCCCCATGCCTCGAGACAAGGCTCTGGAATGTTCTGGGAGGCCCTCAGCTCACCGATGCAGTTCATGTTCCGGAGCCCGCTGAACACTCCCTTGGGCACCTTGCGGATGCGGTTGTCGTGGATGCGGAGCTCCACCAGGGAGCTGGGTAGGTTGGGCGGGATCTCCACCAGGTGGTTCTTGGAGATGTAGAGCTTCTGCAGCTTCCGCAGTGGGCTGAAGGCCTTCTCATGGATCTTGGAGATCTTGTTGTTCACCAGGACGAGGGCCTGAAGCAGGGTGGGCGGAGGAGGTGAAGGCACAGACTCCCCACCCCACCCGCCCCTCTCTCCTGCCTTCCTGTGCCTCCCCAGCCCACTGGGCCTCGAGGAGGTTCAGTCCATGCTTGTGAGCAGAGTGCAGGGCAGGAGGCAGCACCCAGGCCCGGTCCTGAGCCCCAGCAGTGCCACCACTGCCTTGCCGCTCCAAGCCTCAGTTTCCTCACACGCACACTGGCTACAATGAAATCCGTTCTCCTCTGTTGCTGGGAGGAGTGGACGTGATGAAACGTTTTCAGCCACGAAGGGAGCCGAACTGAGCGATCCGGTCCTGCAGCTGTGGTTGCTCAAACCCACATGAGTGAGCCGCAAACCCGGGAGCTCCCATCACGGCTGGCTCCAGGCTTCACCCTGAAGCCCCACGAGTCCCCGAACCCCTCTCATACCCCACACGTCCACGCACATGCACCCACCCGGACCCCTGCCCTCTGCTGTAGGCCTGCTGGTTCCTCCCAGCTCCTTACGTAGAGGTGCTGGAGACCCTTGAAGTCATCCTTGCGGAGCTCGGAGATGTCGTTGTTCTGCAGGTCCAGCAGCGTGGTGTCAGGGGAGATCTCTTTGGGCACAGACTTCAGACCTAGGGGCCCCACCCCCATCACCAGCATGAACTTGAGACCTAGGGGCCCCACCCCCACCACCAGCATGAACTCGAGACCTAGGGGCCCCACCACCATCACCAGCATGAACTTGGAGCCATCCAGCCGACTAGCCCCACTGGTAGGGAGGACCGGGGACACACACACAGGGACACTGACGGGCACACGGGGATGCCACCACAAGTGGGCACAAACTGCACAGCTCACAGCCAGACGGCTGGACCCCTCCTACACTTACATCATGCTCGCCACCGTCCCACAGGACCAGCATGTGTCCCCTTCAGAAGGGGCTCTCAGGCTGCACCTGAGCCTCCCTGCATGCCCCGCTCCCCATCACTCAGGGACAAACCCAGGTCGGAGCACTGAACCACCCGCAGGTGGCAGTGGCAGCCGAAAGGACACATGGCGCTGTAGGTGGGTGTGACAGAGTCCGGGTCCAGGACGCCCGAGGTGTCAGCGCCCGAAGCTTCCTCATCGTTCATCATGAATGGCCCATCGTCCAGGGTGAAGTCCCAGAAGCCTCTCTGCTCAAAGGGCAGGGCCTGGCTCAGGGCCAGCAGAGACACGAGGCGCCACAGGGGCCACATGGCGGATGGACCTGGGGGAAGAGGCGAGGGGATCATCAGCACCAGCACCCACCTGTCTTCTCCATGCCAGGGGCTGGTGTTCCGCGTGTGTGGTGGCACTGCGTTCCCATCCCTCACCAGGGACGGCCAGACCCTGGAGCGGGAGGCGGAGAGGGCGGAGTGTGGGCAGAGGGCTCCAGGCAGGAAGGGAGTGGATGCTGCTGGCAAGGAGGGTGCCCCCTCCACTCCACTCCCTTCACTGCTTCCACTACCCCCCTCCCCATCCCGGACAGGACTTGGCTTAATCAGGCGATGAAATGTCTCCTCATCAGCAAGTCTGCAGGCCCCCACGCCTCTGAGTCTGCCAGAAGCCTGCTTTAGGGCGGGGGCGTCCATGAGGCTGCGTGGAGGAGGTGGAGGAGGAATCCTAGCCATTGGCCCTCAAGGGCTTTGAAGAATTCACTTTTGGGGACATCACTGTGGCCTCCTACCCGGGCCGATCCTTCCTTTGAGTTCTGGGCTCAGGGCAGCGTGGATGAAGTTAGTTGAGTGCGGCGACTCTGAGTTGCTTCCTCCCTCCACCCTGCCCACGTTTCTCAGAGACCCTCTAAGGCCAAGGTAGGGAGGCAGGGCGGAGAAAGAGGGGGTATCCTTGGAGGCCGTGGGTAAAGTTGGCTGAGGCAGCACTGAGTGGAGGCCCCCGAGGTGGAGGCCGTGGCGCCCCCAACACTGCCCCTGGGCCTTGGCTTCCTCCTCTGGACCACCCGCCCCAGCCCCCCGCCCACACCGCCTTGGCCCAAACAGCCCTGGAGCTCCCAGATCTGCTCGCACCCTTCCTCCCTGCCCACAGCCTCGGCAGCCCAGAGAGGCCCCCCAGGGGAGCAGGCTGCCGCCAGGGTGGCAGGGCAGGGTCAGGCTTGCCTGAGGCCCCCCAGGCCGAGGCGGCGAGTGGGAGTGGAGGCGAAGCAGCCCTGCCCGAGCCTGCCCCCAGCACCCACCTCTGCTTGCCTCCTCCCTCCTCATCAGACACGGTCTCCCGTCCAGAGGCAGCCGGGAATGTGCCCTACAGGAAGAGGCTGGAGCCCTGCCTCTCTCACCACTTCATCCACCCTGACTCTCCAGCAAAGGCCCAGGTCTCATCCCAGCCTCACCTTCCCCATCTGTTAAGTGGGAATAAACATGCCTGCCCTGCTTGCCACCCAGCCTGGGGTGGCCCTCGGTGCATCTGGAGATGGGGAGCCCAGCTGGGCAGCAGGGGCCTCTGGCAGACCTGAAGCAGTCGCACGCCCAGGAGACCCTCACTTAGGGCCAGTACTAGCTGGGGAGGGGCTGTCTGGGGCTCCAGCAGAGCGAGGTGAGCCCCCTAAGCCCAGCTGCTGGTTGCAGGGGTCTAAGGAGGCCGTGGGGAGGTGGGGGCTCTGCCCCCAGGCCAGCACCCTATGAGCAGCCCCGCCCTGCCCGATGCTTCCCCAGTTGCCCTGGGGGCTGGGCTGGCTGCCCGGGGCTGCCGCTTTGGAGTCCTTGCTACCAGCGGGCCGGGGGCCTGAGGCCACTTCAGGGCCAGGTTGGGTCTGAGCACAAGCCCAGGAGAGGGTTGGGATGGAGGCCTGTCCTGTCGCCCCCATGCAGCTCCTCGGGTGCTCCAGGGAGCATCTGCTGGCACGCGTCCCCCCTGCATTGGCATCCCCCCTAGAAGCCACCCATGCGCCCTCCCACACCTGTGGACAGAGGGGCCTGTGGTGAGGCTGTGGCTATAGCGGCTGCCAGGCCTGTGGAGTGGCCTTTCCGCAGCCAGCCCCGGAGCCCTCCTGAGCCCACAGGCCCTGGGCCACACTGCAAAGTGGGAGTCGGAGCCCAAGGCTTAGCTCAGCTTCCCCCTCATGTGGAGCTGGACTTCATGCTGACCCCTGGGGTCACCAGGAGGCCCCTGCTGGGGCAGCACCGAGCCTCCCTCATTCTTTTGAGCCTTGAGATCCCACAGTTGCAGCCCAGGGCCTGCCAGCCTCAGGCCGGCCCAGCAGAACCTAGGGGAACCGCCCGGAGGGTCTTGGCCCCCAAGTAGGGAGAAGGCTCAACACTCACCTACCTGGATGGTGTTTCCCTTCCTCCAGGGCAGGGCAGGGCCTCCGATGCCTGCTGCCGCTGTAGGACCCTCTCCCAGTGCCAGTGGACACCCGGGGGCAGAAGGAGGAGGAGGAGGAGGAGCAGTGGGAGAGAACAGGAAGGGCAGGGTGGAAGCAGGAGAGCAAGATGGAGTGGGGGAGGGAGGAGACTGCCCTGCCCCTCCTTGCCGATGCCCCTGCCAAAGCCGCTACCTCCCAGGGAGAGTGAGTCAGGGCTGGGACACCCCGCCAGAGCCCTGGCAAGCTCCAGGGTGGGCAGTCCACCTGGACAGGTAGGGTTGGGGTGGTCCGGCTGGGCCTACGGGAGGCTGTGGGGAGGGGCTGGGGAAGGCCGAGGGGACAGAGGACCATCTGACCATGGCCAGCTTGGAGCCCCCCAGGACCCACGCATTGGCCTGGAGGAGGACTCTACAGGGACTCCTGCCCCGGGGCAAGGGGTCTCCCCAGGAGCTGGGACTTCCCTGCAGGCCCTCCTGTTAGGGAATCGGGCCCTCCACCAGGGCAGGGGGCACAGGCACAGGGCAGGCCAGTCACGGCAAGACTGGCCATCGGGGTCTCAGGCGGGTTCCCGGGACCAGCTGTGGGGCAACGAGGGCTCTGGAGGCAGGCTGCCTGATACAGTAGGATGTCTGGGGGGTCTCCAAGAGACTGAGAAAGGGGCAAGGGGAAGAGGTTCCCTCAGAGCGGGGAGGGAGGCTGAGGGCTGGAAGGCCCATACACCCGGGCCCCGTGACAGAGGCAGAAGGACAAGGTTTGGCTGGTTTTCCATGGCTCATGGCTGTGCCCAAGCAGTGGGCAGGCTGGAGGGGCGGGGGCCGGGCAGGCTTCCCGGCACATCCCTCATTTCCCCTCAAAGAACTGGCACAAAACTGAGACCTCTCCCGAGGAAGGGGCAGGCTCCGTGTCTGAGCCCACAGGAGGCAGCAAGGGGCCCATGAAGTCAGAGGGAGCCAGGGGAGCCTGGGGGGAAGGATAGGATCCCCTGGAGCTGGCCTGATGAGTATCCCCATTTTATGGACACAAAAGCTAAGGCCGAGAGAGAGGCTCTGATTTCTCCCAAGTCACTCAGCCTGACTTGGAACTCAGCTTTGGCGCCTCCAGGCCCCGCCTGAGCTCTCAGCTGTGCTCCTCAGCCACAGGGCTCCAGCCATGTCTCTGGGCCTGTGAGAGCCTGAATGCCCAAGACTGGGGGTGGCAGTTTGGGAGGTCCTGGCAGTATAGGCTCAGCTGTCCTCCCAAAGCCTGGCCCCTGCCTTCTCCCCACCACCTCACACCAAGCCCCTCCCTCCTGCCAGAACATGCACACACACACACGTACACACATACACACACAAACACACACACAGATGCACACATACACGCTCACATACACACACGTGCACACGCACACACCTATACAAAACACATATGTACACACGTGCACACACACATGCACACACCTATACAAAACACATATGTACACACATCCACATGCATCCACATACATGCACACATCCACACATATACGTGCACACACCTATACACACATGTACACACATATACATGCACACACCTAGACACTCACACATGCATACCCATGTATACACATTCACATACACATATGATACACATATACACACATATATACACAGATGCACACACACTCATGCACACATCTATACACATACATGCACATGTACATCCACATGCGCACATGCATGCATGTATACACACATGCACACATGCACACATACACACATGCACACACATGCACACACACGCACACATACACATTTATACACACGTACACACACACACACATGCATACATGCACACATACATACATACATACCTGCACATATACACCTGTATACACGCATACACATATGTACACACATACATGCACACATCTATACACACATGCATACACACATTCACATATACATATGTATACATATACACATACATACACATATATCCACACATAGATAAGGCAGGCGGGGACCCCAGCCCAGGAAGCAGGAATACCCCATAGTCAGATCCTGTGAGACCCACAGCAAGTCCCTCCAGTCCTCAACTCTCCACCACCACAACTGAGGCCTCTGGGCCTCAGTTTCCCTTCATTGGCCTCTCTGGGTGTGTCTTCAGGGACTTCAGGGAGGGTTTCAAGCCCCACCAAAGTGTGCCCTGAGCTCCCTGGATACCATCTCTTTAGAGCAAAGGACAGGGGCGGCAATGGCATAAGCCCCAGGTTTGGCGACCGCAGGTGTGAGTGAGGGAGGAGGCTGGGCTTCCTGGAGCCTCCGCCACCACCCCAATAGGGCCCTCCTTGTCTGCCCCTCTGAAAGCTAGCGCAGTCCTCTGCACTGGATTGCTCGAGGTCACAGCCAAACAAGATGCGTTGGCAGCCTCTGAGAACATGGAGGGTCCGTGCCAGGCATTCAGGCCAGGCCAAGGGCGGCGGGAGCAGGGCTTGAGGTCTGGCGGGCCCTGGGAGCTCGCCTGCAGATGGTGTGGCTCACAGCTGCCAAGTGGCAGACGCCGGATGCTGTCTCCGCAGCCTCAGCCCTGGGCGTCTGCCCCCCTGAGCAACCCGACCTGAACTCTGACACATGTGCCACCTTCCACGCAGCCCTGCGGGGTCCCCGGGACTGTGTCCTTCCTCCCCTCCCCTCTGGCCTCCAAAGCCTTTTGGGCCCAGTTTCAACCAGCAGCCTGGTGCTTGTGCCCCCGCTGACACCCGGCCTGCCCCCTGCCACTCTCCCAGGCCCCAGTCCACCAGTCCCTCCCCGCCGATGGCTCCAGCCTGTACTTGGGCATCAACCAGAGAGGGGATGTGTACCCTCCCTGGCCTTGCCAAAGCCCGGCGTGTGCGTTCATCTGTGGGAGTGGCTGCCTGAGGGGCTGGGGGCTGGAGTGGGGAGGGGTGGACCTTGTGCCACATTCCAAGCCCCTGCCGTTGCCGGAGCATGCCCTTCAGGCAGCCACGCTTGGGCGTCTGCTCCCCTTGCAGCCACGTGTGGAGGGGCTGGGAAACCCCGGCTCATCTGCTGCTCAAATCCTTTCCAGAGGTTTTCTGGCAGGGTGGCGACAAGGGTGGAGTTCTCCCTTGATGCGCCCAGCCACCTCCCACCTCTCTGTGCCAGCCCTTTGCAGCCTGTGGCGCCCATGTCAAGGTCCAGCCTGTCCCCACAGTCGGCGGAGTGCGGGACTCAGCCCTTCCCACTGTGCGCTCCTGGTCCTCTGCACACGGACTACTGCTGCCCCCTCCCACTCTCCGAAGAGATCCGGGGCCTCCTGCTAGAGTCTCCAAGGAAAAGGGAGGATGCTGTCACCTCTCAGAGGCAGAGCAGGGGACTCATGTGATTTCTTTACTTAGCATCCTGCCGTCCCCCGTTGACTATAAGAAGGAAGCAATGCTCTTAGAACTTGATGAAGGGGTAAACTGAGGCTCAGGAAGTTGGCCCCAAACTCTTGCCCAAGGCCACACGGTGAGGAAACAGCAGAGCTGGGGCTGCACACACTGTCTGTCTGTCCGTCTGTGTCCTTGCCCCCATGTCTGGACCCACCCTCTCCCAATGCACACAGTGCCACAGGCCCCAAAGCTGACACGCTTCACACTCTCGGGGCTGTGCAGGGGGCTCCCCTGGAAGCATGGCCCTTCTGAGGACCATCAGTAGCTCCCTATGGCCCACAGATCCAGAAGCCCCTCCTCAGCCCCAACACAGCCAGCAGGGCAGCCCCCGCCCAGCCTCTCACCTCTGCCTCTGTCTGCAGGGAGTCTCCTGGAAAAGCCATCGTCTCCCCAGGCGAGCACTTCAGGGCCCCAGGGAAGGTGTTCCCGGCCTGCCCCCCAGAGCCTGGGGCCCTGCCTCCCTCCCTCCCTGGTACAGGCCCACCAAGGCCAGGAGGGGAGGGGAAGGTTTCCTGCAGCCCCTCCCTGCCGCAACCCGCTCTCTGCCGGGGGCTCAGGCTGGGCTGGGATTAGCCTCCTTCAGCCAGCCAGGGTGGCCCACAGCCTGCTTAGCTTCAGGCTCCTGGGACTGCTGGGCTCCCATGGGTGTGTGTCTCTTTGCATGAGGGCAGCCTCCAAGAACCATGGGATGGCAGTCAAGGCCAAGCAGGGACTCAGACTTCCAGAGGATAGAAGTCACACTGGCTTCCCAGACTTCCCCTGCCTCCAGGGACAGGGCTGCCTTCTAATCTTCTGGCCACCCAGGAGTCTGCCCGCCATGCTCCCCTTGGCCCATCTGAACACCTCAGGGACCAAACAGGACTGGGATGGCCAGCAGAGGCAAGTTCAAGAGGCCCACAGAGTCCGTTGGGCCCCTGGTCCTCCAGCTTATCTCAGGCCAGTGTTTAAGTGGAGCTCAGGCTTAAGATGCAGTGGACCAGGAGAGTTCCATGCAAGAAGGCTGGCTAGAGCCCCAGGCCCCTAAGCCTCAGAGATGAGCCTCATGGGAATGGGCAGCACCTTCACCAGGCCTGCCAGGGAGCCGGGACCTGACCCTGCCCCTTGGGCTGGCTGGGATCAGAGCTGCGCAGGTGGGAAGCTGGGAGTGGGAGGGTTCTGCAGTCCTCGGAAGAGCCAAGGCTGGTGGCCCCTCCATAGCCACCCCAGAGGCTGCTCTGACCTAGAGCCATGACGGGGCAGGGGAAGAAGGCAAACAGCGAAACAGCGAAGGGGGCAGCTGGGATGGTTCCCAGGAGTCTAGAGTCCCAGAAGGGGCTTCTGGCTGTGGGATTCAAGTGGTGGAGGGGATCTTCTGGCCTGGAAGGGGACCTGGGGAAGGAGGAATGAAGCACAGGCCCCACCCCTCCAGAGGAGGTGGCCCCAGGCCTTCCCCAGGGAACCCTGGGAAGCTGGTTCTTTCTGGAAGGCTGCAGAAGGGCCTGGCCATGGGTCCTGGAGGCCACTTAGGCTAGGCGGGCCTCAGGCCAGGAGGACTGAGCCATGCGCCCTCCCCACAGCGCAGCCCCTCTGCACACACCCCACAGCTGGTCCCTCTAAGACTTGCGGAAAGGGCTCTGAGTGGCCGAGCTGTGGCCCCTGATCTCCCAACCCAGCATCTGAGCAGAAGAGGACAGGAGCTGGGGCACTGATCGCCCCAGGCCCGGTCGGCAGGGTGGGGGCCAGGGCCGGCAGGATCCCGGGTTGCGCTGCCTTCCGAGGGAGCCGGTGCCCACCCAGCGGCCTGCAGCCCAAGGCAGGGTGCCCTGGGAAAGCCACCGCCACCCCCAGCCCCTCGGTGTGAGCAAGACCCCCAGCTGGTGGGTCCCCACCCACCAGTGGGGCTCCCAGGCCTGTCGGGGGCTCGGTGGTGGGCCTGGATGCTAGGGGGGCAACGTGCGGCAGGGACCAAGCTCTCCGGCCCACAGATGAGTGGGAGGGGGTCGTGGTGGGCATGGGAAGACATTTCCGACAAGCAGGGGTGTTGGGGGGTGAGCAAGGCAGGGGAGGGGCCCTGGCAGGTGGGGTGCCAGGGACCCCAGGGCTGGGGCTAGGCCTGTGGGTGGGGCGTGTGCTGGGGATTCTGTGGGCCGAGGACATGTGACTCCCGGGCAGGCTGGAGATGCTGGGGGGTGGGGGGTGGGGGGTGGGCCCGGGAAGCACAGGAGACGGCAGGTGGGGAGGTCCTCATCCCACCTCTATACGGGGTGGCAAGGACTCAGAAGCCCTTGCTGAAGGCTCTGAGTGCTAACTGTCAAGTGTGAACTCATTACAAACCCCTCCTCTGGGGACTTGGCGCTGTCACTGGAAGGGACACGCTATAGCTTTGTTTGAGTGACTCTGGAATGTTGCTAAAGACAGGAAACTCATTCTTGCCTTGGAAACACCCCCCTTCCTTTCCCAGACTCCCCATCTATGCGTTGGTAGGGTTAATGCCCACTGCCGTACGGGTCCTTGGGGCTTGAAGGTGGGCCAGGGAGGCCAGGGCTGCCACCCACAGCTGGCCAGCTTGCCATGGGAGCCCTCTCTGCTCCCTGGCTCGCAACCTGCTCCCACCGCCCAGCCCTGGTGGCTTGGAGGCAGCCCTGCATCTTCCTTTCAATATACCCACACGGGCTTGCCCTCAAAGGCTCACCATGCTGGCCCACAGTGGCCATACATGGGCATGCTCCGCACCAAGACATCCATGCTCATACACCAGCTCTCCTGGGGTGCGGCTGGCACCGGCGGCTGGGTGTCACCAGGAGGTGCTCACCCGCACCCCTGGGCGCTGGTCCCCGGGAGCCTTTCTGGCACGGGGGCAGGGGGGCTGAGCATCTCCAGCTTGTCTCAGTTCCAATTAGTTGCTATAGGGCAGAGAGCTGGCAGGCCAGGGAGGGGCGAGGGCCCAGAAACAGGACCCCCTGAGGATGGGACCTGAGCAGTCTGGCAGCCAGGACAGCAGGAGAGAGGCCTGCCCACCAAGACAGACCACTGGAGACTGATGTACCCTGTGCCCTGCAGATCCCTGGGCCCCCTGCTCTGCTCAGCAGGCGCTCAGGCACCCAGCCCCGCCCATGGAGCAGTGAGGGGGCGCTCCCCTCCGTGGGCCTTCCAGGGCACTCTCTCGCTCCCTCTCCTGGGTCCCTTGGCAGGCCCCTCTGGGACCCCAAGCCAGGTCCGCCCTGGGGAGCATGGCACAGTTGCCTGATTTTCTCTCCTTCCCCTCCACACCCATTCTGAGTCCCAGTCCAAGGGGGTCCTGGAAACAGACAGGGCTGAGCCACCCAGGCACCCCCAGTCAGGGCCCTTGCAGCCAGGGCTCCCAGGACCCAGACTTCTCACAGAGGATGTAGAGGCAGAGCATTAACCTGGGGGTGAGCGAGCGAGGAACATCTGGGCAGGGTGCCTGGGGTGTGCCTGGGAAACTAAGTCTTTCAGCCCATGCCAAGGACTGGCCTCAGGCAGTGCAGCGGAGGACTGCTCCTGGGTGCTGAGCTCGGTGGGCGCTGGGCGGTCCTCCCCGATCCGACCCAACCCGGGCCAGGCGCCAAGCCCTGGAGCAAGGAGGCGCCTGGGCAGAGCGAGGCTGAGGGAGTGGAGCATGCGCCTGGGACTTGCAATGATGAAACAGGGCCATTGGCAAAGCTGGGGTACCAGTCACCCAGCCACGCTCTAGGGTGGTAGCCAAGAAGACGGACCCCGAGCGGGAGGCAGAGAGACAAGAGGTGGATGAAGCAGAGCAAGGTCAGAAGGGAGAGGGAGAGGAAGGGGTGAGGGAAAGGTGCCTGGAGGGCGGCGAGACGAGGCAGAAGCCTGACAGGGACCAAGGGGGCCGCAGGGTGGCGATGAAGGGGCGTGGATCAGCAGCCTACAGAGAGCACCGGGGAAATCTGTGGACACCCTCGCGGCACTGGGGACAGCAGGACCAGGGCTTGGGACAGCGGAGGCAGCAGAGCCAGGGGCATCTCTGGGTTGCTGAGGAGGCAGCTTGAAGCCAGCCCTACCTGGAGAGGGGAGGCGCCAGGCGCAGGCTGACTAGTTGGCGGGCTGGGGTGGTGGGCCGTCCGCACGTCTATCTGTCCGGTGTGTCCGGCGGACCGAAAGCAGCTACTCACTCCTGGGCAGTTTGTGGAGAGAGGGAGACAGAGGCGGCGGGCGGGAGGCTAAAGGCTGGGCAGGCGGGCCGACGGGGAGGGGACAGCGGGGAGAGGGCGGGGAGGGAGGAAAGGAGGGAGGGGGCTGGTGGGGCGGAGAGGGCGGGCGAGCAGGAGGGGGCAGGCTTCCCGGCCCCCCTGGCAGCTTCAAAGGGAGCAATTTTCTTGTAGACGGCTGGACTAGCTGAGCCCCCGCCCCCTCGCCCCCACCACCTCCCCCCCCCTCCCCCGCCTGGGGCAGACAGCAAAGGAACGGACACACTCGCACTCACTCAAACAAGGACCCAGAGAGTCAAACTTTCCACTGCCCAGATGGGGACACTGAGGTGCTGGCTGGCATCTCGCCAGGCAGAGGAAAGAGAGATGGAAGAAAGACGAGGGGGAGGCGGCCTTGGGCTGCTAGGCCCATGAGTGGCCCCTGGAATTTGGTCCTGAGCCTGCCAGGAACCTGCTTGGGCCTAAGCAAGGAGGTGGTTTCTCCAGGATCAGAGAGGTAGCTGTTGTGGATTTCTGGAAGGACTTCATGTAGGCTCCTGGCGCCCTGTGCCCTCCCTTCCACTCCAGACTTTCTTCCCTTAAAAAGAGGGCCCGATCCGGCTGGTGGTGGCAGGACGGGGCAGGGGGCTCCCCAGCTTGCCTGCCCTGAACTGATTCAGAGACGAAGGATCCAGCGAGTCAGTCTTCTTGCTCAATCCCTGCAGGTCCCCTCGGACATGAGAACCACTCTGTGGGTGGCCACTTCCTCTGGGCTCAGCCCTGTGCTGGTCACTTACGGGGGCTAACCGGGTTACCCCACCAAGACTCAGCCGCTTCCTGAGGGCCCAAATGAGTCCAGTTCCTCCAGTGGCTAGAGCCCAGGTCCTTAGTACGACACTGCCCCCCTGTCCCGTAGTGTCCCCTTCTTCCCTCAGCAAGAGCAGCTCCTGAGACACAGGGGTAAGAGTTTAGATGGAGTGAGAAACAGATCTGCAATAGAACTGGGGGCCAAGAGTGCGGAAGACCAAAAGAGAAAATTGCATATTGAGAGAAAAAGCTCGAAGGGGCAGAGAGGGAGAGAGGGGTGGCTAGAGAGAGGCGGCATCCAATGGAGAGAGGACAACGTCGAGGGCTGAGGGTCTTCAACCCCTGGCAGTGCCATCACTCAACCGGGGGGTGGGGTCTGGGAGGTCCCAGGCCAGGGAGGATGCTCCCAGGGGAGCTCTACCTGGGGGCATGGCAGGGCACAGACCCCCTTCCTGTTCACCAGCGGCAGCCCAGGGCCTGGCTAGGACCTGGGACGCATGGCACCTTGACCAAACTGTGGTACCTGCCTGCAAGAAGCTTCTAGACTGGGCCAGGGAGAAGAGAGACGTGGGAAACCAGGGGCCAGGCTGGTAACCCTGGTTCTCTCTTGATTTCATGGTTGGAATGAGGAGATTGGAGACCACATATGCCCTTTCCAGACAAAGGAGATGGCTTGTCTTTCGGCAGGTTTGTGTGTTTTACCTTTTGCCCAGCCTCAGCGTCCGACTCTTGGCAGCCTGGTCTCATCTCTGTCCCACCCTCTTTCCCTCCCCCACTGCCAACTCATTCGTGGAGAAATATGTCGGTAGAGAGCGGGACAGGCAGCGAAGCCTGACTAGCAGTCTGGGTGGAGAGAGAAGCATTTGGAAACATTCCGCTCAGTGACAGCAGCCAGTCGCAAAAGGCCGCAGAGCCTCTGGTTCCATTCATTTGAAATGTCCACACTAGGCTCATCTGTGGGGACAGAAAGCGGATTTGTGGGCAGTGGGTGCTAGAGGGGTGGTACCTAAAGGTATGGGTTTTCTTTTTGAGGTGATGAAAATGTTCTACAATCGACTGAGTGATGGTTGCACAGTTCTGTGAATAGACCATATAAAAGCCCTTGCCTTGTACGTGCTCAATGCGCAAATCGTGTGGTAAGCACAGCCACTCTCAGTAAAGCCGTTTCAGAAAAAAGGAGAAACCCACTCAAGGCATGCCTGCTGCCCGAGGTGCTGGTACCCAGTACCTTCCTGCACTGCTTGGGGACTGAGAACCCAGGAGCTGTCACTCAGGGCCTCAGCCTCCAGGAGTCCCAGTGGGGGTGAAACAGCTCTGAATACCGTGGGGGCGCAGGGCCATGCACAGTGCCAGAGGCTCGGGAGGGCTACCTGGAGGAGGTGACCTGGAGCAGACCAGTAGGGAAGAGGGAAGTTGCCGGTGGAAGGAAGAGCACACGTGCGGGGGGGTGTGGGGAGACACAGGGGAGCCAGGCGGCGCTGCAGTCCGGCCCTGCACCGACCTCACCCTCAGGTCTCAGCCAGGCATGTTCCTGGATGGGGGCTTGGAAGTGGCGATGAGGCGACACCCTGCTTGGGGGAGACACATTATGCATGCACCTTGCAGCTCTTACCTGAAGTTGGGGGCTGCTTCTGGGGGCAATACTCATATAAATACGGTCCTTGTACCTGGAAGGTTTTTGTATCTGTGGTTTGCAGTCTGCAATAAGCCATAACTGCACGCCCGGCCCGGGGCCCACCGAGTCACTCGGCCTGGCTAGGGCCCACTGAGTCACTCGGCCTGGCCCTCTAATTTGGGGGCCACTCCCAGACCAGACAGGCAGTACCTCAGTCCTAGGGCCTCCCCCTTCTGCTCCCCCTCCCACTCCCCCCTCCTCAGGCCTGGGCTCTCTCTGCAGCGCAGAAGGTACTTTGATCCCAGCTGAAGTGCTCTAGGAACAGTGCTTCCTTGCTAGCGAGCAGAGCTGGCGGGCGGGCAGCCTTCTGCCCTTCTGGCCTCTCAGGGCTGGGAGGAGGCAGGGGGAAGCAGGGGGAAGGCAGGCACGGGGGGCGCAAGGCAGGAAGGAAGAGCAGGCATTTCCTGAGGCCCTCAGGGATCCTGGGGAGGAGGCGGACACACAGCTGTCTTAGCTCCCCAGGAACCCGCGGCAGACAGGGAGCAGGAGGTGGGGGAAGCAGAACCCGGCCCCTTCCAGCACGGCCTGTATGTGACCCTGGGATGCCACTGCACAGGCCCCCTAGGCCCTAGCTGGGATGCTTCCCCCAAAAGGCTGTAGAGGGCCAGAAGGTCCTGCTGGCACCAGCCTTGCCTTGCATCCCAGCCCGGGAGACCCCTTCTCCTGCCGGATGGAGCCGAGAGCTCAGCTCTCTCCACCTGACAAGGAGCCCAACCCCCTCAGCTGCGTGGGGAGGGCAGCCCTGGGCAGCCTGCTCAGGCTTCCCTGCAGGGAAAGCTGTCCTGCCCTGGCAGTTGCCCCTGCACAGGGCCCCAGGCCACACTGTGGTCTCCCTGCTCTGAGCCTAACTCTGGTCTAGGCCTCATCAGGCAGCTGCCACCCCAGCCTGCCTGGGACAGCGCCCAGGACGGCTGCTGGAAGGTAGCAGGTGGGGCGGCAGCCATGGGACGGAAGGATGGGACAAGGACATGTCTGAGGGAGGGAGAGGGCCACGGAAGAAGGGGGCTGGGAGGAGGGGAGGCAGGGCGCAGGGATCTAAGCCAGCTGCCATCTCCTTGGCCAGTGTGGGGAAGAGGACCTGGAGTCAGCTGCAGCCTGTCCCCCACAGCTGGCTTGCAGCTGTTTGTGCCCTGTCTTCAAAGCTACAGCAGGGAGGCCCAGGAGAGAAGCAGGGTGGGGGCGCCCAGAGGGCAGGCTGTGAGCTCTCTGGTCCCATTTGGGCATGAAATACTGGCGGGTGGTGTGAGTCCTAGAGGGCAGAGCCTAGGAGCCTGGGAGGTGGCCTCTTATGCAGGGGTCCCCTACAGAGGTGGGCTGCTTGTTCCATGATTCTCCAGGGTCTGGAAACAAGAACTGGGCCCCGGGCTCCCTCTGCCCTGCTCCCCAAGTGTGTCCAGTGGGCCCTCTTCTCTGTGGGTGGCTGCTTCTCGAACCCTTCTGCCTGGACACGAACCTCCCCACCCTTCCATTCTGATGGTGTGAACAGAAGGGCCCATGCCTGTCTTGGGGATGGGACGGAGAGACAGAGGGAGAGCCGACAGAGCTGGGACAGAGAGCTGCAGTGGGCGAGGCAGACAGGCAGCACTCCCACCCCCTGGACCATCAGCAAGACCCTCAAGAAGCAAGGAGGTGACAAGTGCTATGTGCCCGTACAAGACTGGGGGGCAGGGAGAGCTTCTAGAGGAGGAGGCAGTGCCCTGAGGCCGCCTGTCATTGGGGAGTAGCTCTTGCAGAGCCTCAGCTTCCAGGGCAAATTCCCATCCAGGGACCTGTCACTCACACATCGAGGTTACCTCTTGAGCAAGAGCGGCCCCAAGTTTATGGCCTTGAGTGGGCCTCACTCCGAGCCTGTGGGCTTCGTCCATTCCCAGTGTCGGCACCCTCGGGGGCAGACACCAGTGGGCAACCCCATCACCACTCAAGGGTCTCTGGATGACCTGCGGCCTCGAAGCGGCATGAAGCTCATGCTCAGCGGGGACCTCTGGGTTCAGGGGGTGGGGCGGTTATGGAGGAGGCTTGTGCCAACATGCCCTGGGGCAGCTGAGCTGGTGCTGAGTGAGCGGAGCCTCCACTCTCTGGAAGCTTCCCAGTGCTGGATGGCCGAGGTGTGGCTGGTGAAAGCTGGCACTCTCCATGCCAGGAGCTTTTTTTGACCTTCCTCTGAGGACATAATCACACAGCATCTCTCCCCTCCGGGCCACCAGGGCTGTAATTTCAGGGCCTGCGTGGGGGCTCCGGGGAGGCCTGGCCTGCGTCTAGCTATCTTTAGAGAGGCATGGTCTGGGGCGTGGCCAGAGGATGGAAGATGGGTTGCCTTGGAAGCCGAAGTCCGGGAGCCAGAGGCCAGGGGCACCCTAGGACCCCTGTGGTCTTCCCTCAGGGAGGCCAGAGGCCAGAGCCCAGGAGCAGCACCAGGAGGCTCTGGTGGGAGTGGGAAGGGGCTGGGCCCTGTCCCGAGCCCTGACTTCAGCTCGGAGCAATCTTTGGCCCAGATGCTCAGAAGATGGGGTGGGATAGCACCTGGCCTGAGGGCCAGACAGCTTAGCATCTCCCAGACTGTCCCCGTGTGGCCATGGTGGCAGCTATTATGGGGGTAGGGGGTGGAGGGTGGCACAGTAGGCGAGATGCTTGTGAACGGGGGTGTTAGGCTGGAGGGAGGGCTCAGAACAGAATGTGGCGAAGGCGAGGGGTGGGCCCGTGGGGGGCCAGTGAGGGGCAGTTGGAGAAGAATTTGGAAGCTGATGGGCAGTTTTCTGGGACTGCAGCTGGCAGAGGCGGAGCAGAGGTGCAAGGTCCCACCCAGGTCTCAGGCCGGAGACACAGGCCCAGCCCCAGGGAGGGCACGGCTCCTTGCCCCCATTCTCCACCCTTCTGAATTGTGAGCTGTCCCCACTGTCCTTACTCTCAGTCCCACCCCATCACCTCAGCATCCCCATCCCCATCTGAGGACTGATGAGTGCCTCCCTTCTGACCCTAGTCACACCTATCCTGTTGCCATCACTATTGCAATTGTCACTGCAATGTCCCCTCAGATGCCCAGCATTTTGGGGTCACCGATTGGCTGCACCCACTGCTGTACCCTCAGATGGAGCCAGCAGCCACCCCGAAGAGGAGGAGCACAGTAATCACAGAGAAGGTGGGAGTGAGTGGGTGTCGGAGCGTGGCCCGTGCTGAAGGAGGGGCAGGTGCAGGGCCACGGCTGGGCTGCCCTTGCTCTCGGGCTGGGGCTCTGTCTAGAGATTCCCTCGTGGTGCCAGCTAGACTCTGACCAGCCCTCCCACAGCCCCAAGAAGTGAAGTCCCCAGCCCTGAGCTCCTGGCCCTCTGGGGAATCCCCTGGGCTGGAAACAGCACCCTTGTCCCAGTCATGAGGGGGAAATAAAGGCCCAGTCCCTTTGCCCCATCTCGGAGTGCAGGTTGGCTGAGGCCTGGCCGGGCCTGTGGGGTCGGCTGCAGCCCAGCTTCTCCCTTGGCCAGGTGACGACCCCAAGAGCCCGCAGGTACATTTCCCAAGTGCGAGTCCCCTGCCTCCCCAGTTGGGAAGGTCACAGGAGGATTAGCCCCCGCCGAGGCTCTGAGAAGTGGAATTAACCACCTGTGGGTGGCCTGCCTGGCCCCTGCCCTCCTGCAGCTGAGGGGCCCCTCCCCTTCTCCTCCCCACCTGCCTCATCTGTCGGGCAGTGGTAAGAAGTGGGCAGGAGATGTCGGGGACTCACCCAGCCTGCACTTCCTGTGCCTCCCGGGCCTGACCTCTGGGACTGCGAGAAGGTGGGGGCTGCAGGGTGACCTGAGCAAGAGGCGCAGGGACCGGGGCGGCCAGGCAGGGAGGAGGGGTCGTGAGAGCTGGGAGAGTGGGGCCAGCGCCTCGTGGGCTGCTGACCTCTGACCCAGCCCAAACAGGAAGTGCCATATCTGAGGGGCCAGCTGGAGGAGAAGGAATGCCGGGACGAGTCCAAAGCAAACAGCCCACAGCTTCCCAGGCCTCTCCCGCCCCCGCCACAGTCTGGCGCTTTCTCCACTGAGAACTCAGGGGTGGGGGCAGGGGTAGGGGGAATCGGCCATGGAATGGGAGCAAGGCGAGACTCAGTTCCCAGGCCCCGGTCCTAGGCAGAGCTGATGGCGGGGCGAGGTCCTTGCAGCGGACACCCTGTGCCCTTCCTCCTCTGCTCCACCCACATCCAGCAGCCCGGAGGCAGAGGGGAAGGAGAGGGGCGGCCCCGCCAGGGTAGAGAAAGGCCGGGGAATGGGAAGGCCGTGCCCAGATCGAGATGGGGGTGCTGAGGTGATGGGGTGGGATAGCGAGGGCCAGAGGGGCATGCTGGAGGCTCACAAGTTAGAGGGACAGAGGACAGGGACGGAGCCATGCGCTCCTTGGGGCTGGGCTGTGTCTCTGCTGGGCCCTCTCCTGCGGCATCCTTCATGCCTGTCACCTGGCTGTCTCTGTGAGCCCCATCCCAGGGCAGTGGCTGTCGTGTTCCCTGCGGTTGTGACCCTTTGTCCCTATCCCTTCCTGGCACAGGGCCTGGTGGCCTAGAGAGCTGTGGAGGCTGTCCCAGGAAACCCATCCGGTTCCCAGGGGCCCCCTCACTCAGGCAGGCCAACGGGGCAATGGCCTCAGTGGCCTTCGAGGGCTCCGCAGACCCAGTGTCTCCACCAGCATATCTGGCCAGTCTGTCTTCAGGGCTCGGCAGGGCTGAGTTGTCACTTCCCAGGGACTCCTGGCACATGGGGAGGTCAACATGGAGGGCCGGCCTCGCTCAGGCAGACAGTCAGAAACTCTGGCCAGGGGTGGTCCTTGCCCAGTGCTCAGGGCGGGGCTTGGCTTTGCACAGACCACGTGCTCACTCCCCACCCTTCCCTGGCACCAGGTCAGATAGGGGCACAGCCTGGTCTCACAGCAAGCCAGCCATACATCTCTGGGCAAGTTACTCATCTGTGAGCTGAGGGTGGGGCCCTGGGGACCTCTCTTGCAGGTGGGTGTGCATGTTGGGGGCTGGGATGAGGGTTCTGGGGCCAGGAATGGGGGGGAGGTGTCAAGGGAGAGGCAAAGGGGCTTCCCGAGAGGTGCCACTGTGCGGTGGTCACCAGCCCCTGCCCCAGGCCTCAGTGCAGGTGTGGGTGGCTCTAGGACCAATGGCAGGTGCCCTGAACCTCCACACCCTCCTGCTCTGCCAGCCAAGCCCACCTCTTTGGGTCCAGGCCCAGGATAGGGATGAGACGGATCAGGTGCAGATGCTGCCCCAAGCAAGGGTGGGGAGCCTGGCCTCTTGATGGCTTGGGACCGAGCAAGGACTTCAGGACCCTGGTGAGGCAGGGTGGGGGTGGGGAGGCTCTCAGAGAAGCTGTGGGACCCAAGCCCTCTGAATCTCTTTGCTGACAGTCTCAGGTGCAGCCCAGGAACCGCACGGACATGGGAGAGCCAGGACATGCAGCGTAGCTCCTGGAGGGAGGGAGGCTGGCTGGTGAGCCTGCCCAAGCTGCATTTATTATGTTCAAGTACAAACCAGTGCCACCTTTCGCCCCTGGGCCATTTGCTAAGTGAAGCGGCCTCACCAGTCAATGGGAAGTGGGTGCACTGGAAGCAGTGGGGTCTTCTAGACCTTTCTCCCAGTGGTGCAAAGGCCAAGCACACCTCAGCCTGCCCCTCCACCCCCTCGAGAAGCAGAGTGTGTGCTGGAGGAAGGCGGCAGGCAGGACTAGGAGCCCTCCTCCCCCCGCCGCTGGGGCTGGAGGACCACGCTGTGATAGGCTCGGGTGCAGGAGAAGGCAGTGGGCGGGATGCGGCGCCGGTCAATGAGGTTGTTCTCCAGGTGTGTGGAGGTAAGGTTGGAGTCCTGAGCCACGCGCATGTCACAGATGGAATTCAAGGGCACTTGTCTGCAAGGGAGGGGTGGGGCAGAGCAGGGGAGAGAAGACCCCGGAAAGACGGGGTAGGCATCATTCAAGAAGAGACAGAGACCCCTGCCCTGAGAGAAGCAGTAAGACCGAGCCACAGAATCGGAACTGTGGAGGAGTGATGGCGGGCTTCAGAGACCACTGCGGCCTCCTGGCCCCCTCCCAACTCGAGGCTCAGTGCCAGGCCTCCAGCCCCAGCCCTTGTCGCTCCAGGCTGGAGCCCTGCCAGCATCCGGCCACTGCCTGCCCTTGGCTTTCCAGGCCTGCCAGCCACTGGGCACAGCCTCCATCATGGCAACCAAGATGGGTGGATGGCTGGATTGGGGGAGGATGGATGAGCCCCGACTCCTGCCCTCGGCCTCTGCGGCCTGTGGGTAAGGAGCCCAAAGGCCAGCCTGTCCTAGCCCAGCCAGAAGGCAGGGCCTCCTGGCCTCAGGGTACCTCTTCCTCTGTGTGCTGGCAGGGTGCGGGGGTGGAGACGGCCACAGGTGTGGGGTCGAGGAGGGGGGCCCTACCTGATCCTGTTGTGGCTCAGGCCCAGCACCTGCAGTCCCTTGAGGCCCAGGAGGCCGCGTGGGATGGCCTGCACCTGGTTATGATCCAGGAGCAGCTCCGCCAGCGAGGCGCGCAGGCCCAGGAAGGACACGCTGTGGATGCCGTCAGCCTGCAGCCTGTTGTGGGACAGGTGCAGGAACTCTAGGCCTGGCTTCATGTGCGCGAACGCGTAGCCAGGGATGCGCTCGATGTGGTCGTGGTGCAGCGTCAGGCGCCTCAGGCCCCGCGGCAGGAAGCGGGGCACGTGCACCAGCCGGTTGTAGGACAGGTCAAGGGTCTCCAGCTTCCTGTGGGGCGGGGCACACAGGGGCAGAGGGAGCTGACGGTTGGCAACTCCTAGAGGGGAGTTCCAGGGGCTGCAGCCCCACACTCCCAAGACGAGCGTGGGGATTCACTCCGAGATGGCAGCCGCAACCCGAACTCTCAACAGCTGGGACTCTGGCAACTCCTGTGTGAGTCAGGCCAGGCCCTGTGTGGGTTTATGTCCTCCTCTGTCCCCCAAGGCTTAGGGATTAGAGGATCTGGGTGGGGGCCTTCCTTGCTCCCTGCAGGGCTAGCGATACCTGCTGTCATTGTGGAGACTGAGGAACTGTCCTCCCACTCACTTCCTTCCCTCCAGGTGTTGCCTCAGGGTCTCCTGTCTCCTAATCCTGACACCTGACAGAGCTCAGAGGGTGACGCCTAAAATCTAGGGGAAAAGTGGGGCAGGGGAGCTCTCTGCCCCTGCCGGTCCTCGGCCTCGAAGCCCTCTCCTCTGTCCCTTCCACTCTCCTGCCCTCATCCTGCCTCTCCCAGTCTTATCCTCAGATGTGTGGAAGCTAGATGTGTGGGGAGAAAAAGATCAGGCTCCATGAGGGTTAGGGCTGGGGGACCCTGGGAGGTCACCCAGCCCTCGCTGTCCGATAGTGGAGTTCAGGCTGCCACCTTCAGCTGGGAGCCCCCGGTCGCTCCATGGTGGACACCTGACTCCTTGAGGCCCTGACCCCAGCAGCAGGAAGCCCTGGTCCCTGTGGCCATGCAGGTGTGCAAGGGCAGAGGGTGGTGAGGCTTCTGGAATGGGTAAGAACATGGAGAGAGGGAGCAGGGAAGGCTTCTCTTGGCAACACCCTCAGCCCCCGTGGCTAGGGTCAGCCTTTTGGGCTGCTCCTGTGCCTCTCGGTCCCCTCCTTTTCCACCAGCCCGAAAAGAGATGGGTGGCGCCAGAGTCCAGGAGAGGCCGCGGCTGAGGCAGCTGGGGCTTGACTGGCCGCCAGCCCCCTGCCCAGGCCTCGTGGCGGGAGTGGAATAGCGGCCGGGCAGCCCCTCCCAGGCTGCTGTCTGCTTTCCTTTGCCCCCTTGGCAAGTGGGGGAGAGGAAAGAGGAATAATTAAACCCAAACGTCCTGGTAACTTTTTCCTGGAACGCAAGGATGCAGGGCGGGAGGCTCTGGTCCCTGGAATGGCGGGTCAGACTGTCTGTCGACCCCCGCCTCCCTCCCCACTGCGGCCCCACCCTGCCTTGGTGGTCATCAGGCCCTCCTCAGCCTCCCGCCTGGCACCCAGCCTCCCCCAGCCCTCCCCGCTGTTCCCAGGACCGTGTCCTGACTCCCTAGCCCGACTCCTACAGCCCTACAGCATCTGGTTGCCGTGAGTGGCCTGTGTGCCAGCATCTCTACCTAGCTGTCCCAACCAGATCCAGGGAATTGCCCTTGACTTTTCTTGGAATGAGGTGAAGAGTGGCCCCCAGAACCTATGTCCACCAGAACCTGTGAACGTGGCCTTATTTGCAGATGTAAGGATTGCAGGGGAGGATGTCGAGCTGAGCTCATCTGGGTTCCCCGGCTGGGCCCCGCTCCCATGACAGGTGTGCTTTTGAGGGACAGAAGAGAGAAGACGAGACAGAGGGAGACACGCAGGGGAGACGGCCACGTGCAGCCACAAGCCCAGGAACACCTGGAGCCCCCTGAAGCTGGGAGAGGCAGGAAGGATCCCATCCTAGGCCTCCGGAGGGAGCACGGCCCCCTAACATCTAGATTGCAGACTTCTGGCGTCTGCAACTGAGAGAGGTTATTTCTGTTGTTTGAAGCCACCCAGCTTGTGGCACTCAGTGATGGCAGCCCCAGGACATGCATGCACTTCTCTTCCCCACTTTCCTGTGCCCCCAGCCCTTCCGCGCTGCTTCCTGCCCCTGTCACCTCCTAACTGCACCCATCGTCGGGCCAGCTCTCCCCACCACTGCTGCCCTCCATCCAGGCCCGTGGCACCTCCCAGGTGAGCTTCCTGGGGGCCGGCAGGGCAGGCCTAGGCACGGGAGGGCAAAGGGGATTCTGCTGGGTGGGAGGGACAGAGGGAAGGCCTTGCAAGCTTGCAAGCAATATCTTGGAAGAGTCTGTGGTGACTGAGGGCCCAGGCTAACCTAAGCAGGGAGGGAGGTGACCCCAGTGACCCACCGAAGACCAGGCCCAAGGAACAAGTCCTCCCCTGGAGCCCCCTGCCTCCTGGCCCTCTCTGGGGCTCCGTGGCTCAGCATTGCCCTCTCCGCCTTCCCCACCTGCCTCTCGGGGCTGCTCTGGGCCATCCTTGCTCTCTGCCTCCGAATGCCCATTGGGGCGAAGCTCTGGGACTGCCACTCACGGGAGATGAATCCAGGCTCGGGGTGCCAGCCAGTGCTCCTGAAGCCAGTTGTGGCTGAGCACCAGCACGCTGAGGCTGTGGATGTGGCTCAGTGCGCCCTCCGCCACCTCCTCGATGAGGTTGGTGCCCAGGTGCAGCTCCTAGGGTCGGGGTCAGGGGTTGGGGTGAGGGGCCCACCTGCCAGTTGTTGGCCACCTGGTCAGGCTCCAACTCTGGCTGTGCCCATTCTCTGCCGGCACTGCCTCCTTCCACCCAGCCATGTCTGTGCAACTCAGGTGCCAGTCTCTGCCCTGAGCAGTCAGGCCCATGGCAGGGGTGGATTTTCAGGGGACTGTATGGTCCAGAGAGAGGGTATGGGCCTTACTCAGAGAACCCAGAGGGTGCAGAGCCATCCAGGAGGTCCCACTGTGGGCTTCTGGAAGGTTAGGTCAAGCTGAGGAGAGGCCTGAAGCCTCGTGAGTTTCAGCGCACAGATCCCCCTATGGGCTGCTCCACGCCCCCTCAGCAGAAGCAGAGGCAGGGTTGTTTGATGGTAACAATGTTGCCTCCCCATCCTGGGGGCTCCAGCTCAACTGCAGGGAGGACGGCAGGCCGCGTGGGATGGCCCGCAGCCGGTTCCGGTCCAGCCTCAGATAGAGCAGGCTGCAGAGGGGCTGGAAGGCCAGGGGGAGATGTCCCTGTCACGCAGCTGGTTCCCTTCCACCTCCAGCGTCAACAGCTGGCTGAGCCCTGCAGGCGGGCAGAGGGGTGCGGTGAGCCATTGCAGAGCTGCTCGCAGTAGCTCTAGAACCCCTGCCTGCCCCTAGAGGCCAGGGCCCCTTACCCAGGCTGGCAGTCTCCTCTGCGTTCCAGCCAGGCTGCCCTGGGCACTCTCCCGAGTGTGCCTCCTAGAGGGCAGACCCACCCCTTGCCAGCCCCTGTCCTGGGGGTGGGGCACCTGCCCAGGCCTGCCCCCTCGGTCCCTGCCCCCGGAACTCGCCCGCACCACGGAAGCTGCTGCCTTGCAAGCCCTGCAGGAGGTTGTCGTTGAGTTTGAGCTCCTGCAGGGAGGCAGGTAGGGCCGGGACTGTGGTCAGCGAGTTCCCAACCAGGTTCAGCCGCTTCAGCCGCATCAGATTCTGGGAGGTCATGGGGAATAGGTGGGCTGGGGTTGGGGGCCTGCTGGTCGGGGCACAGGCCTTCCTGGGCATGGCTTTGGGCCCATCCTGACCAAGGGCACTCTGTTGGTGGCATCATGGCTTCCTAGTTCCCACTGAATCCAGGCCTGTCTGGGAAGGTTTCTGTTTGCTCCTATACAGGGCCTGCAAGCCTGTGCTGCTCCCCCTACTCCCAGCGATGGAACACGTCACACCAAATTGTGGAAGCCCACCATGCTGGCTGCTCTCTGCAGTGCCTCCTCCAGGCCTTACCCCCTAAGCAGCTCCACCCTGCAGTGAGTGGATGCCTCAGGTCACCTGGGACCTGCCAGCCCCAGCCCCAGCCCCGGCCCCCGAGAAGAGGTGAATGGGCCACAGCATACCTTGAAGGCATGGGGGTGCAGGCCTCGGGGATCCAGCTTGTTCTTGCTGAGATCCAGCCACTCCAGGTTGGGCAGCCCCAGGAACGTGTGGGCTGGGATCTTGGCAATTTCATTCTCTGTGCGCACATGGGGCAGCCATATTCTCTGCCCCCTGCCCGCTGCCACTCTGTACCTCCCACACCAGACAGGGCTGCTCAGGGGAGCCAGGGTGGGAGCCCAGGTCTCAGCCTTCTCACCCCTGCTGCAGGGGTGGGTGTGGGGCGAGGAGGCCACCCACCTGCCAGGTAGAGTGTGGTCAGACCAGGGTGGGTCAGGGCAGGGACATGCTTCATCTTGACATTGCCACAGGCGATGACTGCCTGGGCCAGGAGGCACGAGGCCGGCAGAGAGGGCATGGCCTGCTGGGTGGTGCCCAGGTCTGCGTGCCTGTGCCTGTGCCCATGTGTGCTTCCTGGTCTTTTCCACCCATGGCCTGGGGTCTTGGAGGTGCTGCCGCCGCCACCCTGGCCTCGGCTGCGGTCCTTCTGTGGGCGCCGGATCCTCAGCCCAGGTTGATGGGAGGTCCCTGGAGGAAGAGAGACAGCCCCTGCTGGGTCACAAGCAACAGGGGCCCTACTGAGGAACAGGGGCTTGCCCGAGGCTCCCAGGGCCTGCCAGTGACTCAGCCAGCCTGGGTTGGAGCGACAGGTTACTGGGACCCCTCCCCTTGGCACCAAGGGCAAAGGCCCAAATGGGGGCTCTGAGGCTGGGGAGGGGACGTGACTTTGGAGGGCTTCCCTCCCACCCCACACACGAGGGCACTTGGCTTGGAAACACCGGGAACGGGGCAGTGCCTGGGTGGCCAAACTCATGCGTGGTCCTGTCAGCCCCAGCAGGCCCCAGGCCCCACCTGAAGGCCGCCTGTCCTGGCCAGTTCTCACCTTTGGGGGGCCTCCTGGGTTTCAGGCCCCTTCCCTTGTCTTCCCGGCCTCCTGTCCTCTGGCCCTGGTCCTCCTCGGTGACTGCTGCCCCCTCTTGAGCTTGAGGGTCCCTGCCGGCCTGCCAGGGCCTCAGCTTCAAGGCCTCGGGCTTCCCTGCCCCAGCCCTCATGGCAGCTGTGGCCTGGGGCTGAGCCCACTCAGCGACCAGGCCCTTGTTGTGACCCTGCTCCTGCTCCAAGGTCACTGGGGGTGACTCCTTCCTCAGGGCCAGCCCTGGCCTGGGAAGCGCTTTCCAGCCAGTGGAGGGGGACTGGGTGGGGGTTCCTTGAGCTCCCTGCTTCGGGGTGGGCTGATCCCGCAACTGGTCCAGCTTCCCAGCCTCAGGCTTGTCTGGGTGGCCGATGCCAGGGATGGGCTGCAGCTGACCTGCGGAAGGAGCCAGTGTGGGCTGGGGGCCTTGCCTCCTTTCCCCAAGGGGCTGTCAGCTGCTAGAAAGCCCATCGCCCTTCCTCTTTACCCAGGCCTCCCCCCGCCCCGCCTTTCCCTTACCTCCTGAGGAGCACTGGCGAGAGAACAGAGTGTCCCCACCGTCAGCAGCAGGCCACCAGCCCCTGGGGCCAGTAACCCAGAGTACCTCTCAGAACTTACACAGCTCCTCACTGCTGGGGAGGGGGGTGGGTGGCGCTCTAGGCCCATTAGGGCTAAGGGGCTGGGCCTATAGGTTAGGCCCAGGGGTTGGACCGGTGGTTGGGCCCAGGGAGCTTCAGCAGCCCTGGGTAGAAAGCCTTGGGCTGCTCAAGGGACCTTGGGTCCCACCTCCCCTCACTTCCCCAGTGTGTCCCAAGGGTGGGGGGTAGGGCGTTTCCCCAGCATCCCCTTTGCCCCATACCCATTAGTGAGCAAGGACTTCACACGTGCTTCCTAGGGACAGCTTCTGGGGAGATGAAGGGGTCGCTGCGACCTGGCACAATTTGCTTTTAGAAGTGAAAGCCCCAGTGTCTGCTACAGGGGGTTTGTTGGGGATTAGGCAAGCCCAGGGGCCACCTCAAGGGGTCTGTGAGCCACTTTGGAGGAATGTTGATAACCCCAATGCCTCCTGTCCTCTATGGAGCAGCTCCTCCTTAACCAGGGCCAACCATGGGGGGCACCGCTCTGTCTGCAGGGGTGAGGGGCAGACCCACCCACCTGGCCCCTCCCGCCCTACCCCCAAGCCTGGGGCAGGGCCACCAAGTGTGGCTACAACCACTGGCCTATAAGACAAAGGCCACACTCATAGCCCATGTCCTCGGGCCCCTCAAGCCCCTCTCTGCCAGCAACCCCACTTCACCCCCAAGCCCTATACTCCCAGCCACCTGAGATTCTTCCTGTCTCAGGAGGCACTGGGGCAGCCAGAGCAACTCCTCCCCAGCACACCCCAGCCCGCTCTCAGCCTCACTGTAGCGCCCGCTCCTAGGAAGGCCTCTTCCCTCCCTCGCCCCTAGAGTCTGCGCACACCCCTCGCCCTCCAGGGAGGGCTCTCTCAGGGCCATGGGCCCTTTGCAGCCCTGCCTGAGTACCCAAAGTGGGCCTGAGGTGGACAGCCTGCGGCAGTCTTCTTCCTGCTGGTGCCAGCTACTCACCGTCGGGGGCCCCTGGTGGGCTGGGCAGCAGCTGCAGGGTAGCCAAGCCCATGGGGGTTGGTGGGGCCCCTCCTGAGCAGCTCCCCGCCCACAGTGCCAGGATGGGGAGCAGCACACTCCTCTTGGCTGCCATGGAGGGAAGGAGAGCTGGGAGAGGCACGGTGGTGGCCACGGCAGGACGATGGCGGACGGCACAAGTTGGTCTTGCTCCCTGAGCTCCTGGCCCTGGCTGCGGCACTTGGAGTCTTCCCTGCCCACCCCAGCCCTTCCCTGGGAAGGCCCCCCTTCTGTCGAGCAAACGCCTCCCCCGACCTTGCCCCCAACTCCCCACAACGTGCACTGCTCCCACCTGAAGAGAAAGACAGATTGCCCTTTCCTCAGACCGGACGGTCCTGCCCTTTTGCTGTGAGGCCCGCATTGATTCTCCGCTGGCTCTGGCCCAGTGGCCTCCATGAATGGGGCTTCTGTCTCACACGTGGCAGGCCTGAGAGGCCCACCACAGAGCGGGTCGGCCACCGCAGGCTGCTGGGCCCTGCATCCATGGCTGCGAAAGGAGAGGGGGTGGGTGCCAAGGCCGTGGGCTTCTGCCGTGGGCAGCACTGTGGAGGCCTCCGGGTTCCAGAGGAAATAGAATCTGTGGGCACAGTGCAGGCGGCGAGGGTATGCCTCCCGTGCCTGAGACCCCAGTGCTGCTTGGGCATGGGTGTGCCTCGGGCTGGGCTGGCTCCTGGTTCCTCTGCTTGCCCTCCAGGTCTCTACCTTCTCCTCTGTAAAATGGGGTAGGGGGCAGAGTTGACGTTCTGTGGCTGTCCCGACCCCCTACATAGGAGCATGGGTGTTCCAGGCACTGCCTGGGTGAAGCCATGTCACAGGTCCCCCCCAGACTTCTTGGCCAACAGTCTGGGATCTCTGATGTGCCTAGGCTGCACGCATCCTTTTGGTCAGAGGGGCACCTGTGGGTCAGGATGACATGAGGTGGAAAATAGGCTGGGCTCGATGAGGGGACTGCTGGGTGGGGCCAGAGGGGCGTGTGGTGGAGTGAGGGGCAAATAAGGGGGTGTCTGGCTCCAGTTCCTAGAGCCCGCCACCCTCAGAGGGCTGCCGGAAGTCCCTGCTCCAACTGGGGTGTCCCTGCAGCCCCAACCCCGCGTTCTGCTGTGGGAGCCAGGGTTTGTGGGAGCAGGCAGGCGGGGGCTGGCAGAGAGGACTGATCTCACCGCTGGCTCGGCTCTTCAGGGCCAGTATTGAGGAAGCTTTTCCTACAGCCCTGTCCAGCGTTGACTTAGGTTTGGAAGCGATCTTAAGAAATGAGTTAATTGTGGGCAAGGCTTGGGTGGAGGGGAGAAGGGAAGCAGTGGAGGAGGGGCAGGGGCCGGCAAGGGCCATCAGGCAGGAGTCTCCATCCTGGGGCAATGAGGCAATGTGTGAGATCCAGAGGGGTGCAGGGCTGGTCAAGGTGGGGAGGAGGCCTGGCAACTGGGTCTTCACTGGGCTCCTTGAGGAGCTGCCGCTCCAGCTAACAGTCCCGTAGGAGCCACATGGGGTCCTCTGCTATATCCAGGGTACCCTCGCCATCCAGGGCTCTGGTTTCTGACCTGAATTTGGACCCTGCCACGTACAGACCAGAAACAGGGACCATCTAGGGAGTCAGCAAATGCCTCTGGAGTCAGGGATGAGGCCACCATCTCCTTGTGCGTCCTGTGGGTGACACAGGATGGCTGTGGGCCAGTGTCCTGCCTGGGGGCAGCTGCCGAAGCTGGGACAGGGTAGCACTGGGGCACGGCAGACTTGAAGTATGCTGCCAAGACTAAGTGAAGCTTGCCCCAGGATCCTGCAAGACAGAGCACAGTCGACCCCCCATTTTACAGAGAAGGAACAGAGAAGGAGTGGGGCTCACCCAAGTCTCGATACCAGAGGCCAGTCCTCCTGCCTCCTGGTCCAGGCATCGCCTGAGAAACGGGGTAGGTCCCTGCCTGAGCTGAGCCTAGCACCTGGGGTCGGGAGACTGGACGGTGATGGGAACCCCGGCTCCGCCCCTCCCCCTGCCTGGGGATGGATTCTGGAATCCTGGCCCCCTACCCATTTCCCCTGTTTGCGCCGCTCCCCAGGCGCTGACTAAACATCCTGCCATCTGGTTCCCATTAGCTGGGCTGGGGGTGGGGGAAGCCTGCTCCCAGGTTTCTCTGGCACAGCCAGCCTGGAGGAGGGAGGGACTCCGCTCCTACCCACCTAGGCAGGAAGGGGTGAGGCCTGGGGTGCTCTCAGTTCCCAGCTCCCATGGAGGCCTGGCCTCGCTGCCCTTCCCCTGGTCGGGAGCCTGGTGGCTGACCTGGGTGGGCCCCTGGGGAGTGGTACTCCTGCTGCCCACTCTGTCCAGTCCCAGGGCACCCGGCCATTGTGGGGACCTTGAAGGAACCCCCATGGAGCAGAGCCAGCCTTCAGGGGCTCAGCAGAGCCAGAGGCTCCCGGCAAGTTTCTGCCTTGCCCTCCCCCCCGCCCAAGAGCTCACTGACGGACTTGTGCTGAGACAGGCAGGCCCCAAGCCAACAGTAATCCCGAGCCCGGTGTCTGGAGCAGAGGGTGGGAGGGCTGTTGGGATTTTCCAGGAACCAGGGATGCAGCCCGAGGGTTGCTGGAAAGAGCTTTGGGCTCCCAGTTCTGCCATGGACGGACTGGCCATGTGACATCAGGAACAAGCTTCCCTCCCTCCTCAGTGCCCCAGTCTTCTCATTTCAGTATGGTGGAAACAGGCTCCTTAGAAAGTTCTAGAATCTGAGAGCCAGAAGGCGCCTAGAGAAGCTGGATTACATGATCAAGGTCGCTTCTAGTTGTACAATCCCAGGATTCTAAGGTCAAGGAAGGGACTCCTGTCCCTTGTCCTCCTCCCCCTTCCCTTCCATGTAGCCCACTCTTCACACACTCATGCACACACATACCCTCTACAAGCTGGGACTCAGATTGGTAGCCTGGAGGATGCCAAAGCAATGCTGTTTGTCCCTCAAGGCTGTCATCAACGAGGACTGGACAGTGGATTCTTTGCTCACTGACAGGGGATCAGGTGAGGACCGTGAGAAAGTGACATTTGGGCAGAGGCATGAGTGAAGAGGCCATGGCCATGCAAAAAGCCACAGAAAGAGCCCTCCGAAAAAGAGGGATGGCCAGTGCAGAGGCCCCAGGTGAGAAAGGGTTGGGCCCAATTTGAGCATTGGCAATGACAGCAATGTGGTGGAGCAGGCTGAGTGAGCCGTGGGAAGGTGTCTGTGGCGGTGGGCTGGCTTGCCTTTGTCCTTGAAAGAATCAGGGAGCCACCTTGGACTGCTAAGCAGAGGAGTCACAGGATCCGGCCCCCCTCAGGCTGTGGGGTGGAGCACGAGCAGATGTACTGGGGGCATAAGGGTAGGAGGTGGGAGCCACCGTGTGGCAGCTGAGCCCGCCAGGGGCCAGGTGATAGTGGCTGGCCAAGGGTGGAGGCGGGGTTGCGAGGAGGAGCGGGTGGGGTCAGGAGCATTTGGGCCTCAGGGTCAAGGTCTGGGGGCTGTTCCTGCTCTCCTGCTCTCCTGCTCTCTGCAGGAGCACCTACTACGTGCCTGTCCTTTTCCCAGGGCCCAGGGCAGCCAGAGACACAGCCTTGGGGTGACCCCCAGAGAAAAGGAACAGGCCCATTCTTGAGCTTTCCACATGTTGTCTGAGTGAAAACGACAGCAGTGTGTGGCACATGGGTGGCATTCTCTGGGGACATGCGCCTGCAGCTATCTTATATGTCAGTAACAATATGGGGCCTTTCCCCCTTAAAGCTTGGAGAAGAAAAAAGCCCCATTTTCCATGCCCTCTTCCTGTTGCCCGCAACTCTTCCCTAGAGGAAACCCATCTTATTTTAATGCTACTGAAACCTCAGAGGATCTGGTCCCAATTAAATGACTTTTCTTGCAGACGCTTTGGTGAGCACTAAATGCTTGAGACCTGGTGATCCTGAGCGAGAGAGCCTGCTGCGGGGTGGGGGTGGAGAAGAAAAAGGAGGGAAGGGGAACACAGGACCCCAAATGGGACAAGGGTGGCTGCGGATGGGGTGGAGGGTGCCAGTGGAGGGGGACTGCAGAGGGTGGCACGCAGCAGGGACCAGCCCATAGGGAGCAGGGCCGTGGTCGGGATGGGGGCAGAATAGGGGCCAGTTTCCCACCCTCTTTGCCCGTGTGAAATTCGAGTTCATTCCCGCCCATAGCGTGGCTTCGCTGGACTCCGTGTGAAAGCGGCCCCGCCCCATCCCCTCCGGTGGGCTTCGAGGACCTCGGCAGGGAACGGAGGTTGGGCAGAAGCTGGAGCTCAGGCCCGGCCGGGGAGCTCGGGCAAAGCAAGAAGGCGAGGCGGGCGCCCCCTCCCCCGGCCGGCCCTCCGAGCGGGCACGTTCGTGTTCCCGTCCTGGCGCCCTCGCTTCCCGCTCCAGACGCATGTGACTCAGCCCCGCCGGCCTTGCCAAGCCGTCTAGACCCGAGCGTCTCCCCGCGGAGGGGGCGATCCCGCCCGCCGCCGTTTCCTTTGCCGCCGCCTGCGCGGCTGCGCCCCGCGCACGTGCAGCAGCGCTCGCCCCCGCCCGCCACCTCCCGCGAGCCGCGTGCACGCGCAGCCACTCGCCCATCCCGCGCCAGCGCCCGCGCCCCCGCCCCCGCCCCCGCCCCCGCCCCCGCCTCTCCCGTTGCGTCCACTGCAAACAGGCAGTTCGAGGGCAGAAGCGGGAAACCCAAAGGTCCCCAGGGCCCCAGACCATCCCTCCCATTTTTGGGGCCCGGGGCAGGAGGACAAAGATGGACCGCTGAGCCACTGCCTCCCTGCCAGCCAGACTCTGTCCACACCCCCTACAACTGCCTCTGGCCTCAGAGCAAGGGTCGCCCTAGGTCGCAGGCCCTGCCCTCTTGCAGGAGCCTGTGGCCTGGGGGACAGGGCGGGGTAGGTGATGGTAGCACCTCCAGGCCCACTGGAGGCGATGGTGATGGCGATGGTGGTACCATGCTGACTGCGCTGCGGAATGTGCTCTTGCAGGAGCTGGTGGCCTGGGGGCAGGATGGGGCAGGTGAGGGCCCCTCAACTGCAGGAGGTGAGGGTGGGGCCCTAAAGCAGGAGGCCCAGCATAGGGACTAGAAGTGACAGGAAGAGGAAGCCAAGGTCCCAAGGCAGCCTCTCCATTCTCATATGCCAGTAGACTCCAAAGATGAACACGGAGGCCTAGGAGGAGAACGTTGTAGAGTTGAGTCTTCAGGCAGCTCCCAGGTTGACAGTGTGGTCCCTCCAGAGTTAGGGCCACAGGCCGCAGGGCTCCCCCAAGCTTACAGCCACTTCCTTGTCTCATTTGCAAGGCCCCCACCCCTGCTTTCGTGTTCTCCATCCCTTCCCCCATCTGCAAGGATAGGGCTGGGTTTCGGGTGGGCTCCTGGCTGGTGCAGATGGCGTGGGCTGCCCGCAAGACCTGGGTACTGAGCCTGCATGCCAGGATGCAGGGTGGATGGGTGACCAACAGCTCAGCCTGGCAGCTTAGCAGCAGAGAGGTCCCAGGAAGACAGGGAGGAGATGAGGAGAAGGAAGAGGGAGAGGAGGACAGGACGGGGAGGGAGGGGAGGGGAGGCAGAGGCAGCCCCCTGGCTTTGCCTTGCCTGCGGAGAGCCTCACACTCAGACCGTCCTGAGCCTGACCTCATTACTCTGTCACATTTCTCCCTCAAACCCAATGCCAGGGCTCACCACTTGCTTCTCGCATGGGTGTGATCAGCTTCTCATCTTAGACCTGAACTCTCCCCAAAACACACACACGCACACACACGCACACACTTGCCTTGTCTTCAACAGCTTGCATTTGGTACTCTCCACCCTTACTGAGGAACTTTAGTGGCCAGGGGTGGGGGGTGATGGAGGACACTTCAGTCCCTCAAAGGCTCCTCCCCAGGTTCCCTGGTTCAGGGCCGGGAGTCGAAGTGGCCCCGTGGAGCAAGGCCTTCTAGGGCTTTAGCTCTGACAGCATTCTAGGGCCTAGGCGCCCCCAGGTGGGGTGGCTCCCCCTCAGGTCTAACTCCAGCCCCTGCCAGAAGCAGACCCGCCTCTGCAGAGAGGAAAGCCCTTGGACTTCAGCTTCCTTTGATTCGCGGTGTCTTTGGGGGATTGGGGGGTCCCTGGTTGATTCCCGCTGCACCGTGGGGTCTGCCCTTAAGGTCATATGAAGAGCAGGGCCCGGATGCTCTGAGGACTTTTTCAATACCCTCCACAGGTCAGGGAGGCTGCCCACTTGGTGAGCTCAACTGTTTGGCCATATATCTCTGGGCCCACCACACAAACTGAGAGGTCTCGAATGCCACCAGCACCCGCCAGCCCATCTCTGGCACAGCGGGGCCAGTGCCGTGAACCAGTCTCATTTTCCAACGTGTTTTCCAAGCACTGACACGGCTGAGGCCCTGCTGGGACGCATGGCCAACTTTCCTCCATGACCAGGACCCCCCAGCTTCCCCGCCACATCCACAGCTTCCCCCCAACATCCCTCCTCCAGGTCAATGGGTCCTTCAGCCACATTTTTGGCTCCTGACCCACCCAGGCCTCCCTCAGAGAACCTGGGGTCTCTGGGTTGGAATGTCCCTTAGAGATGTGCCCCCTCCCTCCCCCATGGTAGGACTCAACCCTCCACATCCCCGCCCACCCACCTCCCTGGGCTTGTAGACCTTCTAGGACCGGGAGCTCCCTTCCTCTCCTGGCAGCCAGCTGGTGTTCAGACAGTGATTTCTGGGAGGAGTGCTTTCTTGGACTGAGCTTGAGTCCACATTTCCAGAAGCTTCTACCTCTGGGCCCCTTCTTTCCCCCTTCCTGAGAGGCCCAGCAGCCTCTCTGTTCCCTCCCCAGCCTCCAGCTTTTCCGGAGGAAGATGCCTGGGAGGTGCTATGATTCTGGGGGCGGGTGGTGGGTGGCAGGTGGTGGGTGGTGGGTGGTGGGTGGTGGGGTGGCGTGGGCAGGGAAGCTGCAGCCTGCTGCTGGGTCTTCAGCGACCATCTCCAGGGGCTGAGGGCTGGCCAACAGGTTCTCCATGAGGGGGATGGCCTCCATAACCTCTCAAGATGATCTTCGCCTCTCAAGGCCCTGCCAGTTCCTCAGGGTCCCATAGACTGAACTGCTGAGGTTGGGGAGGCCTGTTGAGCACACTGGCTCCGTGGAGCTGGGTGGAGGAGGGAGATTTTCTTCCAGAGTACACAGGAGCTGGTTTCTTCCCGGTCCTCAGGAGCAGAGAATATGGGGAGGGTTGGGGGAGGCTGCCACACTGCCGTGGTTTCTTCCGCCAAATTCCCCAGTCCTAGGAAAGATCCACAGAAAAACCCACAAGAATTTGAATGTCTGAGCTGGGGCTGTGATTGAGATGAAATTTTCTAAAAAGAAAGAAAGAAAAACAAAAACAAAAAAGAGGGAAAAAAACGCTTAAAAAAAAATCCCAAAGCCTTTGACAGCCCTCAGCTACCAGAAGGGCCTGAGGCAGCAGCCACGTGGAAGGGTAGAGAGCAACCTTGAGGCACTTCGCTGGGCCTGTGTCGGGGCCTCCCAGGCTGAGGTCCCTTCCTGTGACCCCCGGACTCCTGCCCGCTCCCTCCTCCCAGGACGGAGTGAAGTCCCCTCCTGTCACTTGGATGACTGCAGTTGCCTCCCAGCAGGTCCCTGGGTCTCCCTGACTATAGACTTGCCCCCTGATCCCACCCTCCAGGAGATGGCAGGGTAGGGCACAGAGGAGGGCACAGTGGCAGCTGCCTGCTGCTGTCTCCTGGCTACTGGGCACAAGCCACCCTCCAACTCCTTCCTGCCTTGCCCAATCAGCAGGTCCCTGGGTAAGGGGCATTCAGTGAACTGGGGGCTTTGCAGGTCTGGGGGAGGAGCGACTGACATATTTCATTGCAGACGCATTGAGTTTGAGGGTCCTGAGGGATGTAGAAAAATTTGTTAAGTAGACAGGATAGGAAGGAGCCACAGGTAGCCCCAGGAGCCGTGAGGGGAGCAGGGCCCAGCATGTATTACAATAGTGAGCATTTACGTGGTTCTTCGCATGCGCCGGGCACTGTTCTAGGGATTCCACAGGAATTATTACCGCCTGCCATCCTCATTAGCAACCCAGTGGGTAAGGTGCTCTCATTAGCTCCATTAGGTGAGGGCAAAGAGGCACAGAGAGGTTAGGTAACTGGTTCAAAGGCACACAGCTGGTGAGTGACAAGAAATTTCCTTCTAACTACAGCGTGAGCATGGTGAAGAGAAGACGGAGCCCCGCGCTGGGAGAGGAACGCTTCAGTCCGAGTTCCATTCTGCACCCAAGGCTCCCCTTGGTCCTCCTGGGAACCAGGGTGCCCCTTAGTGGTGGTGGCCCAGGAGAACCCGACCAAGGCAGGAGCGCCCCCTCCTGGAAGAGCCTCGCTTCAACGCATCATCATTCCCGGCCGGCAGCAGGGGCGACGCCAGCAAGGCCTGCGACTCAGAGCCAGCTTGGCCCGTTCGCCCCGCCCCTTCCCGGTGTCCGCCCCGCCCCTTTCCCGGTGTCCGCCCCGCCTCCTTCCCGGTGTCCGCCCCGCCCCCTTCCCTGTGTCCGCCCCGCCCCCTTCCCTGTGTCCGCCCTGCCCGCTTCACTGTGGTCCTGCCTCTGGGTGGTGCCGGGGCGGGGGGTGGGAGCCCGGGGCCCGCGCAGGCGGAGATGTCGCCCAATGGGAAGGGTCGGTCGGGAAGGGGGTGGGCGCAGGCGGGTGGGCGGGAAGAACGCTGGAGGTTGATTGGCGGTCTTGCCGGCCAGTGAAGCCAGGGCATGGGCGGGGCGCGGCTCGGAGCGCGAAACATGGCGGGGCAGGACGCTGGCTGCGGCCGTGGCGGCGACGACTACTCAGAGGACGAGGGCGACAGCAGCGTGTCCAGGGCGGCTGTGGAGGTGTTCGGGAAGCTGAAGGTGCTGTTGGCCCAGAAAGCCACTCCAGGGCGGGGGACCGGGGAGGGCCCCGCCCGAGGCCCGGGAGGGCTTGCTGCGGAAGTCCGCGGCGCCACGCGGCCACCGTCGCCGGTTCCGGCTGCGCCCTGTTCCCTTGCAGCAGGGGGTGCTTGTGGATCATTCATCTTTGCCCTTTGGTGTGCCCCAGGCCTTCGTTCTTGCTGTCTCCACGGCCCGTGCCTGGTAGTTGGGGCCAGCACCGCCTGTGGAACTGCAGTACCCGCGCTGGGCGCTCGGAGCAAGTGCAGACACAGAGGACCCAGGCCTGGCCTTAGGGATCTTGCGGGGTCTGGGGGGACAGATGGGCAGAGCCTCGTGCCACTCTGTCAAGTCAGCGAGACTAGGGCTTGGTGTCAGTTGGTGTCAGATGCCAGGGGTGATAGCCTCCAGAAGCCCTCTACAGCCCCACAGGACAGAGCCCTCACTGCAGCAGTGAGGAAAGCTGGCCCACGAGGTTAGGGAGCTGTCCCAGGTCCCCTCGGCCCGCTCGCTCCTCCCCCCAGACACTCCCCCATCCTGTCCGCGACTGGCTCAGTGGTCCCTCTCCCTTTCCCTCTCCCCTTTCCCTCAGTCCCGAAACCTAGGACTCTCTCTTAAGTCTTAGTCTCAGGCGTTGCTCCTAGGTCCTGCTGCCACAAGAGCCCAGAGTGGGAGTACTTGAAAGAGGTGGGGTCTGCATGCCGCGGGAGATGTGGGGTTAAGAATGGGGGGACTTGAACTCTTGGCAAGATGGCAGGACGCGGGTAAAGGAAAGGGTCCTGGGAGCTTGCAGATGTACACTGAGGACTGGGCGCGGCGGCCCACGCCTGTAATCCCACCACTTTGGGAGGCTGAGGTGGGCAGATACCTGAGGTCAGGAGTTTGACACCAGCCTGGCCAACATGGTGAAACTCCGTCTCTATTAAAAATACAAAAATTGTCCGGGCGTGGTGGCGCATGCCTGTAATCCCCCAGCTACCCTGGGAGCTGAGGCAGGAGAATTGCTGGAACCCAGGAGGTGGAGGCTGCAGTGAGCCGAGATCATGCCACTGCACTCCATCCAGGCTGGGCGACAGAGTGAGACTCCGTCTCAAAAATAAATAAATAAATAAAATGAAATGATGTACACTGGGACTTTCAGTGAATGTTGCTTTCCTTTTCCTTGCTTAGGACCTAAACTGCCCCTTCCTCGAGGGTCTGTATATCACAGAGCCAAAGACAATTCAGGAACTGCTGTGCAGCCCCTCAGAGTACCGCTTGGAGATCCTAGAGTGGATGTGTACCCGGTAATGCATCAGTTTCTTCCTCTTCCCACCTGGGGTGTGCATGGGCGCCAGCCAGCCCCACCTGGGGAAGATGGGGTTTGTGGTTACTGTGAGTAGCTGTCTTCCCAGAGGGCTCCACCCCCTAGCCTGGACCCTCGTGAGAACAGCTGTGTAGGTAAGGAGTACTGGTGACAGGCATGATCAAACTTGGGGCAAAGTGGCCCCTGGCGGTGCTGGGCTAGTCCAGCCACCCCTTTGCTGCAGTGCTGAACTTGCCCTCAGCGTTTGCCTTGCCTTATGAGTTTGGAGGTTCAGGACTGGCAGGCACCTGAGAAATGCTCCATTCCAGTCCTTTCCTTCTCAGACCCGGAAGCCAAGGGTCAGGCTGGAGGCATGAACAGTCTCTGGTCTCCCAGTGGAGGAGTGACAGGCAGGGCCAGGGCGTGGGCTCCTGGCTGGGTCTCAGCTGGCCAAGTGGTCCTCATGCAGTGTCACCTCTTGTCAGCTTCTGTGCCGTGACCCGTTTCCCAGTCCTCTGGTGCCTTTGGGCCAGGGTGTAGCATGGTGTGTGCCTGGCACCCTATGAAGCCCATGGTGACAGGGTGACTTCCTGAGTGATGGTGGAGGAAATGATCCAGAGTGTCCCATTCCCAGGGCAGACATCCTTCCCCTGGTGACGTAGTCCCTGAGCTGAGGGTCTGTCTCACTGCCTCACAGCTGTGAGTGGAGAAGGCTTTCCCCGCCTCCCACAGAGCACAGGCTCCTGTGGGATTGGGTGTGTGCCCAGGCCATGCTCAGGAACAGCTGTAGTCTGTTGGTACAGGAGCCTCTCGTGAGTCCAGGCCCGGGCCTCCCCCTCCTCAGCCTGCGGCCTGCCTACCCTTGCTGCTTGAGGAAGGGGCCTGGGCGGGAGCCTGGCAGTAGAGCAGTGGGGAGCCAACCTGCATCCAGCCGGTCTGGCCCGCCAGGACCAGAGACATCAGCAGGACGCCCAGCTGGATACAGGCCCCCAGAGGAAGGAGGAGGCGTTTTTGTGTTTGAGCCCTTGCTGTTCCAGAGGCGTCTCCTGCCTCTGCCTTCTAGGCCCTTCCTCAGGCCTCTCCCCAGGGCTCAGCACAGCAGCTCCTCGCTTCATAACCTTTTGCTCTTGCTCACATTGTTCCCCCTCCTGGAAATGGCCTTCTAGTCTCTGCATGTCGTACGTCCTCCTGTACAGCCCGCAAAGACCCAACTCACACGTCCTGTCTCCTTTTAAAATGTTTCCTGTTCCCAGGGCAGAATGTATTCCGCTTCCCTCTGGATGCCCACAGCCTTTGAGCACACCCTGCCCCTGCTGGAGCCCTCAACCTGTGGGTGCACTCTTGGCCTGCTGTCATTTCCGGCTCTTTAGTATGGGAGCCGCAGCATGGTGTGGCCGTGCAGTCGGGGGGTTCTCCAGGCTGCACCTGTGTGCCATTCCACGCGCTGCAGACGTGACTGGGTGTCCTCAGGAGCTGGGTATTTAGTGGGTACAAGTCCTGGGGTTCAGCAGAAATGATGCACAGCACTGCAGTCTGAGTTGGGTGCTGTGGATGTTGGCAGGGAGGAGGTGGCATTTGATCTGGGATGGGGACGGTAACAGCGGGGTGCTCGTTTGGACAGGAGCAGGGAGTTGAGGTGTGGGAGAGAGAGCTGGGCAGCAGCAGCTGGAATGGCAGCTCAGGGCAGCTCCCTCAGGGCCTTGCATGCTGTGCCAAGGCCTTTGAGCTTTATGTTCTGGGCAGGGCAGGCGTGGAACCTGGGGAGCGACGTGCTGAGATTGGCATTTTGGTAAGGTGACTCAGGGTGCTCTGTGGCAGATGGATTTGGAGGGCAATGGCTGCAGGCAGGGAGACCAATACCCCAGGGAAAGACAGAAGGAGCCCTGCGCTGAGTGGCAGATGGCTTGTCTGGCAGCCACTACTGGCCCTGGAGGGACCAGCCCCTGGCCTGGGAACCTGGGAGGCTGGGAGGTGAGGCAGGACTGGAGATGGCTGGGTGGAGTGTGAGGGTCTTGAGCGAGCTCCCAGGAGGAGGCTCTTGTGGGAGGGGGCGCAGATTTGCCTGACTCAGGTGGAAGCTGGGGGCACTTGGGGAACTGGGGTCATCTGGCCAGAGAGGGACGGGTAGGAGGCCAAAGCCACGCCCCTCAGATGCTTCTACAGGTTGAGTGTCCCATATCCAAAATGTCTGGGGGCCAGAAGTGTTTCAGATTTCGATTTCTTCGGATTTTGGAATATATGCATTATACTGGTCGAGTGTCCCTAATCTGAAAATCCGAAATCTCAAATGCTCCAGTGAGCATCTCCTTTGAGCGTCATATCGGCGATCAGAAAGTTTAGGATTTTGGAGCATTTCAGGTTTTCAGATTAGGGATATTCAACCTGTAGTACTTCTGTAAATACCAGAAACCGAATCCTTTGAAAAAGCTGCCAGGGAGCATACGATGACGTTGTCTGATTTCAGGTTGGCGAGAATTCCTTAGGCCTTTTGAGGGTCCTACAGGAGAATCAGATGGATGGGAGTTTTCCTGTGAATTTCCCATTGCCTTTCTTTGTACGTGACCGCACCCTGTCAGCCCCATTTAGGGCCGCCTTTTCATCTCCTCCCAGTAGAACCTGGAAGCTGCACCTAGTGTTGGTCCTTGGTGTGGGTTGGGGCAGAGCTCATGGAGCCCCCTGGATTGTGGAGGTCAAGGCCCTGTGGCTTTCCTTGGGGCCTCCAAGGCCTCCAGCATTTTCTGTTCCTGCTCTGCCCTCTGCTGTGACGGTGCGGTGACTTGAGTGACAGCCCTTACTGAGTCTGGCTACTGGGGCTTCTGCAGCGTGGGTTTTGAGTGTGTTCAGGGTTTACTGTGCCCGCCCTTGCACAGTGCTGGGTGAGTGCCCTCTGCTCCTCCGAGCCTTGTGCTCAGAGATGTTCTCGGCAACCCCGCTGGCAGAGCCCAGCCTGCTGGCCTCCCCCTTCCTTCCCCAACCCCGCTTGCGCAGAACCCACGGTTGTCTTAATAAGTCACAGAGGTGGGTGGTGCTGTGGAGGCAGCCAAGCCCAGCCCGATCTCTGTTGCAGTTCTGGGGCAAGTGTGGCCTCTCCAGGGAACAGCCACCAGCCCTTTCCCACCACACGAGTCAGCAGGCTCCTAGAGTGATGGCAATGGTGAGGTGTAGCCAGGCTCTGGCAGCCTGGTGGAAAGCGACTCCTTCTTGTTTATGAAAGGCTGCTGTGGTGGCAGGTGCCTGGGGCTCCCGGGTAAGAGCCTGTGGCCCCAGCGGCCGGAGTGATGTTTCTGGGCCTCAGTGTCATACCGGGCTTGAGGCATGGGGCTTGGGACTGGGGATGCAGTGCTTGGGCTGTGCTCCCCTGAAGGAGGAGACCCAGTGGAGGGCTGAGCCGTGTGTCACCTGTGGTGCATGTCTGGGTGTCGTGGGACTTCCTGCCTTCCATGCGCTGTGCATGTGGATCTGGTTTTGCCCACCAGATGGCTTTTAAGGTGACATGCTTCTGAGCGGCCCCTGTGTGCTGCAGTCAAGGGCAAGCCTTCACCGTGCCCAAGGTGATGAGCCTCGACTGTGACCACAGACTCTGTTGCGGCAGGAGCCCCCACATGACTGAATGCAGGCCTCACAAGCCTTTTCTGCAGAGGGCCGGGTGGGAAGAAAGTTTTCCACCCTGGAGCAGTTGATGCCGACCCAGGCGAGGCCGGGGAGGGTGCCAGGAGCCCGGGGCCAGCCCTCAAAACCCACCCGCTGCGCCATTTCGAGAAAGAGCCCTGAGTGCTGGCAGCTTCCCTCTCTGCCTCTGCTGCAGCCATCTTTTTTTTTTTTTTTTTTTTTTTTGGTCTTGAGAAGAATTTTCATTTCAGTATCCAGATTCATTTCTGTATCCAGATTTCCGAGGTAAACTTCCTGGAATATTCTTTCCCTAATAATTAATGGAAATGAAATCCACGTGACACAGAAGTAACCACTTTAAAGTGAGCCGCTCCGTGCCGTTGAGCACGTGCACAGGAATTCACTTCTTCCAGCGCGTATAGAGGGCCCAGGGGGATTCTCTGGCTGTCTCCGGCCTGACCAGCTCTGCTGTTTCCCTGCAGGGTCTGGCCCTCACTGCAGGACAGGTTCAGCTCACTGAAAGGGGTCCCAACAGAGGTGAAGATCCAAGGTAGGTGGAATCTTGGTCCATTCTGAGCTTGTCCACAGCCTCCTTATGGAGTGGTGGTGCATGTTCCATTGGACCAACGTTTTCTTTTAGGTGGTGCATGTTGTGTGGATGTTGCTAGAGCCTTCTTGAACCCCACCCTTCCCTAGGCATGGCAGGTGGGAGAACTCCTCTCGCAGGGACCTAGAGCACATCAGTCCCTGCAGCGCTGGTGGCCAGAGACAGAGATTTTTGCCGATGCCAGCAGTGGTTCCGTCTCCCTGTGTCAGTGGTGTGTGACACGCTCTCTACAGGTGGCATTTCTAGGGGCACCTGCTGCTCTCCAGCGGAGCTTGCCTTATAACCTCCTTTCTATCATTTCTTGGTAGAAACCGTGCTTAACCTGGTAATGAATGTTGGATAAAGGTGAGCAAAACTGCAGTCCCCAAGTTGGTGGCTAACTTTTCATCTTCATGGTGATCTCTCTAGAAGTTGGTGGAATGTCAAAGGTCAAATTTTTCATGGGCCTGTGTCTGTTCTGGCCACTCCAGGGTAGATAAGCTGGACCCTGGAGTCCTGATCCGTGCCCCAGCTGGCATTGCCACATGAGTTATCTGGGGCCAGTTCTTCCTGTGCTGAAGTGGGCCAGAAGAAGGAGGTGTTGTTTTAGAGCAGCCGGTGGGCTGGCCTGGGCCACACAGAGGCACTGCCCTTCTCCCTGGAGCTGCCGTGTCTGGTACATTCCAGATTCTCTGACCCACACCAACACATGTGTGACCCGACCCAGCCCAGCCTTAGCCCTGACACCGCCATTCCCAGCCTGTTTCCTCTCCTGTCAAGTGGGGATGAAACCCAGCCTTGCCTACCTCATGGGAATATACTGAGTGTCAGGCTTGTCAGAGGGCAGGTGGGAGAGACCAGGACCAGTAGGGTGTGAGGATAGTTCAGGAATTCATCCGACGAATGGTTAAGGAGCAGCCACCACATGCGAGGCGCTGTTCCTGGTGCTGGGGTGCAGCAGTGAGTTCCACTGCCCTCGTGGCGCTTGCGTGCTAGCGGGGAGAGACAGGGCCAGAGGGTGGGAGAATTGTTCATGCACCTGCCAGCGAGAAGCACTGGGAACAGCCAGCTGAGGGCTGAGGGTCCTGCAGGGCTTGGGGAAAGGGTGGTGCTGTCTTGACATAAGATGGCAGGAGGGGCGGAAGCCAGCGCGGCATGTGCGGAGAGGAAGAGCATGCGCACAGGGCCCCAGGTGGGCTGTGCCTGGCAGCTTGGAGGCACAAGAAGGAGGCTGGTGTGGCTGGAGAGCAGGGCAGGGCAAGGAGTGAGGTTGGGAGGGGACGGGCCAGATCAGGCCAGGCCATGTGGGCCCCAGAAGGACGTGGGCTTTGACTCCGAGGAAGGCCGAGTTCTGCTCTTGGCTGTAACGACACCCCTGGCCCACTGTGCTGGGAACAGGGTGCCCGGGGAAGAGGCAGGGAGAGCGGTGTGGGGCTCTTGCAGTGAGTGGTCCAGGTGAAAGTTTGGAGAGGCAGTGCAGGAGGCAGCGCTGGCCAGATCTGGATTTATAGAGTTGGCTGGACTCGCTGAGAGGAAGAGAGGGGTCAGGGAGGACTTGAGGATGTGGGGTTAAGGGCAGTGGTGGAACAGGCTTGCCTAGGCATGCAGTTGGCATTTATATGGTGGTTCTGGGGTTACTGAGTGCTTCCCCACAGACTCTCTGCTTACTTCTTGCAACAAACCCTCCAGGGTTAGGTGGAGGGGCAGGTCTGGCATCGGCCCCAGGCTTTCTGGCTCCAAGTTACTCAGAAAATGCCCTGGGCACCCTGGCAGATGTGGCTGGATAGTCTGCAGTGTGCACGGCGCCAGGTTCCCCATGCATGAAATGGAACAAGGTCTTCCACCCCCAGGGCTGCTGGCAGGGTGATAGCAGATGATGGCACGAAGGTCCTTTAGGACATGGCCAGATGGGAGCGGTGAGTCCATTTGCTTTGGCCTTGTGAGGTCTTGGAGAGAGTGGCAGACAGTGCACTGTAGAGGTTCACTGACCCCTGTCCACTCCTCAGGCAGCTGCTGGCTTCTGCTCAAAGCCAGAGTGAGTGACCCCAAACCTGGGAGAGCATTGGGTACAATTCCTAATTTTCAGACGAGGAAGCTGATGCCCAGAGAGGGGTGGGGCCACTCAGCAAGAGGCAGCGCTGGCACCTGGGTGCCTGCCTCCTGGCCCACCCTGGTCTCCTATACCCAGTCTAGTCTGTGGGTGCTGGGCTTCCTGGGTGTCTGCTGTCCCCTGCTGTCTGGGCAGGTGCCTGCCATGATGGGCTCTTTGTGTTTCAACAGAAATGACGAAGCTGGGCCACGAGCTGATGCTGTGTGCGCCAGATGACCAGGAGCTCCTCAAGGTAAGAGGGCCTCTGTCTGCTCTGCAGACGGCACGCACGCTTTCTGCCCTGGGCAGGGAACCTCATGGTGCTGGCTGAGGTGGGAGGATTTTCCTCCCCTAGTGCCTTTGAGGTTCCTCAGGCCCTGGGGCCGGCTGGGTGCCCGGGCAGGCTGCTTCTCTAGGCATCCCTGGGGCCAGAACTGCTGGGATTCTCTTGGGTAGAACCTGGTTGTCCCTGGGGCGCAGGGGAGAGGGCAGCCGTGCAGGGAGGGGCAGATCTCTGGCTTCTGATGACCAGTGGGATGGAAAGTGTCCTGTCCTTGGTTGATGACTTCATTCTTCATTCATCCCGGCGCCTGGCTCCCAAGCCCTTGTGGCCCGAGAGTTTCTCCCGAGGTCCCTCATCTACCCTGCGGTAGGTCAAAGAAACTCCAGCACCCACCTTCTCGTTTCTAAATTTTGAAATAATTGTTTTCACTCGATGATTATGAGTAATGCTACTATAAACATTCTTGCATATGATTTTTGACTGAACACGTTTTCTTTTTTTTATATCTGAAGAGATTTATTCACGTGACCAATGGCCTATGACACAGCCCCAGGAGGTCCTGAGAACATGTGCACAAGGTGGTTGGGCTACAGCTGGTTTTCTACGATTTAGGGAGACATAAGACGTCAGTGAATCCATGTGAGATGTACACTGGCTGGTTGAACACGTGTTTTCCATCCTCTTGGGTGTATAGCTGGGAGTGGAATTGCTGGGTCACAGGGTCACTCTGTGCTTAACTTTTCGAGGAGCCCCCAAACTGTTTTCCAGTGCGGCGGCACCATCTTCCTTTTCCAGCAGCAGCGCGGGAGAGCTCCAGTTTCTCCTCGTCCTCGCTGGCACTTGCTGGCATCCGTCTTGTTGATTCTAGCCACCCTGCTCGGTGTGGGGTGGCATCTCATTATGGTTTTGATTTGCATTTCCCCATGACCAGTGATACGGAGCGTCTTTTTGTGAGCTTGTTGGCCATTTCTGTATATGCTTTGGAAAAATTTCCATATTCATGTCCTTTGCCCACTTTTTAATTGGGTCACTTGTCCAGTGAGGTTTTTTTTTTGTTTTGTTTTGTTTTTTTTCTTAATTAGTAGACTTAATAATTTAGGGTAGTTTTAGGTTCACAGCAAAATTGAGCAGAAAGTACAGAGAGTCTCCACAGGCCCCCTGCCCCACACATACACAGCCTCTCCCGCCATGGACACGACACCCTGCACACGGGGGCTCCTTTGTCACAGTCCATGAACCAGCATGGACACATTGTCACCCAAAGTCCATATCCAGTGAGTCTTCTCTCCTGTGGTTGAGAGTCCGTGGTTCTCCGTGTGCCAAGTAGTTCTCTCGACATTTTGCCTATTACTTTGGCTCTGGGAAAATGTATTCTCCACACAATTTATATTTGTATACATATTTGTGCTTTAGCAGGCACTTGACCTGCTTAGGTTTAAGGAGCAAGTTCAGCCGCCTCCCGCCTCTTGCCTGCCGTTCCTTCCAGCATCAGCTCTGTTTCTGCAGCCTTTGCATGGCTCTTCGGGTCCCCCCTGTGTGTGCGCCACCCAGTGGTCAGCCTGGGAGACTTTGCTGGGCTCACCAAGATCAGATCCACTTGTGCACAGGTGGGCCTGAGCCCAGGCATTGTAAACAGATTTGTGGGGTCACTTTCTTGAGCCGTTTCCTCTCCACTGTCTTTTGGATACTTTCTAGTTCCCTGGGGCTCCCTTTTCCTGTCCTCCAGACATAAACCACCCACTTCCGTGATGGTGGTGGCACGGCCAGCTCCCTGCCAGTCTGCAGGAGAACTCGGAATCCTGGTGTTCCTCCCTGACCCACCTGCTGACATTCGCTTCTCAGAGCCTGCGAGCACCTGCCCCATACATTCTGCCCAGCCGTGGGAGCACTGCGCTTGCTTTATATTTCCACATTGGCATTGTGGCAAAGTGCACTTTACGTAAAATCTGCCATGTCAGTCATGAAAAACAATTTCCTAACAGGCCCTGTGGGAGCTCGCTGCTGCTTTTTTTTTTTTTTAATTTAAAAAATTATGGTAAAATACACATCACCTAAATTGTATCATGTTCACCATTTTTAAGTGTGCGGTCCAGGGGCATAAGCACATTCACGGTTCTGTGCAGCCATCACCACCATCCAGCCGCAGAACTTGTTCATCTTCCCAAACTGATACTTCGTCCTCAATTTTTAAGCCGCGTTAAAGCGTACGATTTAGTGGTCTTCAGTACATTCACAGTGTTGTATGACCACCACCTCTATCCAGTTCCACAACATTTTCATCACCCCCAAAAGACCCTGAACCACTGAGTAGCCACTCCCCATTCCCCTCAGGCCTTGGCAGCCACTGAGTTACCATCTGTCTGTATGTCATTGGAGTGGAATGCTGGAATGTGTGGCCTTTGGTGCCTGGCTTCCTCACTGAGCACAAGGTTTTCAAGGTTTGTCCATGTTGCGGCAGCACTTAGCAGGACTGCATTCCTTGTTATGGATAAACAATCAAAGGAATTGGAGAATTCCATTGGTATTATTGAGACCTGGGAGTTGGAGGAGGGAGGAAGGAGATACAGATTTAAGATCATTAGGTAGGGTCAACCCTTGTAGTCCTGAGTTTTAATTGGGAATATCAGCATGAGCCCCCGGGCTTCAAGCGATCCTCCCACCTCAGCCCTCTGAGTAGCTGGGGTCACAGGCATGCGCCACCACACTCAGCTAATTTTTAAAATTTTTGTAGAGAGGAGGTCTTGCCATGTTGCCCAAGCTGGTCTCGAACTCCTGGGCTCAGGCAATCCTCCCACTTTAGCCTCCCAAAGTGCTGGGATGACGGGCATGAGCCATTGTGCCCGTCCTCCGCATATATTTTTACATTAAGGGATATATATGTATTTCCTTATCTTGTGCCCTGAAAATGCCTAGAACAATATGACACCCCGGCTGTAATGCAGGCGGAAACACAGAGAGCAGCAGTCACCCAAGACTTGGGTCACGTCCGAGGGACTCAGGAGCCAACTAGCAATAGTCAGAGAGGGGCCAGTGGGAGCCTCGTAAGCATAGGGGCTGCAGTAGACAGGCACCCTTCACGTATGCCCAAATCCAGGTGTTCATAGTGATGTTTTATAAAGTCATCAATTTGACACTAAAAACATAAGCGACAAAAGAAAAAACAGATCAATTGGACTTCATTAAAATGAAACACTTTGGTCCACCAAAGGACACCATGAAGAAAGTGAAGAAACAGAAAAACCTACAGAAAGGCGGTAAATAGTTGTAAATCACATGACTGATGAGGGACTTGTATCCCGAATCTATTAACAACCCTTACAACTCAATAAGAAAGACAGAAAACCCAGTTCAAAAATGGACAAAGTGTCCGAATAGACGTTTCTCCGAAGAAGATGAACAAATGGCCAAGAAGCACAAGCAAAGATGGCCAGCATCACGGGCCATTAGAGGAACACAAAGCAAAATCATCATGAGATGCCACTTCACACACACTAGGATGGCTAGAATCAAAAAAGAAAAGGAGGCCGGGCCTGGTGGCTCATGCCTGTAATCCCAGCACTTTGGGAGGCCGAGGCAGGAGGATCGCTTGAGCTCAGGAGTTTAAGACCAGCCCAGACAACATCGTAAGACCCCGTCTCTACAAAAAGTAAAAAATTAGCCAGACATGATGGCACACTGCTGTAGTCCCAGCCACTTGGGAAGCTGAGGCGGGAGGATCACATAGAGCCCAGGAGTTCAAGGCTTCAGTGAGCTATGATGGTACCATTGCACTCCAGCCTGAGCGACAGAGCAAGACCCTGTTGTTTAAGAAAAAAAAGGAAAATCCCAGTGTTGGCCAGGATGAGGAGAGATTGGAACCCTTCTGCATTGCTGTAGGAATATAAAATGGTGCAGCTGTTATGGAAAAGTCTGGCAGTTCCTGAAAGATGTCAACACAGTTACCCCGTGACCCAGCAGTTCCACTCCCAGCTGTCCACCCAGGAGAAGTGAAAATATACATGCACACAAAATCCTGTACCTGAGCGTCCATAGAAGTGTTATTCTTAATGGCCTGAAAGTGGAAAGAGCCCAAATGTCCATCAGCTGGTGAATGTATAAACTAACTAGCAATAAAAAGGAAATCAACTACTCATCTGCGCTGGGACACGCGTGATCCTCGCCAGCCTCATGCTTGGTAGTGTATGATTCCATTGCTGTGCAGCATGTAGATAGGCCAGGTCAGTGCTGTGGGGACGTGGCAGCCCGCTGCCCCCAGATCACCTTGGAGCACATGACTGTGGTCAGCACCACCGTGCAGGCAGTGAGCCCTCCCAGTGCCATCGCCCCTGTCCTGGGTGCCCTGAGCTTCTCGCACCTGTGCTCCTGAATCTGCCTCAGTTGGATGTCATGGTGATGCCCAGGCTCTATGCTATTGGCAGTGTTGCCAATTTTACCTTATCATTGCCCCCGCCTGCCACACACTTTTCTGAGGAATGCACCAGAACGGACTGGCTCAGCCAGCTGCTCTGGCAGCTTCCCCAAGCCCGCCAAGGAGCATTTGTGTGACAAGTTGGCGCTGAAGGCACAGGCCACAGTGAAAGGGCCAAGGCACTCCCGGTGGCATTTCATGCCATGGAGTTGACCCTTTTGACGTGGTTAGGATGTTCAGAGCTCAAGAAGTAGGCCTGGCTGGGGGCTTTCTGGAGCAGGCGTAGCCTCTCAGGTCCTGGGGCTCCTCAGCGATCCTCTTCCCTTTTCTGGAAGGAGGAAAGAGCTGTGCTTCCGGAAGCCTTGAGCTTCTGGCTGGGTGGCTCCCATGGGTATCTCACTCACCTTTCCGGCGAGTGGGGGACTAATTCAGCCCCGCAGGAGCTGCTGCTCCTGGAGCCTGGGCCTTCCGGGCTGGAACGCCAGTCCCCTGGCTGGAAAGCAGGCCACCTCTCAGCCCCATCCTGTCGGCTTCATCTGTTCCCAGCTGGGACGGCGATCCTTGGAGGAGAACAGGCCTTGTCCTGGAGGTGTCCCTGTGGGCTGTGTTCTGTCATAGCAGGCCCTGCTGTGTGCTGCCTGCCCACCCAGCAAGCCATGCTGTCGGCTGCACGACAGACACATATGCTCCTGTATGTTTCTGCAGTGCTCAGCCCGTTCTGGCGTGTGGTCCCAGCATCATTACAGCCCAAGGCAGGGACCAGGCAGGGAGCACTTGCTAGTCCAAGACATTGCTGGGCAGGCACAGGGTCGTTGATGGGCCAGGCCCCTCCTTTCCCCTGGCTCCTGGCATGGGTGGCATGTGGGGGCAGGGGCACTGGGGACAGCTGGCCTTGGCCTGGCTTAGATGGAGCCAGTGAATGTCTGTGGTCTTCCTTGCCCAGGGCTGTGCCTGCGCCCAGAAGCAGCTACACTTCATGGACCAGTTGCTCGATACCATCCGGAGCCTGACCATTGGGTGCTCCAGTTGCTCGAGGTAAAGGTGTGGATGGCCCAGGTGGGCAGTATTGACGGGCTTCTCTTGGTCCTAGTTCTGGAGCTGGTAGGGGCTGGGGTGTCACTCCCCCTCTGATGCTGGCTGGGGTGTGACACCCCACTTGGGGATCTGGCTGGCCAATCAGGGGCCGGGCAGCATACGGGCAAGGGGCAGCTGTGTCCCAAGGGTGCTGGCTGTTGCCCAAGGCCCCGGGGGTGAGTATGAAGGTGGGATGTGGGCCTCAGAGCAGACGGGCCAGGCACAGAGGAGGGTGAGCACCTAGGGTGCTCCATGGGTGGGTAGGTAGGCGGGCAAAAATGGAGGAGCCAGGGCAGACAGGTGGGGCAGGATTCTGCGCGGTGGGGCTTGTCCTGGCCTCTGTGCCTGGCCCCGATGTGCTTCTGGGGCCTTCCCTGTGGGGCTGAGGGCCTGCTGGGCGAGTGCTCTGGCCTGTGACGGTGTGGCCCTGGGGGCTGCCTTTGCAGCCTGATGGAGCACTTCGAGGACACCAGGGAGAAGAACGAGGCCTTGCTGGGGGAGCTCTTCTCTAGCCCCCACCTGCAGATGCTCCTGAATCCAGAGTGCGACCCGTGGCCCCTGGACATGCAGCCCCTCCTCAACAAGCAGAGTGATGACTGGCAGTGGTACGTGCTCCTGGAGGCCTCAGTGGCAGCACCCTGGCCTCCTGTCCCAGCCCCAGGCTGCTTGGTTCTGTTACTGCAGACACCCCTGGCAGCGGTGAGTTGCAAGTGTTCCCTTTCTCTCCCTGCAGGGCCAGTGCCTCTGCCAAGTCCGAGGAGGAGGAGAAGCTGGCGGAGCTTGCCAGGCAGCTGCAGGAGAGTGCTGCCAAGTTGCACGCGCTTAGAACGGAGGTGAGGGTGCTAGCTCCTGGGAGGGGGTTGCTTGGAGGCAAGGCCCTGCTTTGTCACCTCCCTCAGCACGTGAGGCTTAGGCGAGGTTGCCTGTGCACCGGGCCTGACATGTTCTAGAATACTGTGGTGCTCAGTCCGCGGGGAGGTGAGAGGTGGGTCCCGTGGCTGGGGGAAGGGATCAGCCTCAGGTATTGGGTGGTGCCCACGCCTGAGCACATTGCCATGTGCCTTGCCGCACGTGGTCCTCCTGGCAGCCCTTGGCCTGGCCTCTGTTTGATTGCGGAGGAGACCGGGGCCCACAGGAGAGTGAGTGAGGGGGCTGAGGCTGGGAGCCAGAAGGTCTTGCTCTGGCCTGAGTCGCTCGGTACAGCTCCCCTGTGTCCCTGTTTCTGAAAGCTTTCTTCCTCGCCCTGGGTGTGCAGTGTCTGAGGTGAGGGCCGGTGGCAGCCTGGCTGGTGGGCAGGGCAGCCTCAAGGGACTCTGCCTCTGGCTTTGCAGTACTTTGCACAGCATGAGCAAGGGGCTGCTGCGGGCGCAGCCGACATCAGCACCCTAGACCAGAAGCTGCGTCTGGTCACTTCCGACTTCCACCAGCTAATCTTGGCTTTTCTCCAAGTCTACGACGACGAGCTGGGCGAGTGCTGCCAGCGCCCAGGCCCTGACCTCCACCCGTGCGGCCCCATCATCCAGGCCACGCACCAGAATCTGACTTCCTACAGCCAAGTAAGGGTGCCCTTCCCCTCCCCTCTAACCGCCCCCTCCCCTGTTCACTCAGACTGAGAGCTTATATCCTGCTTGGGCTCAGGGGCCTCAGCAGCCCCTGACAAGGGACCACAGGGCAGGACCAGGGGCTGGGAGGGGCTGGGCTGGGCTCCCTGCTGGCCAGTGGCGTGGCAGGGCTCTGGGCCCCTCAGTGGGCTGGGGAGGTGCTGCTTCTGGTCCTTGGACCTGCCCACCTTAGCAGGCACTAGCTAGGCCCAGATCCGGTGTGGGGTCCTGCGTGTCCCAGCCTCCAGGTGCTGTTCCTGTGTTGGCCGCACTGTTGTCACGTTACGCTCCAAAATAGCAAGGTCCATTCATTCTTGTGGATGACCAAGAACTGTGCCAGACAGGCAGACAAATGCCTGCCTGTCTGCCCATGAGCCTGCTCAGACAGGATGAGAGGAAGTGGGCTCGTCAATGTTTGCTTGTTTCGTTGTTCCACATGTGAGATCCCCAGAGGCCAACCTAAAAAGCCGGCTTTAGTTACGATGACTACAGTTCCCACGTGCGCAACTCTGCCCTTGGCTCAAGGATTCCGTGATGTTCATTTTGGTTTTCTAAGCGAGAGGCTCCGAGCCTTCCAACCTCTGACTGGCTGGTCCTGTGAGACCCCTCGATCAGGGATGGTGAGGCCACAGCCCTCTCCTGTCCATTTTTCTTGGGACATTTATTTTCCCCCCTTGCCAATTGCTGGGGCTGGGAGGACACGCAGTGCTGGCTGGCATGTCCCTAGGCATCGAGGGTTGCCAGAGCGACATGAGAGTGTGGCATCCCCACTGGGCCAGGAAGAGGGGACTTAGGTCCGAGAACTCTGATTGGTGACTTCCCCGCTGGGAGTTCTGTCCCTCACCCTTGGCTGTCTTTCAGGTGAATGCCACCTGATCAGTGTGAGTGGGGGTGGGAAGCAGGAGATGCCGTCGCTACGTGAGACCAGCGGCATTTAGTGCCTGCTCGCTCCCTCCCTCCCTCCCTCCCTCCCTCCCTCCCTCCCCAGCTGCTGCAAGTGGTCATGGCAGTTGCTGACACCTCTGCGAAGGCCGTGGAGACCGTGAAGAAGCAGCAAGGCGAGCAGATCTGCTGGGGTGGCAGCAGCTCCGTCATGAGTCTAGGTACGTGGCTGCCCACCTGGCCCTCTGCCTGGGGCTGCCCCACGCACAGGCTTCCTTTTCTGTGCTCCACTAGCCCTGGAGGAGCATTTGGGGACCGGCCCCTTCTTTTGTTTTTCATTTTCTAATGCATGTTTTCCTTCACTTGAAAAAATGCTTTCAGCGGATTATCAAATGAAAACGCTCATCGTAGAAAATTGAGATAACTCAGTAATAGAAAATGTGAAGCAAATGATAACAAATGCCTGAATGGAATAGTATTTGACAATTAAAAATGTAACTTGGGCCAGGCGCGGTGGCTCATGCCTGTAATCCCAGCACTTTGGGAAGCAGAGGAGGATGAACCACTTTGAGCATAGAGATCAGCCTGGGCAACATGGCAAAACCACGTTTCTACTAAAATACAGAAACTAGCTGGGCATGGTGGCGTGCACCTGCAGTCTCAGCTACTTGGGAGGCTGAGGTGGGAGGATCACTTGAGCCCATGAGAGGGAAGTTGCAGTGAGCTGAGGTCACGCCACAGTACTCCAGCCTGGGTGACAGCCAGACCCTGTCTTAAAAAAAAAAAAAAAAAAGTTACTTAAGGAAAATGGGAAAAGGCTTATAATGAGGGCCATCTTCTCAGAGTTGATTTTTGCATATGGAGTGAGGTGGGGATCCAGTTTCCTCGTATCCTATATGGATACACATTTGTCGCAGCACCATTGACTGGAAATCACTCTTTCTCTCATTGATCTGCAATACCATCACTCTTGGTAATTATTAAGTATCCATATGTTATGTGTGGGTTTCTGGGTTCTCCTCTGTTCCATTCTATTCCTTTTTTTTTTTGCTATCCCTGCACTAATACCACGTTTCAGGGGGCTAGAAAATAAACAGCAAAATAAACCCAAAGAAAGAAGGTAAAGCCAGTTTTCTACCTCTTCTAATTTATTTTTTAAATAACAGCTCTACTGAATTCAAGTTCATATAACATAAAATTTACCCTTTTAAAAGTGTACAATTTCATGGTCTTTAGGATATTCACAGAGTTGTGTAACCATCCTCTTATCACTATCTGAGTCCAGAACATTTTTATCACCCCCAGAAGAAACCCCATATGATTAGCAGCCATTCCCCATCCCTCCCTAGCCTCAACTCCTGGCAACCACTGTCATAGAGACGCTGTCTGTCTCTATGGATTTGCCTGTGCTGGACATTTCCTATAAATGGAATAACAATGTGTGGCCTTTTGTGACTGGTGTCTTTCACTGAGCATAAAGTTTTGTAAGGGTTATCCATGTAGTTCATTCCTTTTCATGGTTGAATAATATTTGATTGTGTGGATATCCCACATTTTGTTGTAGTTGGTAGATGTGGGTTTCTACTTTTTGGCTATGTACATCGTAAGTCTTTTGTGTGAACGTATTTTTCTTTTTCTTTTTGAGATGGAGTCTCGCTCTGTCACCCAGGCTGGAGTGCAGTCTCAGCTCACTGCAACCTCCACCTCCTGGGTTGAAGCAATTCTGCCTCAGCCTCCCGGGTAGCTGGGGTTACAGGCACTCACCACCACGCCTGACTAATTTTTGTATTTTTAAGTACAGATGGGGTTTTGCCATGTTGGCCGGGCTGGTCTCGAACTGCTGACCTCAGGTGATCCACCTGTCTCGGCCTCCCAAAGTACTGGGATTATAGGTATGAGCCACCGCGCCCAGCCTCTTTAACTCTGTTTTTTAAAGTTATTTTTTAAGTGGTTGGCTTTAGAATTACAGTTAGCATCCTAACTGAAAACAGTCTAGTACCAAATGAATTTCAATAGTATACAGAAACTGCCTCCTATTAAAGCAAAATGTATTTGTGGGTACACCATTTTAATTCCCTTGTTGGTTCTTTAACACTTCTTTTAAAAGTTATTTTTAAGTGGTTGTCCTTAGAATTGCATTTAGCATCCTAACTGAAAACAGTGTATTACCAAACTAATTTCAGTTGTATACAAAAACTTTGCCCATTAGAATGAAGCTGTATTAAATGTGTACATTGGTACACATTTTTATATTTATCGATGTTGTTACCTTTGTTGGAGTTCTTTATTTCTTCATGTGGATTTGTGTTACTGTCTAGTGTCCTTCCATGCCATCCCGGAGGCCTACCCTTAGTATTTCCTGTAGGGAAGGCTCACTAGTGATGAACTCCCTCATTTTTTATGTGGGAATGTCTTCATTTCTCCTTCATCTTTGAAGGATAGTTTTGCTGAATATAGAATTCTTTTGTACTTTGAATGTGTCATTTCAGTGTCCTCTGGCTGCCAAAGCTTCTGATGCGAAGCCAGCTGGTATATGATGAGTCTCTTCACTTTCTTTTCAAAATTCTGTTGGTCCCTGGCTTTGGACAGTTTGATTATAATCTGTCTTCGTGTGAATCACTGTGAATTTATTCCATTGGGAGCTTTTTGAGCTTTGTAAATGTGTCGTCATTCATGTTTTTCATCAACACTCAGCCAGGTAGTTGACAGCTCTTTCTCCTTCACATCTTGCTTGCTCAGAGCCTCAAGGTCAGCCAGAGGTGAGAGATCAGGGCCTTCTCAGGTCTCTCTCTCTGGGATTTTCACAGCCCGGCACACACCCATGGTCTTCCAGATTCCCAGGACTGTGCCAGAGCTTTCCAGAGCCTTTGTGGACATCTGATTTTCCAGCCTCTCCTGAGCTTCTTGTTTAGTCTCTTGTTTGCCCCGGCTATTATGCACTGCCTCAGGCAGCAGCAGCTAAAGCATTTGCTGTAAATGTTTTCCACTGTTGCACCCCCAAGTAGTGGTTTCAGGTCCATAGCCTCTGAGCCCTAGTTTTGGAGACTGTCTTTGGATGAACCCTCCAGCCAGCCGTCTCCTCGGAGAGCCAGGCTTCTCACTGCTCTTGGCCTCGGCACATAACTACCCCATGTATACCAGGCACTGAGGAGCCTCTTCTTGCCAATTGAACTGCAGCAGAACCCTCCACTTTAAAATGTATTATAGCGTTTATCCTAATCACCAGTCACTATGACTCTCTTCCCAGTTTTTATAATTGCTGTTAGTAAACTGCTTATAATCTATGCCATCATTCTTATAATGATCATTGGTATTCGCAACAGTGTGCCATCTCACCTGTGACTGTGGCACCATAGGACTGGTGGCAGGTCTTGCCTTTCAGAAAGGCCCCTTATCGCTTCTTGGCTAAGATCAAGTGTAGTATCTGTTCTTACCAGAAAGGCACCCTTTACATCCAGGCCGTGTGAACTGGGCAGTGCGTTGTGTACAGGGAAGTGTCTCTTCACCCTTGAGCCCCGGCCACTTTGGGGGTCTGGAGAGACGCCAGGGGAGCAGGCCTACGGCGGGCATCGGCCTCTCTAGGGGCTCTCAACTCAGCTCCCATCAGTTCAGCATCCTGATGTGGCTTGAGATGAATTCTTAGTGTCTGGACACACCAGAGAAAGGGTCAGCATCAAATCCACGCCAAAGGCCACTCGGGACAGTTCTTTATTTGTCCCGTTTCCCATCTGACCCCTTGAGGGCCGTGGTCTCGATGGCCCTCCTCCCGCTGTGGAAGGCCGTGTTTCTGTGCTGTTTCACCTCCCAGCGATCTGCATGCCCGCAGCCAGGCTCTGTTGGAGGTGCGGCACCACCTATGAAGTGAGGAGCAGCCAGTGTGCCTTCTGGGCTCTTGCTGGGGGCATGGCCTCATGTGAGTTGGGAGGGCCTTGGCACTGTGGATCAGCACCACACACCAGGAGTCGCCCCCCAGGCTTCCTGAAACCTCACTGCCATGAAAACATCAATGTATTTAGAAACCGAAGCAATGCTGTCAGTGCAAGAATGGGACAGGAGAGTTGAGGGTACCAACAGTGGAGAGATGCCACCAACCCCGGCAGTGGTGACGGGCTCAGCGGGCGGGGAAGGTGGCAGCCTAGAGGACAGCCCAAGGGGCAGCGGGGTGCCAGGGACAGGGCAGTGGTGAGCAGATGGAAGCAGAGGGCACAGGTGAAGCAGGTCTGGAGAGGCCCACCTCCCCGGCGAGACCCTAGCCTGTTCTTCTGTGAAGAAAGTGATGGAAATGAATAAGCAAACCAGCTCCCAAGCTGGTGGCCCGGCTCACACAGAGCCTGAGCGGCTCCCAGCTCGTCTCTTGATGTGGCTGATGTGGCTGGCGGCAGCCCGGGTGAAACCTACCTTTTTGCAGCCTCTGAGGGTCCATGGGGCAAGAGCTGATCCCTGCCTCGCCTCCATGGAACTCCTCCAAACTGTCCTCCAGAGAGAGACCCCACAGGCAACGGCTCCACCACAGCAGACCAGGGGCAGTGGCAGCTACCCAGATCCTCTTCCCAGCCCCTGTGGCTCGAAAAGCAGCCCCATGCAGGAGAGAAGGAAGCCCTGGATGAGCAGGAAATCTGACCTGAAGGACTTTCCGACACCACTGAATACACTCAGTGCGACATCCAGACATGCTTGGACAGCTGTGAAAACCCAGCCACAAAGAGACTAGAAACGAAGTGAGGCTGGGATCTCTAAGAAGAGAGAAAACAGAGAGAAAAACCAGCACAAAGATCAGCATCACACAGGCCCCAGCCAGGCACAGGGTCTCCAGGGCAGGGGACAGGGGAGATGAAGGGCAGGGCTCCGGAGGAGGTGGGCACACAGTACAAGCCAGGTGAGTGCAGGCGCCGAGCACAGGGTAGATGGAACCCACCTCCTGCCATCTGGAGTACAGGGGCCAAGGGCTGGGGCCAAAGCTTCAAGAGAGACAGCCTGTGGCCTCAGAGGAGCAGCCAGGATGCCTTACAAGCACTGAGGGCCCTGCACACCCGGCCTTGGGCTCTGGACCCTGCCAAGCCCTGCACCAAGAGTGAGGGCAGAGCAGGAAGGCCGGGATGGAGGTCTAGACGATTTGATAAGGGCAGATGCCACACGAGGGACACAGTCCGGAGCCTAGGAAGACAGTCTAGAGCAGTGCGCATTGCGGCAGGAAGCCCCTCTGCTGGGATGCCACTGGAAGCTGATGGCGAGTGGAGAGGGTCCTGGGGCGCAATTCCAGGCGGGCTGAGCACATTCCCCAGCTCGGTGTCACCCCGAGGCACACCCCAGGATTCCTGAGCTTCAGAGTCACCCTCGGGATGGGCAGAGGATGACAGATTCAGGGTTCACAGCACTTAATGTCAATGCTAATGACTTCAACATGTAAAAGGCAAAGTCTAGCTGACAGTGGGGCCACGGATGGGGAGCGGACAGGCAGGGCAGGTGAGGGGCTGTGTCCTCCTCTGTCTGCTGGGGGAGGGGGATGATGGCCATGGTCTAGGGTTGGCAACTGAGAGGCAGATGTGGTCATGGCAGATAAGGTCAGCGCAGCCACCACGGTCGCCACTGGGCCGGGCAGCCAAGGCTTAGGGCTGTCTGTGTGATTGGGTTTATTGTGTGTGCAGTGTTCTCCATCTGGTTAATACTGAACGTGCCACTGAAGTCAGGACAGCCCCTGCCTCCTCACTGTGTGCCATGTGCTGCCCCTGGGGCTTGGGGGGCAGGGGGCAGGTGGGCGGGGGCACAGCCGGGTCAACAGACCCTGGCCTGGGTCTCGGAACTGTGCTGCGGTCGGTGTGACCCAGCCCAGGGCTCCCAAGCTGCTGGCCTGGTCCCCACAGAGCCTGAGCAGCTCCCAGCTCGGCAGTGCCTGTCCCTTCCCTGCCATCCTGGTGGTGCCTGGGGCTCAAGGAGGATCAGCTGAGGACATGTGCCTTGAGTGGTGGGCAGGAGGCACCTCGCCTCTTGCGCCAGGCTCGCTTTCCTGTTGGTTTCTTTTCTATTTATTTATTTGTTTATTTTATTTATTTATTTTATATATATATATTTTTATTATACTTTAAGTTCTAGGGTACATGTGCACAACGTGCAGGTTAGTTACATATGTATACATGTGCCACGTTGGTGTGCTGCACCCATTAACTCGTCATTTACATTAGGTATATCTCCTAATGCTATCCCTCCTCCCTCCCCCCACCCCACAACAGGCCCCAGTGTGTGATGTTCCCCTTCCTGTGTCCAAGTGTTCTCATTGTTCAGTTCCCACCTATGAGTGAGAACATGCGGTGTTTGGTTTTTTGTCCTTGCGATAGTTTGCTGAGAATGATGGTTTCCAGCTTCATCCATGTCCCTACAAAGGACATGAACTCATCTTTTTTTATGGGCCGCGTAGTATTCCATGGTGTATATGTGCCATATTTTCTTAATCCAGTCTATCAGTGTTGGACATTTGGGTTGGTTCCAAGTCTTTGCTATTGTGAATAGTGCTGCAATAAACATACGTGTGCATGTGTCTGTATAGCAGCATGATTTATAGTCCTTTGGGTATATACCCAGTAATGGGATGGCTGGGTCAAATGGTATTTCTAGTTCTAGATCCCTGAGGAATCGCCACACTGACTTCCACAATGGTGGAACTAGTTTACACTCCCACCATCCTTTTGGTTTCTTTTCTTTCCTCTGCAGCTACCAAGATGAATGAACTAATGGAGAAATAGAAAGTCTTCAGTGATGGCCTACGCCAAAGCACAGGATGGGGCGGGCAGGAAGCCCTCTCCCAAGATCGAGTTGGCCGAGGATGGATGATTGTGGCAGCAGAAGCCGTTGCAGCCCCACGTTGTGCTCTAGGCAGGGACCTTTGGCCCCTTTGGGGAGGGAGAGACAGACGGGCGGTTTGACTTGGACACAAAGAAAGCCTTGGTTTCTAAGCAGTTGCCTCCAGCCTGCTTTCTGCTTCCTCAGCTCTATGTCTCTCTCCTTCCCCTTGTCCTGAGCTGCTCAGGTGGCCCAGGTCTGGGCAGGCTGGCGGCGGCCCTCCTGTCATCTTGGCGGGCCTGGGCTGCGTCCTCTTCCTGTGGCTCCACTCCTCCCTGCTGCTGCCAGCCACTTGAAAGCAGAGAACCCACTGTCGCCTCCCCCGGCTGGCCTTAGGGTCCTGTGCGAGACGCACCCCTCAGCCGCCCTCCTTGAGTGCCCCTGGATCCCCCGCGGGGTACCAGTTTCCTGCTCCTCCCTGGCTGGGCGCTCAGCTCTGGGCTGGGGAATTCAGCCTGACTGGTTGTCCAGGAAGATGCTGTCTGGGCTTCCCAGGGTGACCCAGTATCTCCCTGAGCAGTGTGCCTGTCACAGCTGCCTCCCTCCCTGTGAGTACCGGAACAGGCGTGACTGGTAGGGCCTCTGCCTCCTTGGGGCCATTGTACCTGCTGCTGCCCGCCCCACCCTGCTCCCTCCTGGCACCATCTCCTTTGCTTCCCCAAGGTCCCTGTGGGCACACAAGGCAAGGAGGCCAGGAGGAGCCAGGTGCCAGACCCCCCTCCATCCCAGTCGCCTGAGGCATCCCCCAGCCACCACTGTGAGAGGTGGGAGGCCGGGCAGGCCTGTGGTCACCATGGTGCAGGTGCACCACCTGATTTATAGGCCAAGGGACTCCTCTTGGTCACCTCTCTGTGCCCCCAGCATGGGGCTGGCCCTGCAGTGCACCCACCATCAAGGGCTGTTGTCTCTTGCTCCAGAATGAGGTCTTCAGGGCGCCACTGCTCGCAGGACCGGGAAGGACCTGGTGCCCTTTGCCTGGAGCGGGATAGACAGGGCAGGTCCCTGAGCCTGGGGTCCGAGGGGCTGGGCTTCACTCCTCCTGTAGTCCCGGCGCTCCTGGCCCACCCCCTAACGTTGCTTATCTGTGGTGGAGGAAGCATTAGCTCAGCTGCGGCCTGCACAGCTCCCGGGCCAGGCCCACCTCCCTTCCTTCCCCAGCAGCCACTGTTAGGTGCACGGTAGACATGATGAAGCGACGTCCTTAAAGCAGATAGCATCTCCCGAGGCTGCCCCATCCCTAGGTTTTGGGGGAGCACCCCTTCCCCTTTGGAGGCTGAGCACGGCATGTGTGGGCACCTTGGTCACACTCCAGAGCTCGCTTCATCCCCACGAGCGGCACCTGATCTCCAGTGACGGGGAGACTGAGGCCTGGCAAAGAGGACCTGTTGCCTTTGTGTAACTGGCCCCAGCATGGGGGAGGCATTGGCCCCAGCATGGGGGAGGCATTGACCCCAGGCCTGCCAGGCCTGGCAGCCACAGCCTGGCTAGGTGGAGGTTACTGCCTTCCGCACCACTCTGGCTTCCTCCCCGTGCCTGTGAAGAGCTCGGGGCCTGCTTCCTAATTTGTAAACACGGGGCGTGTGTCTCAGTGGCTGTGAGCTAGCGAGGGGGTGGCGAGCGAGCCGGCTGCGCAGGTCCTGAGGCCCCAGGCCTCATTGTTGGCCAACAGGCAGCTGGGGGCGGGCTGCGGCCGCTGATTAAAGGCCGCCTAGAGCAGCCTGTGTGGCGACAGGTGCCCAGAAGCCCAGGAAGCCGGTCAGTGCCCGCCCCAGGTAAGCTGGTGTGGTGGGGTTGGCAAGGACAGTCTCCCCGGGAGCCTGGGGGCAAGCAGGCAGAGGCCAGCTCGGGACCAGCACCTGTGTGCCAGGGACAAGGGTGGGGAGGTCGAGCCCAGCGGGAGCTGGGTGCACTGCATGGGCTCTTTCGGGTGGCTGCTTGCCTGCTTCCCGGCAGCTGGTTCCAGGGCTGGAGACCCAGTGTGCTATGCCCCAGGTTCCCAGCCAAGGCATTCCGGTGAAGGGGCTGGACCCCGCCAAGGTGCGGTCCCTGAGCTGCCTCTGCCTCTCCCAATCCCTGCTGGGGACTGTGGCTGGAGGCAGGCAGTAGAGCGCTCTGAGGCCTGCCTTTTCTGTTCAGTAGGTGACAGGAGTGGGGCTGACGCTCCCAGAGCCAAAGGTCACAGGTGCTGTGGTCGGGGGTGGCAGGAAGTGAGCCCCAGAAGGGTCAGAGCTTTGGCTAGGGGGAGGATGGTACACAGCAGGGCCCGGGCGAACCCCTCTCTCCAGTCCTCAGGGTTTGTGCCTCTCGCTCGGACAGTTTGAGGACTTGCTATCCCCGTGGGAACATCACCATGTCCGAGGCACCCCGGGCCGAGACCTTTGTCTTCCTGGACCTGGAAGCCACTGGGCTCCCCAGTGTGGAGCCCGAGATTGCCGAGCTGTCCCTCTTTGCTGTCCACCGCTCCTCCCTGGAGAACCCGGAGCACGACGAGTCTGGTGCCCTAGTATTGCCCCGGGTCCTGGACAAGCTCACGCTGTGCATGTGCCCGGAGCGCCCCTTCACTGCCAAGGCCAGCGAGATCACCGGCCTGAGCAGTGAGGGCCTGGCGCGATGCCGGAAGGCTGGCTTTGATGGCGCCGTGGTGCGGACGCTGCAGGCCTTCCTGAGCCGCCAGGCAGGGCCCATCTGCCTTGTGGCCCACAATGGCTTTGATTATGATTTCCCCCTGCTGTGTGCCGAGCTGCGGCGCCTGGGTGCCCGCCTGCCCCGGGACACTGTCTGCCTGGACACGCTGCCGGCCCTGCGGGGCCTGGACCGCGCCCACAGCCACGGCACCCGGGCCCGGGGCCGCCAGGGTTACAGCCTCGGCAGCCTCTTCCACCGCTACTTCCGGGCAGAGCCAAGCGCAGCCCACTCAGCCGAGGGCGACGTGCACACCCTGCTCCTGATCTTCCTGCACCGCGCCGCAGAGCTGCTCGCCTGGGCCGATGAGCAGGCCCGTGGGTGGGCCCACATCGAGCCCATGTACTTGCCGCCTGATGACCCCAGCCTGGAGGCCTGAGCACCAGGGCCACCTCCTGTGCCATGGACAGTGCCAGCCTCCACCGTTCAGCTGGCCTCTACCACCCCCGGCTCCTCCTATCTGGGCAGCCTCAGGTCCGTGCACCTGCCAGGCCTTCCCTGGCTGCCTGACCAGCCATACGGCCCTGGATTCCTCTCCAGGCCCCGCTTCCAGGGCCGTGCTCTCCCGGCTGGCCTGGGTGCCCAGCAGAGTTTGCTGTTTCCCAATAAACATTGCCAACTACTCACCCTCCGACTAGCTGGCCAGATACTAGGGGCTGGACTCCCTCGACCCCCTGCTGAGCAGGGCCAGGCGGTGAGCCATGCCAGGGGCCAGCACAAGACCTCCAGGGCCGCCCCCCTATGGCCTCTCCTCGCGGTGAGGACCGTGGGTGGCTGGGTAGGGAGACGTCAAGCTCTTGGGTTGGTCTGAGGGCTGATGGGTTGTGGCTGTGGGCTGATTGCCGCCCATCTGCATTGTCACCCCAGAGGCCCAAAGAAGCCATGAGTAGGGCCTTAAGCCCACAGAGCCGGCCGCCTGCCTGGGCACAAAGCTCAGCTGCAGCGCTTGCCCGCCGTGGGACCTGGAGTCTCTGTCCCTGCTCTGTGAAGTGGTAACAGGGTGAAATGTTAAGAAACGGGGTGCTGGGGAAAAGGGAGGTGCCCCCACATGTGGGCATGCACATGTACATGTACATGCTAAGGGCCCTGACGGTGCACGGAGCAGAGGTGGGGTGGCTGGTGCTGTGAGGGTGACCCTGGAAGGGAGCCTATCCTGCAGCCCGTGTCCCCGTAGGGCCAGGAGGCCGCTCGGTGGGAGGGCAGCTTCTGGCCACCGCACTGTGCTTTGGGTTCCCTGCTAACCTGCCTCAGGGGCCCCACCCTGAGGCACTTCCAGTCTTGGGAGGCCTCATGGGTGGGGAGAGACCTGTCACCAACGCTGGGTCAGGTAAGAAGGGATGGGGTGGCCACGCCTGAGAGTGACTCACATGAGCAAAGCCTGAGCCTCCAGCCAGCTGGACAATCTGGGAAGCCCTAAGTAGGTCAGAATGACTGGAGCCACTGCAGCGTGCACGGTGGTAGGATGGTGAGGCCAGAGCACAGGCAGTGACCACCTCAGACCTTCCTTGTGGCCCGGGCCAGGCCTGACCCTGATGGCAGCGGGGAGCCGCGGAGGGTCATGAGCAGGAGAGGGGAAAAGTCTGGTGTAGGCTTCTGCCATATGCTGCTTGGGCTGCGTGCCGAGCTGTTCTCGAGTTGCTGTGAAGAAATACTTGAGGCTGGGTCATTTACAAAGACAGCGGGTTTATTTTGGCTCAGCAGTGCTGGCATCTGTTAACTGGTGGGGCCTCAGGAAGCTTCCACTTATGGCAGAAGGCAAAGGGGGAGCAAGAGAGAGGCGGGGAGGTGAACTCACAGCGAGAATTCAACTCCTTGCGGAGGTGAGGACGGCACCAAGCCATTCATGAGGGATCCAACCCCATGACCCAAACGCCTCCCACCAAGGCCCCACCTCCAACATTGGGGGTTACATCTCAAACTGAGATTTGGAGGGGACGAACGTCCAAACCACATCAGGCTGCTGCATGGAGAATGGGCTGGAGAGGACAGCGACGGCAAGGCGGGCAGAAGCAGAGCATGGAGGGCTTTGGTGGAGGGAGGGAGAGCTATGGGCCTGGCCAAGGACAGTGGCAGCAGGGGAGGGGAGGGGGCACGGTCTGGGGAAGCCCCACAGGACCTAGTTTGGGAATGTGGTTAGTAACCAGAAGATCTTGTCACAGCCAAGCTTCCCGAGGAGAGCATCACCTGGGAGAGTGTCACAAGCCCTGGGCTGGCCCTACAGAAGCTGGAGTAGGGGACACTGAGCCCCCAGATCCCCTGGTGCCCAGACAGGGCCTGCTTCTGTTTATCTTACTGGCCAGGCTCCAGCTGGGCAGCCGAATCCAGCAGGTGTTACCCTTAAAACCCTGGCCTTGGTTGGGCATGGTGGCTTACGCCTATAATCCCAGCACTTTGGGAGGCCAAGGCAGGCGGATTGCTGGAGCCCAGGAGTTTGAGACTGACCGGGGCAACATAGCAAGACCCTATCTCTACAAAAATTAAAAAGAAAAATTAGGAGTGGAGGCACACATCTGTAGTCCCAGCTACTCAGGAGGCTGAGGGCCAGAGGATCACTTGAGCCTGGGAAAGTGAGGCTGCAGTGAGCCATGATGGCACCACTGTACTCCAGCCTGGGCGACAGTGAGACCCCCCTTCCAAATCCAAAAACAAGAAAAAAAACCTGGTCTTGCCACTGACCTGCTGGGTAGGTGACACCAAGTGGGGCCCTTCTCATTGGGCATGCTAGAAGGGTCTCAACCCCAGGATGGGACAGACAGGCAGGTGACAGCCTGATTTTGGCTGCTGCCGCCTCTGTGGAGGGGTCTCTGGTTTTGGGCCCTCTCACCTGTCTTGGGCTGAGGTGCCTCTCTCTCATCACTCTGGGCTCCCCTGGCCTCACGGTGGCCTGGCCTCGGGCGCCCTCCCCGAGTCCATGTCGAGACTGGCCAGGCCAGGCGTCTTGCGTACCATGCTGCCCAGACAGGCTGTGACCTGCCTCTCTGCTGCCTCAAAGCAGCAATGTGCTTATAAATGGTTAACAACCAGCTTTCCAGGAAAGGAAATGTACACGTATGTATGTAGGCATGGATCTCTCTCCCTTCCTCCCCTGTCTCTTTCTCTATATACACACAGGCTATACACACAGGCACATGCATACATATACATGAACACACAATTTACAAATAATAAAATCCACAATATATATAAAATATGCAACAAAATACACAATATACTCTTCGCCGTAAATTCCACATGGCCAATGAATACTCACAAAATACCTTCATTGACTTTTACTGAGTTCTTGTTATCTGTACCCTGTACTTGAGTGCGATGGATGGACAGCTGTGCTTCCCACATACATGTTGGCTGATGTTTTCATTTATTTTAATGAGTAAGATAAACATGAAGCAGCAAAGATGAGCAACTTCTTTGCTTAATTGGATGATAGTTTTCAAATACCGAAAATGTTTATTTTTATTTATTTTTTTGCTATTTATAATGTAATGGCCGCAGACCCAGCATTCTTCAGTTTAATCTGCAATATTAGCATTTTCTTCACCTCTTTCTAAAGTCTAGGCAATCAACAAAGCAGTAATACATCAAGCCCTGGCATGCCGTGGCATGCCGAGCTCTGCGGTATAATACTTCCACTTGGCCAGTCTTAAGCTACCAACAGGAAGTCACTGAAGGTGACCTTGGGAAGAGATTCCAGGATTTCCACCACACACATCTGACAGGTGTCAACACACAGCAACAGTAAAGCATGCTCGAATAATGAAGACGTGAGTTTTGAGTATCTCCTTTATTTTTCATATAATTTGTCAGTTTACATAATTTAACTTTTTAATAATGATAGTGTTTGTTTAGCTCTCAAAATTCCTGGACGTTTAACATCTATTAGAATGGGTAAAACAAAAACCACTGACCACACCAAGTGTTGGTTTACCAGGGAGGAGATGTGGAGCACCGGGGGTGCCCGTGCCTTTCTGGTGGGAAGGGAAAATGGGGCAGCCACTTGGGAAAACACTTCGGCAGTGTCCGAAAATGTTAAACATGCACCTACCACATCAGCCAACAATTCCCCTCCTAGATACTTACCCAAGACAAAGGGATTGATGTAACCATACAAACACTCATACTCCAACGTTCACAGCAGCTTTTTCATAATAGCCCCAAACAGGAAACAGCCCAAATGTTCATCATCAGGTGAGTGGTTGGACACGCCGCAGTGCGTCCACACCACGGAATACTACTCAGCAGGAAGAAGTGAGCTCCCAATGTGCAAGCTCATTTGCATGGGACTCAAGGTGATGCTGTGGAGCCAACAGCGAACCGACTCCACTGCTCCAGCTCGCCCCTGGCCAGCTGCCTGCCCCTCATCAAGCTGCATCACTGACTGATGAGCCCCGTCAGGCCACCAGGGGTGTCTGCCAGTGGGGAGACAGCGGTGATCACGGGAGTGTACCTGGGGGACATGTGACATAAGCCTATTGAAAATGGAATTCACTATGGAGAGGGATGAATACTAAAATCAAAGGCCATAACATTTCCAGTTTGTCTTTGTGCGGAAGACAATGTGGGGAGCACGCTGAAAGCCGCAGCAGAAGGTTGGGGAGTGCCACGGGACCACAGCGGGACGTCTGCATTTCTTGTAAATGATATCTGCCCCCTGCCTGTTGCAAAGAAGTTAAGCAGCATTGATGAGTGTCAGCTGCGGAGGTTTCATGTAGGGGACCTCCAGGAACAGTATCAGCATTGTGGGGACACTGCTTCCTATAGCTCAGCTTGTGAACACACACCTCCCACTCACAGATGTGTACACTCACACACTTGCATGCACACAGACACACTTGTGCACACACCCTCACATATACTCAAGCACTCACACACCCGAGCACACCCCCACACTTGCACACACACATGCACACACCTGCACACATATTTACACACAGTACACCCACACACGCTCGCACACACTAGCACTCACACACACCTGTACACAGTTGCACACACAACCACACACATGCACAAACACTTGCACATACACTCACTCTCGCACACACTTGTACACACTGTGCCAATCCATTCTAGACTTGTATTTGCCATTTAATGTCTCTTGAGCATCAACCTCTTCTAAGGGATTCAGCTGGGACAAGAACCTGGGGAGTATTACTTGCATTTTGTCTTAGTCCCTATGGGCTGCTATAACAAAAATACTTTAGACTGGGTGGCTTATAAACAGCAAACAGTTATTGCTCACAGTTCTCTAGTCTGGGAAGGCCACGATCAAGGCACCAGCAGGTTCAGAGTCTGGCGAGGGCTGGTTCCTCGAATTGTGGAAAGGACTAGCTGCCTCACAGGGTCTCCTGTAAGGGCACTAATCTCATTCATGGTGGTGCAGCCCTCATGACCTACTCACCTTCTAAATGCCCCACCTCCTACTACTGTCACCTTGTTGATTCAGTTTTAACATGAATTTTGGGGGTACACATGCAAGTCCCCACTCCCCCACCACATACACATGCACCCCCCACTCATACATCACATACCCCCACCCCCACAACCTATACATGCACACACACACATTTACACTTGTGCCACACACACTCCCCTGACACACACATGCCACTCCCACACACTCACTTGTGATTTGGCATAAGGCACTCGAAGGCTGCAATTTCCCTCTAAATGTAGATTTTTTTGGAATCAAAATCATGTTCTTTAATTGCCTTTTATACTTGGTATCATGCTGAACATAAATTATTTTAAGTTGCAGCATAGACATGAATCCATTTACAGCACGGCATTTCAATCAAAATACTGAGGAAGACAGCATATGTGTGTCTGTGTATTTATTTTGTGCATGGACATTTTTTCTAATCTTTAAAATTTATCCAGTATATCTTTTGGGTTTTTGGAGTAAAATTGGTGTGTTATTATTGATATCAGCAATATCTTCCATGATAGATAAGTTAAGGTTTTATGAAGTTTTGAAAACTTTTGAAAAATAAATTTAATACAGTTTCTGATAATTTCTTTAAGATTTCAGAAAGTCAAGAGTGTACAGATGTTGATCCTCAGGAGCTTCATTTACCTGGCCCATCACTGAAGAGGCAGAAATGGAAGACCAGGCTGAGGGAGGCTGGGAAGAGGGGTATCTGGAGGCTGAAGAGGAAGACGATGAAGATGCCGAGGAAGAACAAGAACCTGAGGTGACGGCAGCTGGCAGTGAGTGTGGGTTTTTTACTTTACAGACACACCCTGTGGCATTCTTCTTGATATGGGAACTAACTTGTAAGAGAAACGCAGTTTCTCCATGGTTTTTCTAAAAGGATCTGATGTTCTCCTGGTGGTCTGAATTTGCATTGGCTGACACTTGAGGGAGCTCTCACAATGGTGCTAGTACCACTCTTACGCGTTTGCAGTGCACGTTCAGGGCTGAAAAGCTCTGGAAGCAGGTATGTCAGTTCCTGCTCCAGGGAGCCTCATGCGTTAAATGACACCCATGGGTCACTGGATAAGGTCATTCAAAATATATCCTCTGGGGGTATCCAGTTGTCCATCAGCCTGGCAGATCTCTGCGTGGTGACGAAGAGAGCTGCTCTCTATGCCCATTAGAAGAGCCAAATTGTTTTCCATGTGTCGAACTTTTAAAATTACAAATATCACCCACTGACTACGTTCCTATTTCAATAGGGAGCAGCAGTATATGTGGGCATAGTATTGGCTGGGTGAATACAATTTCATACTTTCATATTCCAAAGCTACAGATAGTTTTTAGAGGTAATTATATGTTTAAAGGGAAGTGTCCAATCTTTTTTTTTTTTTTTTTGAGATGAAGTTTCGCTCTGGTCACCCAGGCTGGAATGCAATGGCACGATCTTGGCTCACCACAACCTCCGCCTCCTGGGTTCAAGCGATTCTCTTGCCTCAGCCTCCCGAGTAACTGGGATTACAGGCGCATGCCACCATGCCCAGCTAATTTTTGTATATTTAGTAGAGACAGGGTTTTGCCATGTTAGCCAGGCCGGTCTCGAACTCCTGACCTCAGGTGATCTGCCCGCTTTGGCCTCCCAAAATGCTGGGATTACAGGTGTGAGCCACCATGCCCAGCTGAATCTTTTAAAACTTTGATTTATTAGTATCTTTTGAGTGATTCGGGTATTTTAAATTAAAGTGTGTATTCAATCTGTACCCTAAACATTATGGCCAGTGATGCGTTTGGTGTTGAAATTGTATCTATCAATAAGCTTGACACTTTATTATCGCTAAATGCAGATTTTACTGTGTCCTATAGGTTTGCTATTAAACATTCTTCTTTGCTTTGCTTTAGGAATAGCTTGTAATTTTGCTTTCCATTCCCTTCTTGATCTCATGCTTATATACTGCAGTTTATCTTAATTTCTGAGTAATTATGATTTCATGATCTTTTTTTTTTTTTTTTTTTTTTGAGACAGGGTCTCATTGTCACCCAGGTTGGAATGCACTGTCGCAATCTTGGCTCACTGCAACTTCCGCCTCCCGGGCTCAAACTATCTTTCCACCTCATTCTCCCAAATAGCTGGGACTACAGGCATGCGCCACCACAGCCTGCCAATTTTTGTATTTATTGTATAGATGGGGTTTTGCCATGTTTCCCTCTGGTCTCGAACTCCTGAGCTCAAGTGATCAACCCTCCTCGGCCTCCCAAAGGGCTGGGATTACAGGCATGAGCTACCACACCCAGCCAGTCATGTTTTGTTGTGTATTTTAGTTGTATTGGATAATAATCTGAGGATGTGTTGCTTAAAATATCACCTTTTCGAATTAAGGTAGTTTGGGGGCTGCTTGAGTTCTCTAGGGATGCCATAGCAAAGTTCCATAAACTAGGGGGCTTCGACAGCAGAAATGGACTGTTTCTCGGATCTGGAGGCCAGAAGTCAGAGATCGAGGTGTTGGCAGGGCAAGGTTCCCCCTGGGGGCCGTGAGGGAGAATCTATTCCAGGCTCTCCCCCAGCTTCCGGGACTTTGCTGGCCATCTTTGGTGTTCCTTGATTTGTGGCAGCCTCTCCCCAATCTCTGCCTTCATCTTCACACAGCCCTCTTTCTCCCTGCATACAAGGCGCTGTGTCCACATTTCTTCTTTTTATAATGACACAGTCATATTGGATTACAGCCCACCCTAATGACCTCATTTTAACTTGATTACCTCTGTGAAGATCCCCAAATAAGGCTCCATTCTGAGGTACTGGGGGTTTGGGCTGTAATATATCTTTTTTTAGGGGGAGGAGGGAGGCAGACACAATTCAATGGATAACAGAGGCCGAATACATAAATAACTGTAAAATATGTTATAGACTCTGAAAAATGCACCTGCTTCAGAGATGCAGGCTTTTCTATATATCTCTAAAATCTAGTTGACAATTGTACTATTCAATTTCCTTTACATTTTTACTTGTTTTTTTTTTTGTTGACTATATCTGTCTGATTTAATGACAATATATTAGAACATTCCATTGTAATTGCATTTTCTTGAAGTCTTCCTTCATGTCTAGTCATTTTTCTTTATGCATTTAGTTGCTGTGTGTTTGTGCTTACTGCATTACAACTGTATTAATACACACACATATATATATACACACGCTCTAACACACATATACTCATGACACATATATACTGACAAATACTTGATACATATTATAGCCAGGCACTGTGGTTCATGCCTGTAATCCCAGCACTTTGGGAGGCTGAGGCAGGCAGAACATTTGAGGCTAGGAGTTCGAGACCAGCCTGGTCAACATGGTGAAACCCTGTCTCTACTAAATGCAACAAAAATTAGCCGGGTGTGGTGGTGAGCCTGGCCAACAGAGCAAGGCTCGGTCTCAAAAAAGAAAAAAAAAATCCCAAAAAACCACACCAAAAATACACATTATATCCACACCATGTATATGATATATATCATATCGTGTGTGTGTGTTTGTGTGTGTGTAGAGAGAGAGAGATTTTAAGGAATCAGCTCACGTGACATGGAGGTTGGCAAGTCACTGGACACTCAGGGAAGAGTTGTTTGAGTCCAAAGGCTCGAGTTGGAGGCAGAATTCCTTCCTCTTTGGGTGACCTCAGTCATTTTCTCTTAATCCCTTCAACTGATTGGATGAGGCCCACCCACAGCATGGAGAACAATCTGCTGTACTTAGTCTTCTCATTTAAATACTAATTTTATTTAAAAACACCCTCACAGCCACATCTAGACTGGTGTTTGACCAAAACTGGGTACTGTAGACTGGCCAGGTTGATGCATAAACTTTACCTTCCCAGTCACTATAGCACGGTCTGGTCTTTGTTCTCTGGAATTTTCTTCGTGCGTAACACCCACGAATCTGTACTTGATCCTTACAGCCAGCCCAGCCAGCCCCTCTGTCATCACTTATTTCAATTGAGCGCATACTTTGTGAGGTGGCTGCCCACCGCCCCTTCCTCTCTGAGGCCTCTGTTCTGTTGCAGGGGTTGTTTGGTCTTGCAGCTTTGCAGTGAGCAGATGTTTGCAGAATGTAACCGACTCAAGTCTGGCTGCTTGCTGTTTGGAGGCCAGAATACAAGAAGCGAGGTGTGGTGAAAGGAAAGCCGTTTTTGTTTTTTGTTTTTTTTTGGCAGAATCTTGTTCTGTCACTCAGGCTGGAGTGCAGTAGCACAATCTCGGCTCACTGCAACCTCCGCCTCCTGGGTTCAGGTGATTCTCCTTCCTCAGCCTCCTGAGTAGCTGGGATCATAGGCTCGCACTACCATGCCTGGCTAATTTTTGTATTTTTTGTAGAGACAGGGTTTCGCCATGTTGGATAGGCTGGCCTCAAACTCCTGACCTCAAATGATCCACCCAACTTGGCCTCCCAAAGTGCTGTGATTACAGGCGTGAGCCACCACTCCTGGCCGAAAGCAGCTTTTACTCGAGTGCTAGCAGGTGGGAGAATGGCCGGGCTGGCCAGGCTCAAGCCTCAGAGGAACCATCTCAAGCTTTATGTGGGCGAGAGGAGTAAAAGGGAGCTTGGAATGGGAGACATGCAGGCGGGGCACTGGGCACAAGGTCTGTGTGCCTTGTTCCCTTGGCTATCTTGAGTCATGGTCCACTGGGAGCACGGGCTGGCATCATCTCTACGATGGCTGGGTTGTAGACTGACCGCCTGGAATTTCACAGCTAGATTTCCATGCTTGGTTTGTCTCAAGATTAGCGCCCTGGAACTACTAAGTAAGCACAAAATTAGGTGAGTGAGCAGTGCAAGGGAGTGTCTGGTGGGAAGGGAGGGAAACAAGGAGTTTCAAAGTACATTAAGGCTGAAAGCAAGAAAGGAAAGACGAAGTTTCAAAATGCATTTGTTTTTTGTTTTTTTGAGACAGAGTCTCGCTCAGTCGCCCAGGCTGGAGTGCAGTGGTGCGATTTCTGCTCACTGCAAGCTCCGCCTCCCGGGTTCACGCCATTCTCCTGCCTCAGCCTCCCGAGTATCAAAATGCATTTTGAAGCTAACCTGCTTGGTCACAAGGATTCTTGCTTTCCTTCCCTGCTGGGTGAGGATGAGGATCCACAGGCTGCCAGAGTCGCACAGGGAAGCTGGCCCACTCTGATCCATTTCTGCTATTGCTGGTTCTTTCTGTTTGGAAGCTTCTGAGATGCTCCTGCTGTCTTGGGAGCTTGGGAATGTTTGTCAGGCAAAGCCCAGGTCCATGACAATCCGGTTTGGAGTGGAGCTCAGCTAGCCCTCCTGAGGTGGAGACGGGCCTTTGCCTCCTCTGGGAGGCCTTCTTCAGTCAAGGGCTGACCCGTCTGTCCTCTGCCCCTGCTCCTCACTTCTTGTCTTCTGGCCAGCATCCTCCCAATTTCCATCTTCTTGTTTCTAGCTGGATTTGTAGAAGCAGCGACAACCCCTTAAGTGGCGTGAGGTGTGATAGTCGCCACAGTCCCAGCGGAAGCCCCAGGCTCCTGGGTTGTCAGTCACCCAGGTACCTCCAGGGGCCCAGCGCATTCCGGGTAGCTGGAGGCTGATCCTCGCCCCGGGCCCCGGATCCATGGCCTCCGCTCAGCCCCTCCCACCTCTGGACCCTGCTCCCCACCCTGGGCGCTCCACCCCTGCATGTACTGGGAAGACTGGAGGTCCTGCCAGCCCGGGGAGCCCTCTCCACAATGCGGGAAAGAAGACAAAGGTGAGCTCAGCTGCAATGGGCATCACAGGCCGAGAAGGAAACCTCATCCTTTGCGCAGTGCATGTCAGCTACCCTTTGATCTAGTCAGGCAGATGCCATCTCAAGATGCCCTGCTGCATGTCCTCATCCATCGTGAGTGCACCTGGTCAGCAGCTGGCCATTCTGCGCTAGTGAGTTGCCTGTATCCAAAGGAAAATGAAAGCTTTCTCTTGGTGGTCTCAGGAAGGCAGGGAGCTAGGGGCGCTAGCTTTATGTTTGCATTTCAAAGAGATGTGTCCGGGTCCTGCAGACACACCTCCCTGGGCCGTAAGCCTGGCGGGGCTGTATTGAAAAGGTTTACAAAGTCTCCTTCCAACCTGGAAATCCAGCACGTACAGCATTCCCCCTCCTGCCAGGGAACCCGGAAGCCCGGCAAAAGAACCCTTGGCATTTCCCAGGTCCCCTGGGGCGGAGAGGAGGACTTGGCGTTTGTGGTTCCCTCCCTCGAGGTCCAGGGCTGAAAGGCACCCAAGCCGTTGGGAGGGGGCCTCAGCTAGTGGTGACAGCCTGGGTGCCAGGCCTCACCCCCCAGCTGCCCAACCCTGTGGCTGGCAGAAATGACCTCACAGCCTGGCCTCAGTTTCCTCATCTGTAAAATGGAAACAATACAATGATCCTGGGAGGGTGGGTCATGCCTGGGGCCTGGCACATAGCACATGTGCAGTGCATGTCAGCTACGGTGACAGCTCCTGTTATGTCTGAGCCCTTGCACTTCTTGTCATGCCCTCCGAGCCCTATATGGCTGTCCCTGGCCCTGCCACCCTCATCCCTCCCCACTGCCCCTGGGAGGCCCACTGGCCTCCAGCCACACAGGCCTCAAACACACCAAGCCTGTTCCTGCCTGTGCTGGGTTGAAGGCAGCCCCCAAAAGATGTGTTCATGTCCTAATCTCTGCCCCCTTTTAGTGTGACCTTATTTGGAGAAAGGGTCTTTGCAGATGTAATTACATTAAAGATCTTGAGACAGGGTCATCCTGGATTACTGGAGTGTGCCCTAAATCCATTGACAAGTGTCCTTAGGAGAGACGCAGAGTGGAGGCACACAGTGGGAGGACGAGGCCACTTGAAGACTGAGGCCGGGATTGCAGCGATGCAGCCACAACCCAGGGAAGTCCGGGGCCACCAGCGGCTGGAAAAGGCAAGGGAGGGGTCTTCTGGCTCTTCAACAATAAGAGAGTAAATTTCTGGTGTTTTAAGCCACCTGGTTTGTGGTGCTTTTTCCTTCCTTCCTTCCTTCCTTCCTTCCTTCCTTCCTTCCTTCCTTCCTTCCTTCCTTCCTTCCCTCCCTCCCTCCCTCCCTCCCTCTCTCCCTCCCTCTCTCCCTTCCTTCCTCTCTTTTTCTCTCCCTCTCTCCTTTTTTTCTTTTTTTTGATGGAGTCTTGCTGTGTCGCCCAGGCTGGAGTGCAGTGGCGTGATCTTGGCTCACTGAAACCTCCGTCTCCTGGGTTCAAGCGATTCTCCTGCCTCAGCTTCCCAAGTAGCTGGGACTACAGGCATGCGCCACCACACCTGGCTAATTTTTGCATTTTTAGTAGAGATGGGGTTTCACCATGTTGGCCAGGCTGGTCTCGAACTCCTGACCTCAGGCAATTCACCCGCCTCAGCCTCCCAAAGTGCTGGGATTACAGATGTGAGCCACCACACCTGGCCCCCTCAGTCTTACAGAAAGGAAACGAAGGTGCATGGCATCCGGAGTGAGCAATTGTGGGTAAGGGATGGAAGAAAGTGCAGGTGGCAGGGCTCCAGGGCCCACAGCCCCAGCGCTCCTGAGGGTCTCACCAGCTGAGAACCTATATGGTGCAAGGGCGGGGAGGGGGATGACCAAACGCTTTCCCAATTCCAAGGCAGGATTTAACCTTTGGCTTCTTTCCTTTTGTACAATCTTTTCCAGAAAATCAAATGATTTTTATGTTTGGTTATGGCCAACTTATGGAATCATCCCCCCAAATGGGCGAAGTTAGGAAAATGGTAAAGGCGACTGGATTCCCTTTAGTTTGGGGGCAGAGTTCACACAGCTGCTCTCCCTGATTGGCTGGAGTGAGCAGCAATGCTGGAGTCCTGGAACTTGGGCATGAATCTGTCGCCGCTTCCTAGTGTTGAGTCTCCAGACAATTCCTTCCCATCTCTAAGCCTCAGTTTTCACATCTGTAAATGGTAGTCAGGATGCCGGCCAGTGGGAGGGGCTTGAGCAAGGCTGGCCTTCTCTCCCTCACCCCCAGCCTCCCAGAGTTCAGGCATAAAGAGCTGAGGGCCCTCGGGTTGATATCTAGGTGTGGGCAGGGCTGCGCTCCCTCCAGAGGCTCTAGGGGAGGGTCCTTCTGCCTCTTCCAGCTTCTGGTGGCCCCGGGTGTTCCTTGGCTTGTGGCCTCATCACTTCTATCCCTGTCTCTGTCTTCACATGGCCTTCTCCCTGTGTGTCTGTTCCTTTGCATGGCATTCTCCTCTCTTTGTAAGGACAGCAGCCATATTGGATTAAGGGTGCGCCCTACTCCGGTATGACCTTATTTTAAATATTTACATCGGCAACGACCCTACTTCCAAACATGATCACATTCTGAGGTACTGGGGGTTAGGACTTCAACCTACCTTTTTGGGGGATACAATTTGACTCATAACACCACCCAATCTGCATCCTAACCTTTTTCTCTGGGGATAAGACCCCAACTTTGTTCAAGGCATCAGTGGGCTCAGCCCCAGGTGATAGGTCATGAAAATCCATCCCATTCCCAACGTTCTCAGCCTCTCTTGAGGTTAGGGGTGGCCGCATGATCCAGTTCTGGCTCCTGAGATCTAAGTGGAAGTCTGCCAGGCAAGTTTCTGGGAAAACTGTTGCTTCCTTGATAAAAGAGGACAGAGTGTCTGTCTCTGCCCCTTCCTCCTTCTGTCTAATGCATATGTGATGGCTGGAGCTTCAGCAGCCATTTTGTGATCACGCAGCAAAGCGAAGCAAATCAGAAAGATGCTGCGTACTGCCAAAAGCTCTGCTGCTGAACCGATGCCAGAAAGCTACCCCAGAGTCCTTAGGTGAGAAAACAAAGCATCTAATTCTTTAATCCACCATAGTTAGGTTTTCTACTACTTTTGTGGCCACTTTCCTAACTGATATACTGTGTTTGTTTCTTCCTGCATCCCATTCCCATAACCAGAGGAGACCCTGTGATCTGAGTGTTCAGTCACTGCAGTCAAGCTGCTCTCCTTCTCACCTGTGCTTTCCTCTTTCCTCCTTTGTCCTTCTCTACCTCCTCTCACCTTGTTCTCATGTAACCAGCTAGAATACATTATATAGTAGGCGAGGAATATTTTCATTGAAAAAAATGAAAAAAATTTAATTCTTACTTTCTTATTTTGATTTGATTTGATTTGAGCTCTCACAGTTCTGGAGGCTAAAAGTCTAACGTCAGGGTGCCAGCAGATCTGGTTCTTGGTGAGGTTCTGTCAGAAGCCCTTTTCAGAAAATGGTACTTAAAAAATCTTGGAGCCTGGGCAACATAATGAGACCTCATCTCTATAAAAAAAAAATTAAAAAATCAGCCAGGTGGCTGGACGAGGTGGCTCACGCCTGTAATCCCAGAACTTTGGGAGGCTGAGGCAGGTGGATCACATCAGGTTGGGAGTTTGAGACCAGCCTGATCAATATGGTGAAATCCCGTCTCTACTAAAAATACAAAATTAGCCGGGTGTGGTGGCAGGCACCTGTAGTCCCAGCTACACGGGAGGCTGAGGCAGGAGAATTGCTTGAACCCAAGAGGTGGAGGTTGCAATGAGCCAAGATCACGCCACTGCACTCCAGCCTGGGTGACAGAGCGAGACTCATCTAAAAAAAAAAAATTAGCCAGATGTGGTGGCACATGCCTGTAGTCCCAGCTACTTAGGAGGTGAAGGTGGAGGCAGGAGGATCGCTTGAGGCCAAGAGGGCAAGACTGCAGTGAGCCATGACTAAACCACTGCACTCCAGTCTAGGCAACAGAGCAAGACTCTATCTCACAAAAAAAAAAAAAAAAAAAAAAAAAAAAATTGGACACAGCTAAAAAATCTTGGACACACGGACACACATAATATAAAACACAACTCTGGGCTGGGCATGGTGGCTCACGCCTGTAATCCCAGCACTTTGGGAGGCTGAGGTGGGCAGATCACAAGGTCAGGAGATCGAGACCATCCTGGCTAACATGGTGAAACGCCATCTCTACTAAAAAAAAAAAAATACAAAAATTAGCTGGGCATGGCAGTGCGTGCCTGTAATCCCAGCTACTTGGGAGGCTGAGGCAGGAGAATTGCTTGAACCTGGGAGGTGGAGGTTGCAGTGAGCCGAGATTGCATCACTGTACTCCAGCCTGGTGACAAAGCTAGACTCTGTCAAAAACAAAAACAAAACAAAACAAGACAGACAAACAAACAAACAAAAAAACCTCTGGCCAGGCGTGGTGGCTCACTTCTTTAATCCCAGCACTCTGGGAAGCTAAGGTGGGCAGATCACCTGAGGCCAGGAGTTCGAGACCAGCCTGGCCAACATGGCAAATCACTGTCTCTACTAAAAATACAAAAATTAGCTGGATGTGGTGGCAGGCACCTGTAATCCCAGCTACTCAGGAGGCTGAGGCATGAGAATCGCTTGAACCCAGGAGGTGGAGGTTGCAGTGAGCCAAGATCACACCACTGCACTCCAGCCTGAGGGATAGAGCGAGACTCTGTTTCCAAAACAAACAAACACAAAGAAACAAACAAACGGACAAAGAAACGGAAAATAGCTCTGTGTTATATTATGGTCAAGGCTGCTGTCAAATATGGACTGGGCTAAACAAAAACATCATAGGAACAAAAAAATACACCTAATTCTGTCATACTCATCCTCATATCGCAGCACACAGTTAAATGTTCAGTCTATATCTGTTAGATAAATGAAGAACTAAATGAGAATGCAGGGTTACTAGGAATGGTTGAAACAATACCCATAAACTCAATAACCACATGTAGGGATCTACTAATTATTTAATCCACTCTAGCAGGTTCTCTAGCAACCCACATCCAAGGTCTAAACATTGAAACTACAACCCATTGTTGAGAGAAATTAAAGAAGGCTCCCAACATGGAGAGATACATCATGTTCATAGATTGAAAGGCTTAATATTGTTAAAGATATCAATCCTCCCTCAAATGGTTTATAGATTCAATGCAATCCAATCAAAACCCCAGTAGGCTTTTTCCCCCCATATAAATTGGCAAGGTATTCTAAAACTCATGTGAAAGTGTGACAAACTTTGAAAAGACAAAACAATTTTGAAAATGAAGAACAGCATTGGAGAACTCACATTACCTGATTTCAAGACGTGTTACAAAGCTACAGTAGTCAAGAGAGTGTGGCATTGGCATCGAGATAGACATTGTCTCAGTTTGCTTGGGGTGCTATAACAAAATACCACAGACTGGGTGGCTTAAACAACAGACATTTATTTCTCACAGTTCTGGAGGCTAAAAGTCTAAAGTCAAGGTGCCAGCAGATTTGGTTCTTGGTAATAGTTCTCTTTGGCTTGGACACAGCTGCCTTCTTGCTGTATCCTCACACACAGTGGAGGAAGGAAGCTCTAGTGTCTCTTCCTCTTGTTGTTGGGAACCAATCCCATCATGAGGGTCCCACCGTCATGACCTCATCTAAACCTAATGCGCTCCCAGAGGCCCCAACTCCTAATGCCATGTGATATGGTTTGGCTGTGTTCCCACCCAAATCTCATCTTGAATTGTGGCTCCCAAAATTTCCATGTGTCCTATGAGAGACCCAGTGGGAGGTAATTGAATCATGGGGGCGGGTCTTTCCTGTGCTGTTCTCCTGATAGTAAGTCTCACAAGATCTGATGGTTTTATAATGGGCAGTTCCCCTGCACAAGTTCTCTCTTCCTTGCCACCATGTAAGATGTGACTTTGCTCCTCCTTGCCTCCCACCATGATTGTGAGGCCTCCCTCACCACGTGGCCCTGTGAGTCAATTAAACTTCTTTTTCTTTATAAGTTACCCAGTCTCGATATGCCTTTATTAGCAGCGTGAAAATGGATTAATACACCATCCCACTGGGATCAGGGCTTCCACATATGAATTTTCAGGGGGCACAAATATTCAGTTCATAGTGCTGACTGATGAGGTACCATGAAGAGTCCAGAAGTAGACTCACACACATATGGCCAACTGATTTTCCACAAAGGGGCTAAGGTAACTCAACTGGAGAAAAGATACTCTTTTCAACAAATGGTGCTAGAAAAACTGGATATCCATATATAAAAAAATGAATTGTGAATTTGCCTCACACCACACACAAAATGGATCATAGACCTAAATATAAGAGCTAAGATTATACAACTTCTATAAGGAAACAGGTCTATGTTTTTATAAGAAAACACTGGATAAAGGCTTAGTGACTTGAGTTTTGCAAAGATTTCTTAACTATGACACAAAAAGCACAAACTATAAAATTTAAAAGTCCATACCTTAGACTCCATCAACATAACACAACTTCTGCTCTTTAAAATGCAGTGTTATGCAAATGGAAAGGCAAGCCAGAGTTTGGAAGAAAAATATTGCAAAATACATATCTGACAAAGGACTTGTGTCTAGAACTCTTAGAACTTAAGAAGAAGACAAACAACCTCATTTAAAAACGGGCAAAAGACTTGAACAGATACTTCCTCAAAGAAGACATATGAATGGCCAAAGGACACATGAAAAGATGCTCAACATCATTAGTTATCAGGGAAATGCAAATCAAAACCACAATGAAATACCACCCCACACCCACTGGGATGGCTATAATGAAAAGACAGACAATAACAAGTGTTAGTGTATTAGTCTGTTCTTGCATTACTATGAAGAAATACCTGAGATTGGGTAATTTATGAAGAAAAGAGGTTTAATTGGCTCACGGTTTTTCAGGCTGTACAGGAAGCATGGCAGCATCTGCTTCTGGGGAAGCCTCAGGGGTTTTTACTCATGGTGGAACGCAAAGCAGGAGCAGGCACATCACGCTGCCAGAGCAGGAGCAAGAGAGAGAAAGGGGAGGTGCCACACGCCTTTAAAGGACCATCTCTTGGGAGAACTCAATCACTATCATGAGGACAACACCAAGAGGATGGTACTAAACCATTCGTGAGAACCCTGCCCCCATGATCCAGTAACCTCCCACCAGGCCCCACCTCCAACATTGGAGATTACAATTCAACATGAGATTTGGGTGGGATCACAGATCCAAACTATATTGGTTGGTGAGCATATGGAGAAACTAAAACGCTTGTACACTGCTGGTGGGAACATAAGATGGTGCAGCTGCTATGGAAAAGCTTGGTAGTTCCTCGCACAGTTGAACACAGAGTTACCACATGACCCAACAATTCCACTCCTAGCCGTATATCCAAGAGAAATGAAAACATATGTCCACGCAGAAACTGGTACACAAATGTTCACAGCAGCTTTATTTGTCATGGCCAAAACCTGGTAACAACCCAAATGTCCATCAACAGGTATTCAACAGGTATTGTGGTCCACCCATACAATGGGATCCTACCAACAATAAAAAAAAATGGAGTACTGATATGCACAAAAACACCTGATGAAAAAAGAATTGTGCTGAGTGAAAGAGGCCAGACATACACTGTATGAGTCCATTTCTATGGAATTCTAGAAAATGGGAATTAATCTATAGTGACAGCAAGCCAAGCAGTGGCGGTGGGGATGGGGGACAGTGAGGAGCAGGAAAGAGGGGTTGCTGGAGGCGCAAGGCCACTTTTGGGAGTGGCGGATCAATTCACTGTCTTGATTATGGGGGAGGTTTCATGGGTGTCCACACATGCCAAAAACCCTCCAACTGTACACTTTAAAGACGTGCAGTTTCTTGTATGCCCATTATACCTTCATAATGCTGTCAAAGAAAGATTAAACAATCATTGACCTTCAGGTCTGCAGCAGGCCTCCATTTCCCACATGAATATTCCCCGGCGGTGGAGAAGGCTCTAATTTGGCCTTCCTGAACACAAAAGGAGGGCACTGCGCTCCTCTCAAAAGTCCAAGGCCTTCGATTAAAGGTATATAAGAATCTGCAGAGCAGCTGTCCAGAACTCCTGGAGGACCCCCGTTTTGTGAAGACAGTGATAGATGCACTGGGGCTGGCATCGGATGGAACCAGCTGCGAGTCCCATGGCAAGTGGGAGCCCCTGAGACACGTGGCTGGGGCCCTGGTGTCAAAGACGTCCCCTCTCATGTTGCCTCAGCGTCATCATGCCCCCAGCCCAACACCTCATGGGCATCACAACCATCGAGACGACTACAGTTATAAAATTTGTGGTGGTCAGTGTGTAAATTCAAACCCTGTGGTAGTCATAATTTATATTAACTTCCCTTTGTCATTCTTAGAATAATTCTTTCATGTTTTGGAAAATTGCTCCTCATCAGGAGACTGTTAGAGCCCAAACTTTTGTATATGGCATCCCAGACTCTCCATACTCTGGTTCTAACTGACCCTTTAGCCCATACATGTCCTACTGAAACCTCTCTGCCCTTCTAAGCTTCCCTGAACACACCTCATACTTTCCCTTCTTCCCTGTCTGTCCGAACCCAAGCACTTCCCAGCCAAGGACTCCCTTCCTTTGCTTCTACCTCCACTTCCTGTCTCCAGAGCTGCCCTTCCAACTACCCTGGCAAGTATGGGAGCTGCCATGTTGCCTGAAGTCTGGGAACAGAAGCGACTGGAAAGAACACACAGCTGTGTTCTCAGGAGACTGATGTGGCACTTTGCTGAGGAACACAGGGGACCAGGCCCAGCCTCCCTTCCCTCTGGTCTCAGAGTCACGGCATCTGAGTGGCCTCGGGTGGCTGCCTGTGGTCCCAGTCAGAGGAGCCTGCACCCCTGGGCTGACCCGAGGCAGCTCACCCAGAATGCCTTTCTGTCTTACCTTCACAGGGACCCCCACAAGGAACACCCAAAGCCCAGCTCTGGCCATTCCCCACAATCTCAGGCTTACAGCCTTTCCTGTAACCTTGAACCCAAGGCCTATCCATGTAGTTTAAACCCTCAGAATAACCTCTCTACACTAGAGGGCTCATTTCCAGGCCAATACTCATACATCTTCCTTATTTGCAACCAAAGTAAATGGGACAGTTCCATTTCACAACGAATCCAGCCAGGACAATTTACTAGTTACATGGAGACACTGCCAGAGCATTTATGTGGCTCTTGAAGCATTCACAGTTTCAAAGGGCAAAAGCCCAAAGACAAAGGGGTCCCAGGTTGGCATCCAGGTAAGTTCTTCGGTGGCAGGGTGGAGGAAGCCTTGGAAAACAGGCAAGACTTTCCCCATAGTTTAAGCTTTTACATTCTAGCTGTCCATCACAAAGCAAGCTTGGGCTATACCCTCCCAGTTCCCCACACAGCAAGAGGGAGGGAGCCCAATTTCAAGGCACCATTGAAGGAAAAACACAAATGTCCTTTTCGAACATTCTGACTTTGATTCCATGTGAAACCCGTTCAGCTCACGTGGCATACCTAACTGCCACACCCAAAAGAAAATGATAGCAATGACCACCTTGCAGTGAGAATGTCATTATGGGGAGCTAAATTAGACTAAGCAATGATAAAAGGCTGCACTATTTTAAATGCCATTTATCTAAGTAAGCACTGGGGACCCTGGAACTTTTCCCGGCACTCCAAAGTCACAGTGCAAGTGCCCAGCATCTCTCCTGGCAACTCCACTTTCTGCTGAAAACTCCTGTACCTTGTCCTGCCAGTATCTAGACAGTCTTGGGTAGGTCCTGAGGTGAAAAAAAAGGAGCTTCCGTTAAAAACAGGGTTCACTTATGCATCAGAACCAATGGCATGACAAGATACTAAGGAGTCGATTCTTCTTTAGTGAAAGCTGGCTACTGTCTGGCTTGTAGGAACGAAATCATTTACCTCCTAGAACAACGGAAATGGGTATCAGAGTGCGTGGATCTGTTTCTTTCCTGGTTCAGTTGAATGAAGCAAGACTAGAGCCCAATTGCATGGCCTCCTGCCACAGGCACCTACTCTGCACGAGGATTGCATTTCTGGGCCCATGCCAGCCCTTGCAAAGACTGTCTGCACAGCAGAAAAACCCAGACTTCCCAATGGCCTCATCAGGGACTTCAAATACACCATTCCTAATACTTCTTTTTCTGGAAAACCCAAAGTCGTAGATGCTTCGGATTGCCTCAAGGCAAGGCTGGAGCCGACAATGGTCCCAAGCCTGAGTCTGAGGTGCTAGGACTGCAAGACCTATTTCACTCATGCTTACTGATTACCAGCACCGGGCTTGGCATCAAGGACATGGGGACAGGCATGACACACACTTGTGGGCTTATGAGACCAGCTTGCAGACAAGAACGCAATCACAGGATGGGGAATAGGGACACACTGAAGGAGGCTACGGTATAAGTGCAACTTACAAGAACTCTAGAAGTTTTCATAAAACTATATATATCGTGTGTGTGTGTGTGTGTGTGTGTGTGTGTGTGTGTGTGTATAACATTATTTCTGGAGTTGTCCTAGTGACTGGCACTCCAAGCAGCATTCTCCGAGGGAATCCTGTATGTTTGGGTCTTCCCACACTCTCCTGATAGGAGCCAGCTGTCTTTGAACCTCCCCCCTCCACCACGCCTACCACCCACCTGCCCTCAGGCCTTGTGGATGAAAAACCCCCTCTCCCCTGGGAGGGGACAGGGCTGGAAGGAGGTGGCCGCTGACCAGGACGCTGGGCTGAGAGCACCAAGGGGCAGAGCTCCTGAGCCCAGCTCTGGGGACAGCGCTGGGGAACTAGGATAAGGCCTGCCAGCAGCTGCCTCTGCCAGCCCTGAGACTTTTCCTTGAGAATTCCCCTTGGCTTTCAGTAAAGTGCCATTTGAAGAGTCTGCCCTGTTTCTGCAGGGCTAAGGGGAAGAGGGGTGGACTGCATCGTTGTAGGGAGAAGAGGGGCCAGGCTTGCCACCACACTCATCTGGGGGCAGGCCTGGGGTGGCCCCCTTTCTCCTGCCTGAGGTCTTCTCAGAGGGCTGGGGGGACTCTTATTTAGGGAGTGAATCCCTGATACTCTGATATGGCAAAATCTCTATTTTCAATATACATTACCCCTGAATACAAAAACAATCAAAGCAACGGAACGTCCAGTATTCTACAAAATGTCACGCAAAAGACATTCGATGAAAGATTCGTTCCTGGGCTTGCTCTGTTGCCTAAGTGCAAATTCCTAACCCGTCTGGCTTTCCTCCTAATCGTCACCAGCCGCAAGAGAGGCTGCCTGATGGGGAGGAGCAGGTAAGTGCGAAGCTTTAGGCACTGGTGGTGGGGCGGGGCAGGGGGACAGGGGACAGAGAGGCCAGGGTGGCCTTTGCTGGTGGGGTCTGGGGAGCAGAAGGCAGTGGGCGGGCAGGGGGGAAAGCAAAGCCTGGAGGGTGGCTAGCTACAAATGTCCAATTGTGAGTGACTTGAAGGGTCTTATCCTCTCTGCAGGGCCTGGGCTAGCCATTCCCAGAACCACTGGTGCTCAGGGATGATGGGGCCTGGGCGCTGCTCCTCCTCCCAGAAGCAGCTGGGGCCACCCAGACAAGGCGGGAGTTTTCTGGCACAGCCCCCCATCCTATGCCAACATTCAGGGAGCCTCTTGCCTCTGTGCTAACTTTAGCGCCTCCCCCACCTGCAATATAAGCGCTTAAAGGATTAAAGTGCTTTCAGTATCTTCTACTTGGGAACACTAACAACTCTTAGGGCGAGGGGAACGACCCCCAGGGAGGAAATGCACCACTCTTCTGTAACTCAAAGCCAGCGTGCCCCGCGCTGGCTGGCCTCACTGGCCTCACGTGGCCTCCTCCCTACCCGCAGCAGGCGATTCTGATGCAAATCCGAGGGATGGTTCACGCATCCCCTCCACGCACGCCTGTGCACACTCGATAGTACCTGTGGCTCAGGGACGAGTGGCCCAGGTGCCATCTATGTGCCTCAGTTGCAAGGCCCAGGACTCAGGAGGGAGTAGAGGGCCTCCATTCCCAGCCCGCACTGCCGTTGATGGAGGAGCCAGGGCAGGCGGCAGTCCTCGGTTCTGAGTCCTTCCTGCGTTTCTCAGCCTCAGGGTGAGGCTCTGCCTGGGGTCTTCTGATGGCCAAAGAGGTCAGGGCTGTGGCCGCAATCGAGGCCCTGGGAGGGCGGTCTTCCCACCTGAAGGGGGCTGAGCCTCGACGTCCCCAGGAAGGCCCCCCACGCAGACCGGCCGCGCCCTGGGTGCGCTGGCGGGGAGTCAGCGGCGGCTGGGCCTGGAAGGCCTGGCGGCTGTGCTCGGCCGCGGGGGGCTGGTGGCCGCCACCGCGCTCCCAGGGCCGGTGCTCCCAGGGCCCGCTAGCCTCCGCGCCGTCTCCGCCTTCGCAGGGCGCCTGGCGCCGTGCACTGCCTGGTGCTTGAATAGGTTGGCGCGCCGGCCGAAGGCCTTGCCGCAGTCGCTGCACTCGTAGGGCTTCTCACCGCTGTGCACGCGCCGGTGCTGGCTGAGGCCCGAACGGCCACGGAAGGCCTTGCCGCACTCGCGGCACGCGAAGGGCCGCTCGCCGCTGTGGCTGCGCTGGTGGTGGATGAGCTGCGAGACGCCCTTGAAGGCCTTGGCGCACTGGCCGCAGGCGTAGGGCTTCTCGCCGCGGTGCGTGCGCTGGTGCTCGATGAGGTTGGAGCTGCGGCTGAAGGCCTTGCCGCACTCTGGGCACGCGTAGGGCCGCTCGCCGCTGTGCACGCGCGCGTGCTCCAGGAGCGCGAAGCTGCGGCGGAACAGTTTGCCGCAGTCGCCGCAGGCGAAGGGCCGCTCGCCGCTGTGGATGACCTGGTGCTTGATGAGGTTGGAGCTGCGCGTGAAGGTCTTGCTGCACTCGGGGCAGGCGTAGGGCTTCTCGCCGCTGTGGATGCGCTGGTGCTCCAGGAGCGCGAAGCTGCGGCGAAACAGCTTGCCGCACTCGGGGCACGCGTAAGGCTTCTCGCCACTGTGGATGATGCGGTGCTTGATGAGGTTGGAGCTGCGGCTGAAGGCCTTCCCACACTGCTGGCACAGGTACCGCTTCTCCGCGCCTTTGGGGCCCTGCGGCCCCGCAGCCGAACTCTGCCCCAAGCCCTGGGCACCTCTCTGGAGCACAGACGACCTCGCCGCCTGCCCCTCCTTGCCACCTTGTGGATCGGCCCCGGGGAGTTGTCGTCCAGAATGCTTCTGCGTTGAAGTCGACGTCTTGCTCTGTGTTCTGTCACCTGGAAAGACAGAGCACCAGGCAGTGTCACCCTCATGCCAAGTCAGAGAGATGAACGAGCAGGAGGTGAGAACATAGGGGGATGGGGCAAGGTGACCACAGAACAGAAAGCCATCACACAGGCAGACAGGAGAGATGAAGGGGCGGGAGGATGGGCTGGAGATAGCGGGGCTGCTGTGACACCTGGAGATTGACATCTGCCTCCAAAGAGGATTTCCCACCCAAAGCGGCAGGGTACCCTCCCCCGCCCCCTTTGCCACTGCTATTTCTTTTTACCCCGATGGGGAGCTGGTTGAGCACCTCTCACTCACCTATGTGCAATCCTGCGGTGGCCCAGGTTCTGGGGATGTCTGCTACCCAGGGTCCTTCCCCTCGTTCCAATTGGGAGATCAGGTGAGGCTTGGAGAAGGAAAATCCTGGGCGTGGAATATGAAGCAGGTCAAGACCACTATGGCTGAGGGCAGGGTCGCTCCTGAACTCAGGCAATTCTCAATATCTTCAGGTAACAGAGAATAAAGAACTCTCTAAAAAGCACTACTGGGAAGGCTCAGAGAAAGGGCCAAGTCCCTCTACGAGGGCAAGGGCTCCTGCGCGTCCAGGGCCAGGTGGGCACGGAGATCTTCAGTAGCTGGCGATTTGGGCCATGAGGACAACTGTGTTTGTCACCTGGCCTGCAGGGAGGCTGAGAAGCTCATGAGAAATCGGGGATGTGTGTGGGCACCCTGAGGGACAGAAGAAGGGCTTGCAAGCCCCAGGGACTATTGGGAGGCCGACAGCCATAGGCCCCGAAAGCTGAATTGCCCTGTTTCATCATCCAACTCCACTGAGGATCCCAGACCCCTCCCTGGAACCCCAGGTCTGCCTGGTGAGTGTCAGAAGGAATCCAGGGGATGAAGCTGCTTTCCCTCTATGGGGCTAGATTACAGAGGCAAAATCTGTGGAGTCAGACTCCCACAACCCCAAAGGCAGTAGAGTGCAATGTTGAAGACCCTCTGGATTTCCCCTCCAGCGGCAAGGGGAAGTGGAGTGTTTCCATTTCCACTGGGAAGTGGAGTGTCTGAGCTTAGCTGCAGCAGCCAGCCTTGCTGGGCACACTGGGGGAAAAGCCAGAGGCCCAGTCCCACTCTGTTTCACGCATGCATCTCTCATCAGCTGCGTGAGGTGGGGGCAAGTCACTGGCACCCTCAGACGTTCTTTACCCCACCTGAAAACCTTCCTGAGTGCTCCGGCCCCCATCCGTCTAGCCTGTGACTCCTGCTTTTGCCCTTTAATTGGCAAAATTGCTGCCCCTTCCGGCAGTGGGTGTGCACTGGCATGGAAGGGGGAGAGCAGTGTGCTCCAAGCTGCCCCAGCTCCTCCCGGGACTTCTCAAGGCTTGAAATCCAAGTCTACACTTTGTCCTTATGTGGGACCTCCCTGGTCAATGGAAGGAAAAGATGTTGCTAAATTTTACAAAGTGGAACGGATGCAAAATGCAGCCGTCATAGAAACGAATTAAGTCTAAAAGAGTGCACATAAATATTCCAGTAGAATTTGCATCTCTCTTTTGAGTAGAAAGACCTTTAGTCGATCCACGATTTTATACACAAGATAAGACTGGTACTGAAACTTACAGGCCAACGCATTTACCTAAAACATTTACAGGTCCAGACCACTTAGCTAAAAACCATCCTACTGAGATGGCGGCTGGCCTGCAATGGATTACTGGCATTACTGGTCTGATGGAGAAATGCATTTATTCTTGGGCTCATAGCAACCGACAAACAGGAATCTCGGAAATAAACTGAGCCCAGAGACAGAGTAGGTGGGACTGGGTGTGTGTATGTCGTGGAGGGATCACTTACCCAGTGACACCAAATGGCTATAGTTCTCCAGCATCACCCGCTTGTAGAGGACCTTTTGTCTGAGGTCCAGAAGCTTCCATTCTGTCTTTGTGAAGTACACGGACACATCCTCAAAAGATACTGGCACCTAAAATAAGGCATTCTTGTGGCCACAGGGGAATTCAACCCCCTGGGCCCCTGGAGGAGCTGACAGAAACAAAATGTGGGGGGCGGGGGGAGCCCTGGAAGGCTCAGCAGGTGGAAAGACTCGGGTTGCACGAGTTGTAAGACAGAAAAACAGGCAGCACAGCCGACAGAGGCAGGAAGCCCAGATTGTGCGCCTCAGGAAAGGAAAACGATGCTAAGGGCAGCCTAAGCTCAGCCCAGCTGGAGAGGCCTGGGCATGAGGAGGCAGCAGACGGGGGCTGCCAGGGGGAGAGGCCAGGGAGAGGGGCCACCACTCACCTTGGGTCTCGTGGTCAGGAGAATGGCTGCCATCACCAGGGCGCAGAGGAGCTAAGGGAAATGCAAAGAGCCCCCTGTGAGCCCAGGGCAGCCTGGAGCAGCCAATCTGCGACCTGCTTGAAGACCCTGCTTAGTTTTTCTTGTGAAATAAGCACAGCGGCCACCTGTGGTGTTCTCACTCCTGCAGCTTCACCAAGGGCCCCTCACCATCAGACCTTCTGTATGGCTTCCTGGGGCGGCCATAATAAGTACTACAAATCGGGGCCTTCAAGCAAGACACATTTTTCTCTCCCGGTTCTGGAGGCCAGAAGTCCGAGATCCAGGTGCTGGCAGGCCCCCGCTCCACTGAAGCCCCTTTCTCGCCATTTTCGGCTTCTGGTGGTTTCCAGCAATCCTTCTTGGCCTCTGTCTTCGTGTGGCCATCCTCTCTCTGTGTGTGTCTGTGTCCCAATTTCCCTGGTCTGTTGTGAATGCCAATCACTGGATTAGGGCCCACCCTGCTCCTACAGTATGACCTCATCTTACCTTGATTACAGCTGCAAAGTCTCCCTTTCCAAATGAGGTCACAGTCACAGATACCAGGAGTTGAGACTTCAATATGTCTTTTTGGGGGGCACCATTCAAACCCAGGACACTCTCTGCAATTGAGGTGCCATGCCCACTTCCATACTGGCGCTCGCCTGACCAGGCTTTCGAGGGAGCCCGTTCCTTCTTTCCTTTCTTTTCTTCTTTTGCTGCTTTTCTTAGCTCTCTCCCCATGTGGCCAGCGTCCCCTGACCCCAACTTTCCAGCCATTCCTGGAAGCTCCACTGCCAATCCCCTTCCCTCAGGTCGGGATTCTTAAGGAAACTCCAAATGCACATGTACGACCTCCCTTTGCAAAATGAAGAGAAGAGAGGTGAGGGCAGTGCAGAATCAAGGGGGACCTACAGTAGTGGGGGTGCTCTCTGAAGGGGTGACATTCAGGCAGAGAGCTGGAGGCTGCAAGTGGCAAAGAGAGTAGCCAGCCAACAGCACAGCACATACCCTGGCCCTCAGATGGTCCTGCATTTGGCATTCGTGGTGCTGAAAATTAGGGAACAGGCGCAGAGGATGACACCACGTGGGACCCTGGAGGGACAGCAGGAAGTTGAGTTTCAGGCTAAGAGTAGGGAACATGAAATTGACAAAGTGGACAAAATTCACCTCGGCCTCAGGACTTCTCCACAGCAGTTCTCAATGCCAGATGGCAGTCAGTGCTGTGGGTTGGATATCTGAGTCTCCACACGTCACGTTGCAATTTGATCCCCAGTGTTGGAGGTGGGGCCTCATGGGAGTTGTTTGGGTCGTGGGGGTGAGTCCCTCATGAACAGATTAATGCCCTCCCTCAGGGGTGAGTGAGTCCTTGCTCTGTGAGAGCTGATTGTTAAAAAGAGCCTGGCTCCTCCCCTCATCTTGCGTCCCCTCTGGCCACGTGATCTCTGCACATGCCGTGCGCCACCAGCTCCCCTTAGACTCCCACCCTGAATGGAAGCAGCTTGAGGCTCTCACTAGATGCAGACGCCCAGTCTTGAACTTTCCAGCCAGCAAAATCCTGAGCTAAAGCAACCTTTTCTCTTTATAAATTACCCAGCCTCTGGTATTCCTGTACAGCAACACAGGAGGACTAGGACAGGGGGGTAAAAGATTGTTCCTTTCTCAGCACACGCCCCCACCAGCTACTTCCTGGTTTCTCTGCTTCTCTGCCTGGGATTTCCATTTTGTTGGTCTCCAAGCTTTTATTGATGTTCCAATGGGTGACTACAGTTTGTTTGTGCCAACAACGCCACAGGAGAGAGGGAGAGGGCACAGGATCCCAGGAGCATAGAGAAGGACAGCCACAGTATTTGCCTGGCATTTAAATTGCTCCAAAGTCCCTTATCATCCATGATGACCTGCCAGCCAACATTGGTCCAAGATACATAAGCTGATGTTCTGAATCCCTGAAGGTGGAATGGATGCTAAACCATTAGGTTAAAGACTTGAGAGAGAAAGGGGTATCACATATCAAAATGCCATCCTGTGATTATTTGAGGGCTGCAAGAGAGTAATCTAACCTAGCAGTGGGACATAGGGTGGGACAGTCCTGCTGCCAGGATGCAGTAGGAAGGTATCCTACCAAAGCCATATGACTGGATTTGAACGCAGCCTTGGCACTCAATGTCCAGTGTCCAGAGGCCCTTGGGAATAGATGACACCACAAGGAAGCAACCTGCCTGACCCAGAAAGGGGCTGTTCCATAGAGCAACGGGTCCCGTATCCTCTGCAAATCAGTGTCATGGGGGGAGAAAGGAGACTGGGGAGAGAGGCTGTTCTAGATGAAAAGAGATTTACGGGGTCCAACACCCAACTGCAAGAGGGGTCGTCAATGAGATGCTGGCGTAAATGAGAGAGTCGTCAAAGGGATTAGGGATCATTGGGAGAGGGTGATTATGGGGTGGCCCTCGGAAGGAAGTAGGGGATCATAACTGCTCATGTGTTGGATGGATAGTGGCACTGGGTCATGGAAGAAAATGTCCCTTTTAAAGAAATGCATATTGAAGCATTTGGGGGAGGGAATGGCATGCAACTTACTTTAAAACCTTTCACAAAGAGAAAGAGAGAAAAGCTGACACAAAAAAGGCAAGATGGTGATTAAAAAGAAAAAAAAACTATGGAAAACAGACTGGTGGCTTGTCAATGAGTTAGACATAGTTATCATATGACCCGGCAATTCCACTTCTGGGTATATACCCCCAAAGAATTGAAAACAGGTGGTTCACACAAACCCTTGCGCACCTGTGTTCACAGCAGCATTAATCACTAGAGCCGAAAGGTGGAAGAAGCCCAAATGTCCATCGATGGATGGATGGACCAACACCATGAGCCTATATATACAATGGAAAAGTATTTGGCCATAGAAAGAAAGGAAATTCTGACACATGCTACCATGTGGATGAACCCTGAGGACACTGCTCAGTGAAAGAAGCCAGATGCAGACTTGAAAGGTCACATATTGTATGATTCCATTTTGTGATGTAACATCACATTTCCCAAGAGCCGTCTTGACCTAGTTTTGAAATAGTGGCTAAAACCTCTCATCTCTATGCCCTTCGAGGGCAGTTTGCTAAGTCCCCACTCCCACCACTTTTCTTACAATTTCCCTCTCTCTGGGGCCACCAAACACACACTCCAACGGCCCCTGCCTCATTGGGCCCCCACACTCTGGGGCCAGGCACCAGACAAGTAGGGACAGCCCCTATGTCCTGGAGCCTGAAAACTTATGCAACTCAATCAATCCAAAGGAAGCTGGAGAAACCTAGCCACCCGCCTCTGCTGGCCCCTTCCGGCCCCAGCTGCTGTTTCCCGGTCCCCGGGTCTAACCTCTGTGTGGCCCTGCCTGGCAGCCTTCTCTCGTTCAGAGCTATACAGAACAAAAAGCTGTGCCTTTCATCTATCCCAGGGTCCTGTCATCCAAAGAACCTTTAACTCTCATAAAACATGTCTGTCCAGAACAGGTAAATCCATCATGTCAGAAGGCAGATTGGTGGGTGCCCGGGGGTGGGGGGATGGGGAGTGAGTGCTAATGGGTCTAGAGGTTTCCTTATGGGGCGATGAGAATGTTCTGGAGCCAGGTAGAGGTGGTGACTGCACAACATGGTGAATGTACTAAATGGCCTCTGAATTGTTCTCTTTAAAATGGTTAATTTGGCCGGGCGTGGTGGCTCACACCTATAATCCCAGCACTTTGGGAGGCCGAGGTGGGTGGATCACTTGAGCTCAGGAGTTGGAGACCAGCCTGGCCAACATAGTGAGATCCCATCTCTACAAAAAATACATAAAATTAGCTGGGTGTGGTGGCGCGTGTCTGTAGTCCCAGATACTTGGGAGGCTGAGGTGGGGTGATGGCTTGAACTGGGAAGGTTGAGGTTGCAGCGAGCCGTGATTGCACCACTGCACTCCAGCCTGGGCGACAAAGCTAGACTCTGTCTCAAAAAATTAATTTTTATGTTGTGTGAATCTCACCTCAATCAAAAAGGAGGGAAAAGAAATGTTCCTGTAGGTAAAATCATTCTAATGTCCGCAGGCCACACCTCATTTCATTATAACACACTGTCAGTCACTGGGACCCCTGCAAAACTAAAGGTGCGTGGGGAGGTATTACTGATAATTTGCCAGTGCTTTCAGACTAGTATAAAATTATTGTTTTGAAAAGCAGCATAAGCTCATTTTTTTCCTTACCATAACAGTACTGAAAGTTCACTACCCATTTTGGACAAGTTGAAAGGGGGAGGAGTTATCTCTAGTCCCTCCACCCCAAGATTACTGAGGCAGGTCTGAGCCCCAAGGGAGCAGAGCACTGTTGAGTGGTGACCCCCTGAGTGAACACCCCATCGGCGGGAGGCCGCCCAGAGACGGAGACCCGCACTCAAGTGCAGCATCGGAAGACCCAGCGGAGGTGCTGGCCACACCAAGCCGTCACCCAGAGCAGTGCCTGTCCTTGAGAGCTAGTTCCCGAAAATCATCTACAATTTCAACTCCTGGAAAGAAAGACACGACAAACCCTGTGCCCATAGAACTCAAATAACACCCAGGTGGGCACTACTCCGTGCATCTGAGGACAGAAGCACCTGGAAGGCACCTGGCGGAACTAGAGAGCAGCTTCTTCCAGCTGGACCAGCAAGACCCTGTGACCTTTGGGGACCAGCAGAGCAGAGGCCAAGCAGAAGGATAATCCTGGGCTCTGAAGCCAGGCTTCCCCGAGGCACAGCATCGGGCACACAGGTGAGAATCCACCAGACCTTGGCGCCTCAGGTGAGGAGCCAGAAAGGCCCATCAACCTGGGTGACCGGTGCCACTGCCGGCCCCTCCAGGGCTGCTCCACCTCTGTGAGGGGCCTCGGACCCGGGACCCCTGCTTGCGGACCTTAGCCTATGGGTGGAACTGAGTATGCAGGGTGCTCCACGCGGGGAGGGCTGGGAAGGGGATGAGAGCAGGGCCACTGCCAGCAAGGAAGCCTGGCCAACCAAGGGGAGAGCTGGCTCTAGCAGGATGCCTTAAGACGACCACTAGATGGGGAGATATTCCCAGAAAAAGAAAAAAGAACCCACACAAACAAACAACAATCAGAAAAGCATCCAGCAGTCCCACTCGGTGGGAGCAGGAATTTGGGCTTTTTCATCCACAGCAAGGGACAGGCATCACCACTTTGGTTGGGTTTCTTCCGTCCTGGGGGATCTTGCTTCTCTCAGCCCCATCAGCTTTCCTTGGCCCGAGGCCCTAGTCACCTGCTGCCCACCTGGCAGAACGGCTGGAGAAGGAAACTGGAGAAACCCAGAGCCAAGGCCCGGCCTGGGTGCTGCATGGGTCGACCGGGGCCCTCCATGCAGCCTAGCCTGAAAAAGTCCTCTGAGGAGCTTCCTTGCAGCTGGGCAGGCCTTGCCCTCTGGGGGCAGAGGGTAACCTAGCCAAAAGGGGGCCACCCAGGCTGCTCGCTGAGGGATCCTTCTAACAGGCGGGTCGGGTCCTGTCCTTCTCTGCTCACAGTTATCCCTGGGATGCCCGTGTCACTCAGAGTAAACTCACACAACCCTTCCTGACCTTGCCCAACCCTCCTCCCACCTCTGCACCTCCCTCTGCTCCTGCCACACTCTTGCTCCCTTGAGCCAGGCCACCCCTGCCTCAGGGCCTTTGTACAGGGGATTCCTTGTGCCTAGAATGCTCTTCCAAAACCATAACCACATGCCTCGCTCTTTTACCACCTTCAAGTTTTGGTAGAAATGAGACTTATTCTAGAATAAGTTATTCTAACCACCTAAACTGGCAACCAGACCTCCCTTCCCCGGCTCTTACTGCCTTTTAACAGACTCTGTAATTACTAATGGAAAACATTTTCTGCTTATTGTCTGCGCTCAGCCACTAGAACGAGAACAACAGGGCAGGGCTTACTACCGCCGTGTCCCTGGCAGATCTCAAATGCTTGCTCAGGAGGTATCTGTGGGAGTGAATCAGTCACAACTAGCCCTGTAGGGAAGCGCTGGGTGCCGCTTTCTGCCCAGCTCAGCTGGCTCCTTCTCTCACCCTTGCCCACCACTTCCATCGGCCCTTCGCTTCCTCCTTGGCTTGGCTAAGCTGATGCTTTTCCGTGGCATGCCAGTCACCTGGTCAACATCCCGCACCACCGCGAGGCACCAGCCCCCACCTGATACCCTCTGGAGCACAATTTTGGGCATCCTGCCCCGATCTGGAGACCCTCAGGGCCGGTGCCTGGGCAGCGGTGCCACAACCTCACAATGCCAGTCTGCCCAGCACTCTCACACCCAGAGGTGCAAAATCCAAACTCACCAGGCAGATCAGCGACAGGATGCTCTTTAGCCAGCCTCGGGACCGGTGGCTGGAAACCAATCAGGAGAGAAATTGACAGACACGGGCCGCAGCTCCCAGCGCCCAGCCCTGGATGGCTCTTCCCCTGGCGCCCCTGGTACGGGGCGGCCCCGAGGGCTGGTCCGGCCACTCAGTGCTAGCCCGCCTCCCAGGGAGTCCCTGCTTGTCGCCGCCGCCGCAGCTCCCTCGTCCCCCTCGACACCTGCACCCTGCCGAGACGGGCCCCTTACCCGCTTACCCGCACCCCTGCGGCCCAGCTCGGCCCTCTTACCTGGGCTCGGCGGGCAGCCGAGGGAGTCGGCCTCCCTTCCTGCTCCCGGCAGGCCCGAGGCCAAGGCCGCCGCCTCCTCCTAGAAGCCCTCCGAGGCCGCGTCCCCAGGAAACGCGGGCGGGGGGTGGGGGCTCCTGGGCTTGTCTCGACTTCGCCTCTGGGTACCGCTCGCGAAGAGCGTCCTGAAGGGGAGTCTCAGTCTGGTGCGCCGACGAGCGGGCCGGGAGCGGGCGGGGCCGGGGCGGCGGCAGCGTGGGAACGGGGCGCGTTGTGGGGGGGGCATGGAGCATGCGCGGCGCAGAGGGATGGCGGCCCGCCCCGCGCCCGCCCCACAGGGGCGTCTGGCCTGGCTCCCCACGCGCCCCGAGGCACTTCCGCTTTCTGTCTGGGCTGCTCTGAAGGCTGGGGTCGAAGTGGTCAGCGCACCGCGGCTCCTGAAGGGGACGGGAGGGACCCGCGTTGGCAGAACACCTCCCATGGGCTAGACCCCTGGGCGTTATTACGTCCATTCATTCAGTTATTCATCTCGCTGGGGTCCCCGGGACCTCTGCAGGGCAGCTAGCACCAAGTACCCCGGCCATGGTCACTCAGTAAAGGAGTGACCCAGGATGGCAAGGATCAGAGAGCGGGGAAGAGGTGAAAGGTGACTCAGGGAGCATGGTGTGGAGACACGAGGAGGGGAAAAAGGAGGTCAGGGAAGTGCAAGAAGCCAAGACCCTCTGGGTGCATCTGGCTTTCCCTCAGGTTACCGGAGGGGATCGCACCTGGAGTTTGTCATTTTCCAAAGGGTCATGCTCCACGTGGTAGAGCAGGGAGTGAAATCCAAGGTTGGTTGGGATATTGCTCTGATGACAATTGTGAGACCTTTGACAAATAGTGAAGCGTATGAAAAAGACCGTAAAAGAAAAGCAACAGGGAAAAATCAGCCACATCACATATCCCAGCCCCGGCCACTGGGAACTGAGCACGAGGCGGGAGCCTCCTTGGCCTTTGAACCAGAGTTCAGGGGTTTCTTTTCTTCAGAGACCCTGGGCCCTGGCCAGGAGCACTTAGCCCGCAGCAAGGAGCCCTCGGCAAGCCTGCGCTCCCAGAACAAAAGCCGTCCATCTGGGGCATAGGGGAAGGGCGAGGACGCTGCTCAGGGAACCTCCGGTTGCAGGGAGCAGGGCCCCCAGGGGGCCCAGTGCAGGGAGAGCTTCGGAGCCCCTTTCCCGGCGCAGAGGCAGGGAGTCTCCCGGTGGCCCTCAGCTGTGTGTCCTGGTGCCCAAGCTTGTCCCTTCACCGGGGCTCTGGCTGGGCAGGCTGGGATCTGGGCTGTTGAGATGTTGTGGGGTGACTGGTTGGTGCCCCTTGAAAGATACATCCATATCTTAACACCCAGGCACTGTGATCAGGGCCTTATATGCAAATAAAGGGTGTCTGCAGATGTCATTAAATTGAGGATGTGGAGATGAGAGCAACCCAGATGATCCAGGGGGCCCCAAATCCAAGGACAGTTTCCTTAGAAGAGACAGGAGAGAGAGACACAGAGAAGGCCATGTGGAGGCGAAGGTGGGGAGTGCCCAGGGCCCCCAGAAGCTGGAAGAGGTGGGTGGATCCACCCCCAGAGCCACCGGAGGAAGCGCCCGATTCTGGACTCCGGCCTCCAGAACTGGGAGAGTCAATTCCTGTTGGCTGAAGCCAAGCGGTTTGTGGTCATTTGCTGCGGCAGCCCAGGCCACTCCGACACGAGGGAATAGGCTGAGCCCAGAGTCCTCCTGGGCCATGGAGGCAGGGGGCGGGGGGACCTTTGCACCCGCATCATCCAGTAACCTGGTGGGGACTGGGGCGACCTTGGGAAGGCAGCTCCTGTTGTCCTTGGCTCATTTCCAGAGAGTGTGAGCGGCCAACCTGCATGGAGGCTGGGGAGTGTGTGCCTCGGGCAGGGGAAGGGGGCCCCTGGGAGTGCACCCCACTTCCACTGCAAGAGAAAGGGCCATGTGCACTGGGCTGCGGGTCCCACACAAGCTTAGAAATGGGGGAGCAGGGGTCACCGTGTGCACCATTGTTGGCACCGCGTGTGTGGACACATTGGTGGTGGAGGCGGCAGCGCGGTCAGCTGAAGAGCGCGACGCCTAGAGCAAGTGAAGACGACCTTGACAAGCCCACGATCCTGTCGGGAGATCAATCTCCCTTCCAGCATGTTTTCAGTTTTTTACTGTAAAGAACTGCAAACCCATGCCCAACCTAGAGAGGATGACAGGGCACACGGGCCCTCCCGGCGGTCCTCACACGGCCCTCTCTCCTCCTCTCCACTCCCCTTATTGTGGCCCTGAGGCCTGGGGCCTCCTGAGAGAGGTATCTCCATCTCTGCTTTAGGCAGGGGCAGGGCCTCCCGGGCAGCAAACCCGGATTCAGAACCTGGGGAGGAAGAGTTGGGGTCTGGAAGTGGGGAGGTCCCCTTTCCTCCCTGGGTTCCCACCACACCTAGCCCTCTCACAGTCCGGCTGGCCTGGCTGCTCCCCAGCTCTGGTCTCCCGTTCTCCCCTTGCCCTAGGCTGGCCCAGGACGGGCAGGTGAGGTAGCCGGGGGGCAGGGGAGTGGGCGCTTTCCCACAGCTGTGGTGCTGCCCACTGTGCCGTGGGCACCCGCCAGGTCACAGGCAGCCCCCTCCTGGGGGCAGGTTGGCAGCCGGTCTCCCAAGCCACAGCAGGTGCCCAGGGGCCCAGCAGGGAGGTCCAGGGTGACGTCAAGCTGTCTGTGGGAAGTGAGTGAGCAAGTTGGGGAAGGCCAGGCCAAAGGGGGCTGTAAGCCACCTTCACAGCAGGGCAGGGGTCAGGGCGGCACCTCTCCCAGGGGTCAGCTGGGCTGTGGCTGACTGCTCTGCTGGAGTGCCCTTGGAGGGAGGTGGTCTTGGGCTGCATGCAGAGCCTTGGGAATATGCTGCCAGCCTCAGATATCCACTGAGGGTGATGGCGACTGTGAGCTCCTGTGGGGACAGGATGTGTGTCTGGACTGGATGAGCTGTTTTTGCAACTCCTGCCTCCGCCCCCCTGCCAGAAAAGTGCTGTAGATGGGGTGCAGCCAGTGAGTGGGGGAGGGGATGTCCAGGCTGCAGTCCCAGGAGACAGTGGCTCTGGGGAAAGCAGGGGATGGAATGCACGCGGCAATGCCTCAGGTCACGCAGGTTGCTCCTTGACCCTGCAGAAGGGTCGGAGTACTGCGTGGCTCATGGCATGGAGAATGCCTTGTGTCATGTGGGCCAGTTTGTCCAACCCTGCGACCCCTGAGGATTGATGGGACCCTCAGGATGAGGCCGGTAGGGGCAATAGTGTCAGGCCTGGGTGCCAGGAGGGAGCAATGCCCAGGCCTCAGGGCAGGCTGTCTTGGCCTTCAGAAGCCTGAGGCCCTGAAGCTCAGCTGGGCACCTGCCCCAGGAGGTGGCCGTCCACTGCCTGAGTGGCAGCTTCTCTCATGGCTGCAGCTGTGGCTCCGGTTCCTGAATGTCCCAGAGGGGAGCCACCACTGGCCCTCTGCTGATCCTCTTCAGTGTGGCCACTGCCGTTCTCACTGTCCCTCCCAGGACGGCCTCCCTCTCCCTTCACTGACTCTCCCAGTCTGATCACAACTGTTTCTCAACTATCCCTCCCAGTGTGGCCACAGCTATCCTTATGGTGCCCCCTCCAGTGGCTTCACTGTCCTGAGCTGTCACCCAGGCCCCAGCCTCTTTCCAACCTCAAGTCTTGGCTCTGGCTTCAGGCTGCTGCCTGTGTGCTAGAGAATGTCTGTCAGTGTCCGCTGGGATCACGTGCTTCCTTGTTCCTGCTCAAGGAAAGAGAGGCCCCTCCTCTGTGGATAAAATCTGAAAACTTCCCTTTGGTCTGACTGGGCCATTTGGGCCATGGACTGCTCGGATCACTAACAGTTGCCCCAGGAACACATGTGCAGCTGCATTTGAACCAATCAGGAGCCACCTGTGGATTTGGGGATGGGAGTCACCATGCCCTGAGCCACGTGGGGGAGGGACGGAGGCTGGAACAAAAAGGGGCTTCTAGCCGGGCATGGTGGCTCATGCCTGTAATCTCACCACTTTGGGAGGCTGAGGCAGGAGGACTGCTTGAGATCAGGAGTTTGAGATCAGCCTGGGCAACACGGTGAGACCCCATCTCTACAAAACATAAAAAAGTTTTGGCTGGGCACAGTGGCATGCACCTGTAGTCCAAGCTACTTGGGAAGCTGAAGTGGGAGGATCACTGGAACCCAGGAGTTTGAGGCTGCAGTGAGCTATTATGGCCCCACTGCACTCCAGCCTGGGCAGCAGAGCGAGACCCCGACTCTAAAACAAGCAGGAGTCCACTGAGGAAAAAAGAGGGGGAATGGCTGCTGGGAGGGCAGCCAGCAGTGTCTAGTCTCCAGACATTCCTTCAGGTGATAGGGACCAAAGCCAGGAGGGTCACCAAGGGTAAGGAGCTGAAGAGTCACCCAGCCTTGCCAAGACTTCCTGGCAGAGGAGAAGGCTTAGCCATCTACTGGCCCGGAGGCTGAGCTGGAGCGTGGCTGTGCCTGGCCTCTTGGCTGGCCTCCCCAGCCTCAGTGCCTGGCATGTCCCCACCTGGATGCACCTGCTTTTTTGGTATTTGCACTTGGATGCGCCAATGCACACATCCAAAACTGAGCTTGTGATCTCGTGCCAGGGCTAGCGCTCTTACCAAGTCCCCAGCTGCAGTGAATGGAACACGCCTGTGTCAAAGGCCAGAAAGTGGGGATACATCCCTTGCCCACCCTCCACCTCCCATCATTCACGGTGTCTGGTTAGTTCTCTGCACGTTTTAGGTCTGTTAAACGGACCCTCTCTATCTGCTCCATGACACTGTCCTTGATGTCATCTAGGCTAGTTATCTCTCACAGGACAACTCCAGCCACCCTTAGCTAGTCTTACTGCATCCACTCTGGTCCCCAAATAATTTCTCCACAAAGAAACCAGAGATAACTCTTTAGAATGCAATGAGTTCGTGTCACTCACACAAATACATGTCTGTGCGTGCATGTGCAGCACTGGCTTCACATCTGTCAGTGAGTTCTCAGCTTTTTCAGGATGAAGATGAAACCCCTCTGAGGTCCATGAGGTCTGCACTGTCTGGCCTCCGCAGCATTGGTGCGTGGCATCCCCAACCCTGCAGTCACACCGACCTTTCAGCCCAGTACTCTCCATGTCCCTTCCAGCTCCAGGACCTTTGCACATGCAATTCTCTCACCTGATGGGGAGCTTCCCTCCCAAAAGAGGAGTGGAAAATGTCTGGGCTTTCCCAGCTTCCCTTGTAGCTATGGCATGGGCACCTAACCCAGGCTCTACCAATCAGATACACCCACTACCCACTGAGTGTGAGGCCCGAGGTACGCCTGTGGGATACCCTCTAGCTGGTTTTCCCTGGGCTTCCATCAGCCAGTCTGTTCCTGTTATGTGCAACTGAGAACCCTGAGGGACTAGCTCTCCGCCGATGCCGTCGAATCTCCCGCTGCTTTAAATGCTCCCCTCCCCGGGCTCAGGATGCCACTGGCCCTTGGTTTGCTTCTCAGAACTTGAGCAGCTCTCTGCAGAGTCCTTTTTTGACTCTTCTTACTTCATCTTTCCTCTAAGATTGGTGTCTGTTCATGGTTATGAATATTTAGAGGCTTCATATTACTTGCGGGATTGATGGCCCACCAGGCAATGCCTCCCTGGGTGACTTTTGGTGCCATTTACTAAGACAATGCTGCTCAGAAGAGTAGGCTTGGAGGAAATCTCACCGGCCACTGTAGACTGCTGGGCATTAAGGGGATATTAGAGTATTAGTTATCTATTGTTACATAACAAATTACTCCCAATGGCTTAGCTGAGGGGTTCTGGGTTAGGGTCACTCATGAGGCAACAGTGAAACTTTCATCCAGGGCAGCAGCCTCTGAGACTTAATTGGGGCTGAGGGATCCACTTCCAGGCTTACTCACGTGGCTACATGGCTGTTGGCAAGTAGCTCAGTTCCTCAGCACGTGGGCCTCTCCATAGGGCTGCTCATAGCAGGGCTTCCTGCAAAACAGTGATCTATTTTGGGGGGTGAGGGAGAGAGAGAGAGTGAGAGAGGCAGGGGGATCTATGTGTGTGTGGGGAGACAGAGTGAAGGGTGGGGAAAGGGAGAGGGAGGGAGGAAAGGGCGGGGGAGGAAAGGAGAAAGGGGAAACAAGTGCAAGAAGGTAAGAGAGAGCACCCAAGACACACGCTGCCTTCTCTGAGAAGCCACGCTTGCCAGTTACAGCCCACAGATTCTGCTGAACTCTTTGTTACTAAGTCTAGACTCCACTCAAAGGGAGAGGGATCCAGCTACACCTCTTGAAAGGGGAGTATCACAGAGTTTGTGGACGTATTCTTCAAATCCTCTTTTTAGTCACCTATGATAACTGCATCAGGTCCCATGAATGAGAGGATGGGTTGGAGAGGCGACAACACTTGAAGCAAAGTGGGGGTTAGAGCCTTAGTTATCTATCACTACATAACAAATTACTCCTGGTGGCTTAGCTGGGAGGTTCCGGCTTAGGGTCACTCACAAGGCGACAGCGAAACTGTCATCCGGGGCATCTTGTTAAAACTTGCCATAGTGTTGGCCCCAGGGATCTTGTTAAAACTTAAGTCAGGTTCTGCCTTCGGCAATGGTGGAGTCACTCCTATCAGACCAACCCTCCCACAGATGACATCTATGAAACCAGGATGAAATACTAACAACAAAACCTTCTGATGGCATGAGGGACTAAGCAGTAGAGGCAGAAACCATAGGGGGTTAACACCTCGAAGAAGAGACTGGCACTAGGTGAGTTTCTTACATGTGAGCATGGGCCACAGAGGACACCGTGCTGGGTGACCAAAACTCAGAGACTCAGAGAGTAGACTTTGGGATGGCCACGGGAGAGGGAAAGCATGAGGGGTATCACCTGGGAGCAGAGAAGCACCATGTGGAGGAGCCCCGTATTTGGCCTGTACACTTGGCCCAAATCTCTGGCTGACCCCAGGGCTATTAATACACAAGGCAGAGTCCAAGAAAAGAACTGAGCAGAGGTTTCAGCTGATGCCCAATACCGTGGAAACGGAGTCTGGAGATTGCAGTTGATACCCAACACAGGGGAGACTTAGTGTGAGTTTAGCTAGTTTAGTTGTCTACTAGGACAACAAACCACCACCGCCACCACCACCACCACCACAACAACAATAACAAACAATGACTCATCTTCGGAGAAATATAACAGAAACCAAGAAGCCAAAGCTACTAGAACTCATTATGGACAGTGTCTAGGATATAATGCTAGATTACTACAAGAAACAAGAATTGTCCTGATACTCAAGGAAAAAAGCATTCAAGAGAATCCAACCTCTGAGATGACCCTAGTAATTCACAATATTAAAAAAATATATATTCTTAAGGAGATAAAGCACACTTCTGCCTGTAATCCCAGCACTTTGGGAGGCTGAGGTGGGTGGATTGCTTGAGCCTAGGAGTTTGAGGCCAGCCTGGGCAATATGGTGAAACTCTGTCTCTACAAAACATACAAAAAATTTAGCTGGGCATTGTGACGTGCACCTGTAGTCCCAGCTACTTGGGAGGCTGAGGTGGGAGGATTGCTTGAGCCTGGGAGGTGGAGGTTGCAATGAGCCATAATCACACCATTGCACTCCAGCCTAGGCAACAGAGTGACACTGTGTAAAAAAAAAAAAAAAAAGAAGCATGCTTCTAATACTTTATTAATTTATTTATTTTGAGGCAGAGTTTTGCTCTGTTACTCAGGCTGGAGTGCAGTGGTGTGATCATGGCTCACTGCAACCTCCACCTCCCAGGCTCAAGCAATCCTCCCATCTCAGCCTCCCAGGTAGCTGGGATTACAGGCATGTGCCACCACATCCAGCTAATTTTTGTATTTTTTTGTAGAGATGGGGTTTCTCCATGTTGCCCAGGCTGATCTCAAACTCCTGACCTCAAGCAATCTGCTCACTTCAGCCTCCCAAAGTGCTGGGATTACAGGTGTGAGCCACCATGCCCAGCCACCTAACATTTTTTTTTAAACCCATCTCACTGCTCACTGATTATGAATTTTTTCAAATAGGAAATTTCAGAAGAGAAATAGAAACTATAGATGTTCCTTGACTTACTGTGGTTAAGTCCTGACAAACCAGTAGTAAGTCAAAAATATGGTAATTTGAAAATGCATTTAATGTCCCGATAAACCCAGATGCTCCTTGACTTAGGTTGGGGTGATGTCCCAGTAAAGCCAGTGTAAAGTTGAAAAATCATAAGTCAAACCGTCATAAATCAAGGACTGTGTAAGTTGCAAGTGTAAGTAAAGAACCAAGGGTAAGTTCTGAACTGAAAAACAACATTGGAAGTAAAATCTTCACTGGATGATCTTAATAACATTGTAGATGACAGGTGAGTTGCAAACTTACAGATAAATAGAAATAATCTTTTCTGAAAAACCAAGAGGAAAAAATGAAAAGGGCGCCTCAGTGAGCTGTGGGACAATATATAGAGGTCTAATGAATGTGTATATGGACTCCTAGGAGAGAAGGGAGAGAATGGGGAAGAAAAACTACTCGAAGAAATAATGACTGAAATTTCCAAAATTTGGAGATAGACATAATTTACAGATTCAAGGAGCTCAGTGAATTCCAAGGAAGATAAATACAAAGAAAAAACACGTGTAGGCACATTGCAGTCAAAGTACCGAAAACAAAGAGTAATGAGTGAATTGTGAAAACAGTAAAATGCAACTCGAAGAAGAAGAGAACATTCACAAGTTCTACTGAATTCTCATCAGAAGTAATGGAAACCAAGAGAGAATGGAACAGGATCTTTAAAGTGGTGAGAGAGAAGAAACAATCCTTTCAACTCAGAACTCTGTATCTATATCCAGGGAAAATACTCCTAAGAATGAAGGTGAAATAAGGATGTTTCGAGATACATGAAAGCTAAGAGAATTCATCAACAGACTTGCATTAAAATAAATGCTACAGAAAGACTTTCGATCTTAAGGAAAAGAAGGAAATCTCGATCTTTGGGTAGAAATGAATAACAAAATATGTGGGTAAATATCAAGGAATATTTATTTTATCTTTATAAGTTATTTATAATACACATGACAGTTTAAGGTAAAATTATAAATAATGTATTATAGGGTTTATAACATGTAGATATATATATGACAACTATAGCATAAAGGACGGGGTGCAGGGGGCAGTAATCTGTATAATGAAAATGGTCTTAAATTTAGGTGATGTGGTACAATGTAAACTGTAAGTAGAGAGTGAAAAGTAAAGGATATATATAGGAATCCCTAGAGCAACCACTAGAAAACAATGCAAAATGTTATTGCTGAAAAGGTAAAATAAAAGGTAATAATGATACAAGGATCAATTAATCAGGAACACATCGAATTCATACATATGTTTGCACCCAATAACAGAGCTTCAGAGCTTCAAAATACATAAAACAAAAGTTGACAGAATAAAGACAGAAATCGGCATCTTCACAATTATAATTGGAGATTTTAACACTCCTGCCCCAGTCATTGTTACTGCTAGAAAAGGGATCAATAAAAACATAGGGCCTGTAATCCCAGCACTTTGGGAGGCCGAGGCGGGCGGATCACAAGGTCAAGAGATGGAGACCATCCTGGTCAACATGGTGAAACCCCGTCTCTACTAAAAATACCAAAATTAGCTGGGCGTGGTAGTGCGCACCTGTAGTCCCAGCTACTCGGGAGGCTGAGGCAGGAGAATCGCTTGTACCCGGGAGGCGGAGGTTGCAGTGAGCCGAAATTGCGCCACTGCAGCCTGGCAACAGAGCGAGTCTCAAAAAAAAAAAAAAAAAAAATCCAGCCTGGCGACAGAACAAGACTCAGTCTAAAAAAACAAAAACAAAAACAAAACAAAACAAAAACCAAATAAACAAAAAACAAAACAAAACAAAACAAAACATAGGATCTTTTTATGACATTACCAAGCACATTGGAAAGCAAACAGTGGAAAAAATTGGACCGATTTACCGCAATGAACTTTCGCTTTGCAAATGTACTCCGCCGATCCTCGTGGGCAGGCCTTTCCATTGGCGGAGGGTCAATCGGTGTGCCTGCCGCTTCTGGGCTTCGAGCCTTTCCACCTTTTGATTCACGTGTAGTCGTCATGGTAACAACAGTGCATTCCCACGTGCTCCTCTCTTGTGCTCTCCCTATCCAATCATTTGCCTTGCATAGCGACACCAGTCTGGAACTTTCTTTCGGAACTCCCTGTGGCTTCCGGGAGAACCAGGGGTTTCTGGGAGCCCGGGTGACTGTTGGCGCCAAGTGCCTCAGAGAGCCACACGCTTCCACGCTGCGGAGCTGAGGTGATCTCTTCAGACCCTTCGGAGAGACCCAGATATCTGACTTCCCACTGAGAGACCCGGAATTGCCCAGAGTTTGAGAAAGTGAGTAGACCGCGGGGGTTTGCCAGGACCCAGGCCCAGGAGGTGTTGCCGGAGCTCAGGATGGCGGCCCAGGAGGTTCCCGGGGTGTGGGGGGGGGGCAGGCGGTGTGGCAGGCCGTGAGGAGCCGGCTGCGGAGCTGGGGGGCGGCGGTCCCGCCTGGCCCGGTTTAGGTGCGGCGTGGCTGTCACGGTGGGCTTCCCGCCAAGGAAGGCCCCCTCGGGAGGGCGGTTGGAAGGAGGGCTGAGGGGAGGGGTTCCTCAGTGCGGGGTGGCCAGAGGAGGACCCCTGGGTCCCTGGGCGGAGAGGGTCGCCAAGCACGCGGGGTAGAAGAGGCAAGAGGGAGGGTGACTCGCCCAGTGCTGGGGTGAGGGGGTGTCGAGGGCTTCCGGCTGTGGGGCTGGGGGTCGGGAGGGGGCTCCCTGGGGTGGGAGGGCAAGGGGGCTGTGGAGCGCCACGTGGGAGAGCAGGCTGGCGGGCTCCAAGCGTGGGGCGGGACGGAGGGCGGCCCAGCCTGGGTCTGAGGCGCGAGAGGGGACGGCCCCTGGCGGGTGCCGTGGTCAGGTCCTAGGGCTGGGTGGGTGAGGGCAGAGGTGATTCCTAAGCCCGGTGGAGGGCCGACCAGAGCGGAGGGTGCCCTGCCTCTGTGGGCTATGGGGGCTCCTGACTTGGGGGTGGAGGGCGGGATTGTCGGGCCCCTGGCTGTGGGGAGGCCACAGAGGGAGGCTCATGTCTAAGCACGTGGGACGCCCTGCTGCCCGGGGCTAGACTGGAGTGCTGCCAGCTGGGTTTAGGGGGCGCCCAGTGTGGAAGGGCACGTTGGGGGCAGGAAGGGACTGTCCCCGGTGTGCGGTGGGGGATGGGCTGGAAGGAGGGCCAATGCCTAAGGGTGCACGGGGTGCGGAGCCGGAGGCTGCCTGGCGGCCAGTGGTACAGGCGACGGTGAGCGCCCCCTGGAGGCTGTCGGCGTGGCAGTGCCGTGAGGAGCCTGGCCCCCTACAGGTGGAATTGGAAAGGCTTCAGGTCGCCTCTTCGTGGGGAATGGCGACAGGAGTTGCAGTGGTTGGAGGGGGCAGACCTTGGCCTCTGTAGAAAATACGGATTCATGACAAGGGCAAATTGTACATTCACTTAGATAGACCATATGTCGAGCCATTTAAAAATCTTCAGAAACTGAAAAGGATCGCACGTTTTCATAAGTTCTCTGATCACAGTGGAATTTTATTTGAAATTAATAACAATAACATATGTCTAGATATTTTGAAATCCATGGGTCAAAGATGAAATCACCAAGGAACTTACAAGATATTTCAAACTGCACAAAACATTCAACTTACCCAAATTACTAGCCATTTGGAAGGAAGGAAGTGGTCAGAGGAAAATTTCTTGCTTTCAGTGCTCATAACAGAAAAAAAGAACATAAAATCAATGGCCGAACAGTCCATTTAAAGAAGCTCGAAAAAGAGCAAAAGTAAACACAGAATGAGTCAAATAAAGAAATAACAGAGATAAAAAGGACAATCAGTAAACCCCGATATTAGGCTTTTTAAAGAGTACCAAAATTAATGAACCCTAGCAAGACTAATTAAGATGAGAGGGGGCTAGGCACAGTGGTTTATGCCTGTAATCCCAGCACTTTGAGAGGCTGAGGCGGGAGGATTGCCTGAGCCCAGGAGTTCAAGGCCAGCCTAGGCAACATAGTGAGACCCCTTCTCTACAAAAAGTACAAAAAATTTAACCACGTGTGTTAGCATGTGCCGGTAGTCCCAGCTACTCAGGAGGCTGAGGTGGGAGGATCGCTTGAGCTCAGGGGGTCGAGGCTGCACTGAGCCGAGATCAAGCTGCTGCACTCCAGCCTGGGTGACAGAGTGAGACCCTGTCTCAAAAAACAAACAAACAAACAAAAAACAACACACACACACACACACACACACACAACACACAAGAGAGAATGAACACTAATCAATATCAGGAATGAAGGACAGGATATTACTACAGATCATATAGACATTAAAAAGATAAAGAGGGAATATTGTGAACAAGTTTTTATCAAAAGTTTTGAAAACTGAGATAAGCTTCCCAATTCCTTTGTGGGGGAAAAAAAGTAACTTACTACAAATGGCACCAAGTAGCATAGAAAATGTGACTAGCCCTGTATCTTGCAAATAAATTTAATTTTGCCATCAAAATTTCACTAAAATCAAAGCGACAAAACAAGGAGGCAGAGGAACTCCAGCCCTGCCCCCTCACCCCCACACACGTAGGGGCAGATGAGTGGTGGGAGTGAGTGTTTGGCACAAACAAGCTTCTCTCTTTGCACTCACAGGCTGTGTCGGAGACTGCAACAGTCAGCACACATTCCTGATTGATCAGGCTCCCTCCCTCAAGTCCTCTGCGATGGCTCTGGCGATGCTTCGGGACTGGTGCAGGTGGATGGGTGCGAACGCAGAGCGCTCCCTGCTCATCCTGGGTATCCCTGATGACTGCAAGGAACATGAGTTCCAGGAGGCCGTGCGGGCTGCCCTGTCGCCCCTGGGCAGGTACCGAGTACTCACCAAGCACTTCAGAAAGGAGCTCGGGGCCAAGGCAGCCTTGGTGGAGTTCGCTGAGTATTTAAACCGAAGCTTGATTCCCCATCAAATACCAGGCAATGGGGGGCCCTGGAAAGTGATCTTCCTGCCCCAAGTACCTGTTATTGAGTTTCAGGATATGCCCAGTTTTCCTGCACAGCCCCAGGGTCAAGCAGTAGCAAAAGCTGCAGGTGAGGGAGGAGGCGCAGGTGAGGCAGGAGGTGTAGGTGAGGTAGGAGCAGCAGGTGAGGCAGGAGGCACAGGTGAGGCAGGAGCAACAGGTGAGGCAGGAGCAGCAGGTGAGGCAGGAGGCGCAGGTGAGGCAGGAGGTGTAGGTGAGGCAGGAGCAGCAGGTGAGGCAGGAGGCGCAGGTGAGGCAGGAGCAGCAGGTGAGGGAGGAGCAGCAGGTGAGGCAGGAGGCGCAGGTGAGGCAGGAGGTGTAGGTGAGGCAGGAGCAGCAGGTGAGGCAGGAGGCGCAGGTGAGGCAGGAGGTGTAGGTGAGGCAGGAGCAGCAGGTGAGGCAGGAGGCGCAGGTGAGGCAGGAGCAGCAGGTGAGGCAGGAGGCGCAGGTGAGGGAAGAGCAGCAGGTGAGGCAGGAGCAGCAGGTGAGGCAGGAGCTGTGGGTGAGGCAGGAGCAGCAGGTGAGGCAGGAGCTGTGGGTGAGGCAGGAGCTGCAGGTGAGGCAGGAGCTGTGGGTGAAGCAGGAGGGACAAATGTAACAAAAGCCTGGGTCCAGCCTTGGCGCTGCACCCTACAGCCTGTGCTGGAAAACAGGGCCTACCGGGAATTGAGACCCTTTTCCAGGAGGGAGCAGCCAGGCTGCGAGGAAGAGTCCTTTGAGAGCTGGGTGGAGCATGCCAAGGATATGCTGCAGCTGTGGTGCCATGCGTCGGAAAGGGAGAAGAAGAGGTGGCTGCTGGAGAGCTTGGGCGGCCCGGCCCTGGAAGTCGTGAGCGGCCTCCTGGAGGAAGATACCAACTTGTCCGCGCTGGACTGCCTGGCGGCGCTGGGGCAGGTATTTAGGAACCAGGACACTCGAATGACTTCGAGGCTGAAGTTCCTGACCTGCACGCAGGGGCCCCAGGAGGGGCTGTTTGCCTTCGTGGTGCGCCTGGAAGGCCTGCTGCAGAGGGCTGTGGAGAAGGGGGCCGTCTGCCCAGCCTTGGCCAATTACCTGCGACTACAGCAGGTGCTGTCTTGGGCCCGCCCCAGCGAGGCACTCCAGGATACCCTGAGAGGGATGCAGCTGGAGAAGAGGCCACCTGGCTTCCTGGGGCTGCTCCGGCTCATCCGGGAGATGGAGGCATGGGCAGCCTTCCCAGCGAGGAGCCAGCAGGGTGTGGCCTGGGCAGCGGCCCCAGTGGAGAGTGAAGACCCAGCTGCTGCCCAGGCCTCCCCAGCCCAGGGGAATGCCAGCGAGGCTGGTCCCGGAGCAGAAGATGCTGCCGAGGCCGCTTCTGCCACCAAAGAGGCTGCAAGGGGAGCCCCTGCCGCTGGGGAAGGTGAAAGTGCCCCTGCAGGCCCCGAAGGCCTAGGTCAGGCAAGGCCCATAGAGGTCCCCTGGGGCTCCTCCCCAGCCCGGATGAGCAGTGCTGTCTGGGTGTTCCCAAGAGGTCTTAGCTGGGGTCCAGAGGGCCTCATCCAGGTGAGAGGCCAGGAAGCCAGGAAACCCCCACTGGAGGGGCTCCAGACCATCTTGGAGGAGCCGGAAAACGAGGATGAGGATGGGGCCGGGGACGAGGGCCAGCCCAAGTCCTCCCAGGGCAAATAGGCTCCTAGGGCCCCGGGGCCTCCTCTCCTCTCAGGCAGCAGCGCCTTGGAGGCAGACAGAGGCCAGGCCAGGGCCAGTCCCTCACCCCACATTCAGGAGTAAGGGCCCCCCACCTCCCCCAAGGGGCTCTGGCCACCACCCCCATTCCTTCCCTGTGACCCGGATGACCACGTTTGATACAAAATGGGGTGGGGAGAGGCGCCCCCCCGCTCCCTTGCACCCAGCACACCCAGCCCCAGCCCCAAACCCTGCCGCCACGGGGGGCTGGCCTGGAGGGAGCCCTGAGTGGGCAGCTGTGGCCTGGGTGGGGGCACCTGAAGATGTCTGCCCCCAACCCAGGCCGTGAGTTGGGAGAGACAGGGGGAAAGAGGCCCTCTCAAGGTTGCCAGCTGCCTGGGTCTCTCAAGAGGGGTCAGCCCACTTGCCATCTCCGGGGCAGGCTGCCCTCTGTTCCGGGAAGCTCACCCTCACCTGTGTGACCCACGCGCCCAGCAGACGCCCACCCACTGCTAGCCATCATTTCTGCGAAAAGTCATGTACTGTGCGCCCATGCAGGCGGCCACCTCTGGGCCCGGGGCACGTGCTGTGAGCTTCCTGCGAGCCCAGGCTCTGCTTGCTGCTGTCCTGCATCGTGAGCACCACCTCTGCTTTCCTGGCGTAGATCTAGGCCAGGGGCTGCTTGTTCTCGTGGAGCTGCGTGTGTTCTTCTCTGAGCAGCCTCTCCCCGGAGACCCCCAGCGCAGTCCCAGGAGATGGCGGGAAGGAGGCACCAGGGCACGGCGGACGCTCACCCCGTGACCACGATGGTGACCCTGACTGCGGGAAGAAGAACCGGACCCGGGGCACAGCGGGGCTGCGTGAGGATCCACAAGAACTATGCTTTGGCGTTTCACCCCTGTTGTTACTTGTGACTCAGTTTCTTCAGCCTGGTGGGGTGTTCCCTGGTGTTTCCCAGTGTTCTGTGACTGTCCTGTGAAGGCCATAGGGATGGGCTCAGGAGGGGGCTCCCTGAAGCCAGTGGACACTGCCAGAGTCCACTGTCCTGGCAAAAGGCAGACCCTGGGGCCCTCGGGAAGGAGGGAGGTGGCAGCGGGGGCAGCAGCGGGAGGGGGAGCAGATGACGTGCCTTGCCAGGAACCCCAGGAGGAGGGGGCCTGGGACCTGTGTCCTGTGGTGGCTGTTTACAGTTTCTCTCTGTATTGTGGTTTCCTTCTCTTCAATAGTTTCAGTATATGTTTCTCTTCAATAAATTTCATTCCGTGTTCCAGCCGGTCTCGCCTCTGCTGTGGGAAACTAGGGGAGGGGGATTGGCTGGGGATGGGGTGGGCATGGAGGAGAGGAAAAATATTCCTGCCCAGCACCCCTGGGGGACATCTCCAAAAAGAGTGTAAGTGAGAGCACTTTGACCAGCATGCGAGGGCACGACAAGGGCTTTTCTTATATTTTATAGGTGAATTGTCAAGTTTTGGGGTTTCATTCGTCCTTAGATTGTGTTGTCCTGTTCCCTGCAGCTTTTAAAAATGTGTGGGAATGATGCTGGTTGTTTACTCGATTTGGGGGAAGGTGCCACTGGCATTCCGTCCTCAGGGTTCAGGACTTCTGAACGTGGGTCACGTGTTTCTGAGGCCATGCAAGAAAGATCAGTCCTGCCCACAAGGTCAATAGCACCCACAATGAGAAAGCCAGTATTAGAGTTACAGGGGTTTCCTAAAACCCCCAAATGTTTTAAAACTTGAGATATCCTAAAACTTGAAAATGTCACTATGGAACAATAATGAGCAACTTCAAATCTCTAGAGCCTAGTGGGGCTTCCGGGAGGATGGGTGCAAACATTCATCCGATCTCCACCTGAGACGGGAGATGTGCTATCCAGGAAGAGGAGAGGCAAGGCAGGCGCAGAATGAAGTGGGGACCTGCAGGAGCCCGGGTGCTCTCCGAAGCGGTGACAGGCTGAGAGCTAGAGGCTGCGAGTGGGCAAAGACTGGCAGTCTGTTCAAAGAAAAACTTTAGACGAAATACATTTAATAAAGTTTATTTGAGCATGAAAGGGTTCACGGATCAGGCAGCACTGGTGATGGGGAGTTCAGAGAGCTGTGCTGCAGCCGCGTAAAGAGCGGGAGGAGGAATGTGGAGGCAGAGAAAGGAGCTCCTGAATCGGCTGCAGTGAGGCGTTTGCCTCACTTGGGTGTGATACAGTGGGTGGTCCCTAGTTAGAGGTTAGATGGCAGTTTCTCCTTGGCCAAACTTGTGTTTTGCTTTACTGTTTACGTTGGGCTTAAGTTTGCTTGTGTAGGAATCCAGGGCATGGGAGCTGTCCCAGCCTTTTGATCTAATTACATTTCTTTTTAACTAGGTCAAGGGCGTGGCACATAACCTGGCCCCCAGAAGGGCTGGAGCTTGGCATTTTTGTGCTGAAAATTGAGGAAATAGGGTGCAGAGGAAGAGACTGTTTGGGGTCCTGTGGAGATGGGGAGGAGTCAGGTTTAATTCTCAGGGCAGTAGGATGCTGTTGGCTGATTTAGGCCTCTCACAAGGAGCAGAAAATGCCAAGTCTGTATTCTCCCAGCTTCTCCTGCAGCGAGGGCTTTGGTGCATGACCTGGGCTCCACCAATCAAATGCACCCACTGCCCACTGAGTCTGAGGCCCAAGGTGGGAAGAAGCAGGGGCCACAGATTCAGTGGATCAGTGGTGGCTGCATTAGGCCACTCTTGCATGGCCATAAGGAAATACCTGAGACTGGGTAATTTATAAAGAAAAGAGGTTTAAATGCGGGCTGTACAGGAAGCATGGTACAAGCATTTGCTTCTGGGGAGGCCTCAGGAAGCTTTTACTCACGGTGGAAGGGGGAGAGGGAGCAGGCACTTCACATGGTGAAAACAGGAGCGAGCAAGCGAGCGTGCCAGACACACACACACAGAGACAGAGAGAGAGAGGCAGAGAGAGAGAGAGTGGCAGAGAGAGACAGAGAGTGCGCGAGAGAGTGAGCAGGGGAGGAGGTGCCACACACTTTTAACTGACCAGATCTTGTGAATTCGGAGCTAAACCTCACTCATCAGCAAGGGGATAGTCCAAGCCATTCATGAGGGAACTGTCCCCATGACCCAAACACCTCCCACCAGGCCCCACCTCCAACATTGGGGATTACAATTCCACATGAGATTTGGGCGGGGACAAATATCCAAACTATATGACCATGGTTCTCATGGCAGCACCCTGAGTCCCACAGTGTCTGTGCCCACTCAGTTGTGGGTGGGAGCCACAGGGGAGGCCTCCCCTGCTCAGCACTCCTGGGATTTGGAACCTCGTTCCTCTCTGCAAAGCCTCCTAGCCCGGTTCTCCAGCCCTCCCCAGACCAATCATGGGATAGTGCCGTAGGCCTGGCAGTTCTTCTGGACCCGCTGTTGCTGGCTACCCAGAATGCAGCGGCCCTTCCTCTTAGTTCTCTTAGGGATTTTGAGAGAATCCCTCACTGTTTGCAATTTTGGTGGCAAGTAGGGCCCTGTCACACCATTAAACGCACAGGGACCAGCTCTTTTCTTTCTGCCTGGGCCCAGCTATGGGGTGGGCATGTGACTTGGGCTTGGCTAATCAAATGCCTTGTCCTGGGTCTCTGAATCTGAACCTGAGGTGCCTGGACAGGGGTGGCTGGAGGCCTGGACCCAGGTGGTGGCGGCAGCATGCTGGCTGGCCTGCCCCTGCTCTTGGCCTATGCTCTGGTTTTGGAATCCCTGGGGAAATTCCAGCGTTCCAAACCCGGTTCCTGGTCTCCTGCCCTTTCCATAAGCCTCTAGGAGCCAGATGAGTAGTCCTCACTGTGCCTGAGAGAGCTACAGGCTGTCCCGGTGCAAGCTGGTCACTGACTGGCGCATGCTGCCCGCTCTCTTGGCCGCCATGTGGTCCTTTCGAGGCAGCTGCCTTCCCTCAACTCTGCTAAATCCTCAGCACCAGCTCAAAGTATCCCCTAGGTGGGAGCAGCTGGAGGGCAGGGGTGTGTCTTGCTCACCCCTGTGTTGGGCATGGCCAGAGAGGGGCGGGGGGCAGCGGTTCCTCGGGGAGTTTTTGTAGGTGACTCTACTGGCTCAGGCTGACCCTATCCGAGCACACTCGCACTGACATTCACAGCCCCTCCTGGGCAGTCCCACGTGACCAAGCCCCCAACTCTCTTCAAATGAAGAAGCTCCTCACACGTCCCAACTGGGGCCATCGTGTTCCATGAGCCCCAGAGAGTGGTCAGCCAGTGAGTAAGTCTGGGGGTGGCCTGCATGTAGCAACACAGCCAATGGTGAGTTCTCCGTTTTCAGGTCTGGGGCTCCACCCGTGCCCGAGTTCTCCGTTTCAGAGGAAAGAAAGCAACTCAACGTCTCTGGCTCCCTCCCACTTTCCTCTGCCACTGCCCTGGAAGGGCCATAGACACTCCATGTCCACCATGGACTGCAGAGCTGCTGCCCACCTGTGACCTGGTGGAGGCAGGGTGCCGGTGCTGAGGCCCTTTGGGTGGGCAGGTCTGGGGGAAGCTCTCGGAGCTGAAGGTGAGGGCCTTGGGGAGCCCCCAATCCAGTGTAAGCCCTGCTGGAGAAGGCTTCCCAGCCCCAGTTAGAGTTGGGTCCTTCCCACAGACACTGCTGCCAGCTAGGTGGCACCAGTCAATGGGAAGGGGGCGTCTGGCAATGCTTCAGTGGTGGGGGTGGGGGTGTAGGAGTGGCTGTGCTGTGTGAGTGTGCATGGTGTGTGAGTGTGTGTGGTGTGCGAGTGTGCGTGGTGTGTGAGTGCATGGTGTGCGAGTGTGTGGTGTGCATGGTGTGTGTGGTGTGCATGGTGTGTGAGTGTGTGGTGTGTGAGTGTGCATGGTGTGTGAGTGCATGGTGTGCGAGTGTGGTGTGCATGGTGTGTGTGGTGTGCATGGTGTGCATGGTGTGTGTGTGTGGTGTGTGAGTGCATGTGGTGTGCATGGTGTGTGTGTGGTGTGTGTGTGTGGTGTGCATGGTGTGTGTGGTGTGTGTGTGGTGTGCATGGTGTGTGTGGTGTGTGTGCATGGTGTGCATGGTGAGTGTGGTGTGTGTGTGGTGTGCATGGTGTGTGTGGTGTGTGTGGTGTGCATAGTGTGTGTGGTGTGTATGTGTGGTGTGTGTGGTGTGAGTGTGTGTGGTGTAAATGGTGTGCGTGGTGTGTGAGTGTGCATGGTGTGCATGGTGTGCGTGGTGTGTGAGTGTGCATGGTGTGCATGGTGTGTGAGTGTGCGTGGTGTGCATGGTGTGCGTGGTGTGTGTGTGCGTGGTGTGCATGGTGTGTGGTGTGTGCGTGGTGTGCATGGTGTGTGTGGTGTGTGTGTGTGGTGTGCGTGGTGTGTGTGGTGTGTGTGCATGGTGTGCATGGTGTGTGTGGTGTGTGTGCATGGTGTGCATGGTGTGTGTGGTGTGTGTGGTGTGCATGGTGTGTGAGTGTGTGTGGTGGGCATGGTGTGCGTGGTGTGTGAATGTGTGTGGTGTAAATGGTGTGCGTGGTGTGTGAGTGTGCATGGTGTGCATGGTGTGTGTGGTGTGTGAGTGTGCGTGGTGTGCATGGTGTGCATGGTGTGTGAGTGTGCGTGGTGTGCATGGTGTGTGTGGTGTGTGAGTGTGCGTGGTGTGCATGGTGTGTGGTGTGTGTGCATGGTGTGCATGGTGTGTGTGGTGTGTGGTGTGTGTGTGGTGTGCATGGTGTGTGTGGTGTGTGAGTGTGTGTGGTGTGCATGGTGTGTGTGGTGTGTGTGCATGGTGTGCATGGTGTGTGTGAGTGTGTGTGGTGTGCATGGTGTGCATGGTGTGTATGTGTGGTGTGTGTGTGGTGTGCATGGTGTGTGTGGTGTGTGAGTATGTGTGGTGTGTGTGTGGTGTGCATGGTGTACGTGGTGTGTGTGTGCATGGTGTGCATGGTGTGTGAGTGTGCGTGGTGTGTGTGGTGTGTGTGTGCGTGGTGTGCATGGTGTGTGTGGTGTGCGAGTGTGCATGGTGTGCGTGGTGTGCATGGTGTGTGAGTGTGTGTGGTGTGCATGGTGTGTGTGGTGTGTATGTGTGGTGTGTGTGTGCATGGTGTGTGTGTGGTGTGTGTGTGCGTGGTGTGCATGGTGTGTGTGTGGTGTGTGTGCGTGGTGTGCATGGTGTGTGTGTGGTGTGTGTGCGTGGTGTGCATGGTGTGTGTGGTGTGTGAGTGTGCGTGGTGTGCATGTTGTGTGTGGTGTGTGTGTGCGTGGTGTGCATGTTGTGTGTGGTGTGTGTGTGTGTGGTGTGCGTGGTGTGCGTGGTGTGTGTGGTGTGTGAGTGTGCATGGTGTGCATGGTGTGTGGTGTGTGTGCGTGGTGTGCATGGTGTGTGTGGTGTGTGTGTGGTGTGCATGGTGTGTGGTGTGTGTGTGGTGTGCATGGTGTGTGGTGTGTGTGCATGGTGTGCATGGTGTGTGTGAGTGTGTGTTGTGTGCATGGTGTGTGTGGTGTGTGTGTGGTGTGTGTGTGGTGTGCATGGTGTGCGTGGTGTGTGAGTGTGCATGGTGTGCATGGTGTGTGTGGTGTGTGAGTGTGCGTGGTGTGCATGGTGTGTGTGGTGTGTGAGTGTGCATGGTGTGCATGGTGTGCGTGGTGTGTGAGTGTGTGTGGTGTGCATGGTGTGTGTGGTATGTGTGGTGTGTGTGGTGTGTGTGTGCGTGGTGTGCATGGTGTGTGTGGTGTGTGAGTGTGCGTGGTGTGCATGGTGTGTGTGGTGTGTGAGTGTGCGTGGTGTGCATGGTGTGTGGTGTGTGAGTGCGTGGTGTGCATGGTGTGTGTGGTGTGTGAGTGTGCGTGGTGTGCATGGTGTGCGTGGTGTGCATGGTGTGTGTGGTGTGTGTGTGCGCGGTGTGCATGGTGTGTGAGTGTGCGTGGTGTGCATGGTGTGTGTGGTGTGTGTGTGCGTGGTGTGCATGGTGTGCGTGGTGTGTGAGTGTGCGTGGTGTGTGTGGTGTGTGAGTGCGTGGTGTGCATGGTGTGTGGTGTGTGTGCGTGGTGTGCATGGTGTGTGTGGTGTGTGTGTGGTGTGCATGGTGTGTGTGGTGTGTGAGTGTGTGTGGTGTGCATGGTGTGTGTTGTGTGTGCATGGTGTGCATGGTGTGTGTGAGTGTGTGTTGTGTGCATGGTGTGTGTGGTGTGTATGTGTGGTGTGTGTGTGTGGTGTGCATGGTGTGCGTGGTGTGTGAGTGTGCATGGTGTGCATGGTGTGTGTGTGGTGTGTGAGTGTGCGTGGTGTGCATGGTGTGTGGTGTGTGAGTGTGTGTGGTGTGCATGGTGTGTGTGGTGTGTATGTGTGGTGTGTGTGGTGTGTGTGTGCGTGGTGTGCATGGTGTGTGAGTGTGCGTGGTGTGCATGGTGTGTGTGGTGTGTGAGTGCGTGGTGTGCATGGTGTGTGGTGTGTGAGTGTGCGTGGTGTGCATGGTGTGTGTGGTGTGTGAGTGTGCGTGGTGTGCATGGTGTGTGGTGTGTGTGCGTGGTGTGCATGGTGTGTGTGGTGTGTGAGTGTGTGTGGTGTGCATGGTGTGTGTGGTGTGTGAGTGTGTGTGGTATGCATGGTGTGTGTGGTGTGTGTGTGGTGTGTGAGTGTGTGTGGTGTGTGAGTGTGCATGCTTTGCAGTGTGTGTTGGGCAGGGCGGCTTTTCTCTCAGCTGGTCTCATCTTCTCTGACAGGAGCTGGAGACTTCCAGTGGCTTCCCTCTCGCCCACCAACCACAGCAAGGGCATGAGGGCCACCTCCAGCCCAGGGCGGCATGCCTCCCTTGCAAAGCTCAGCCAACTGGGGGGCACAGCAGGCTGGCTGCTGGGGGGTGCTCTGTCACCAATTCCCCACCCTGCTGCCCCTGCCCGAAGCTTCTGGGACATGAGTAAAACACCAGAAGCTTTGAGGGACGAAGTGAGAGCTTTCTCCACAGGCCTCGATGGCACCATTCACATTTCCTTCTCAGTCTCCATGCTGTGCTCCCCGTCTAGACTTGAGGTCCAAATGCATGTTGGCCTGGCCCCTTCCTGCACCCGCCTGCAGCCCCTGCACCCCACCCACCCACCCTGTCCACCGCGAGTGTCAGGTCCCAGAGCTGACGCAGGCCAAGGGCCACAGCTTAGAGAGGGTAAAGCACCTTGCTGCACAGTGGACAGCCTCCCTCAAAGCCCAGTACACTCTGCCCGGCTCCTGTCTGTGGAGGGGGAGATGGTATTCAGCAGAGGGGCATTGGGTCCCCGCTGTGGAGAGACTGCTTGGTGAGTGACTTGGTGCCTGCTTCTTGGGGCATTCGGGAACTGGCCTCGAGCAGCTCCTCCAGAGGGATTTGGTGTGGAAGCCTGAGTATTACTGAGAGGCCACCCTGGGCTTTGGGGTACAAGTCCACTGGAGAAGGGCTACAGAGACCCTCCTGGCAGCCATCTACCCAGGGAGCCAAAGATTTCTGGGTGAGCAGGGGCTCAGGGCTCAGGGCTCAGGGCTCAGGGTGGCCAGGAAGGAAATGCTTGGTGAGCCGTGGCTGAGCCTGGCAGCCTCCTGTCGCCTCACTGGGCACCTTGTAGGACCCAAAGCCCATGTCTCCATGTCTTTTGAAGGTTTGGGGCTGGAGAAGCTGCCAAAGCCCTGCTCCCAGGCAGGACAGGCCCCAGAATCGTTGTGTAAGTGCACAGCTGTCTTGCTGGCTTTGCTCCCAATGGCCTGGGCATGGGCCGCTCCCCGCTCAGTGGCTCCCCAGGAACTCTGGATCCTCTTTGGGTAGAGGGGCATTAGGTTCGGCTGAGCAGTGCAGGTGGCACACCTGGCAAAGCAGGGTGTGGGGGCTTGGGGAACCTCTGAAGAAGGCTGATGTCCCCAGCTGCACATACAGAGGGGCCAGCAAGGGTCAATTGTGCGGCATCCCCTGGGCTGCAGTGGCACAAGTCTTCTCAGAATGCCCTGTCCTTTATGGTCTCAGGTTAGGGTTGGGCACAGGAGAAATTTGCTTGAGATTTGGAAAGAAGAAATGAAGCCGAAGCTGTTTTTCCTTTAAACGCCCAGGAGGTTGTGGTAGGCCGGGAGCCATAGCAGACCCTCCGGGGCCTTCATCTGCTGCCCCCACCACACCCCTGCTTTCCACTTCTTCCGGCATGGGGTGGGCATGACTCCTGCTGGTCCCTGGTTGTGAAGGTTTGAGGTGCTCCACCTCGGCTCTGTGATGACTGTGATCCCACAGGTGGGAGTTCTTCTTGGGACTAAACCTTAACCAGCACACCACAGGCCTGGGCTGGAGTCAAGCTTGTTCCCAGAGCACCTTCATCCACTCTACCTGCAGGGCCCTCCTGCCCTGGCCTACCCGGCCTGGCCCCCTCTCCCAGCCTGGGACTCCTCACCCTCCCTGCTCTGCTCTGTCCTCCTGGGACTCCTGAGAGATGCTTGCAGTCAGGGCACCCGCTCTCCTTGCCTGCGGACCTCACTGCCTTGGCCTTTCAGGAGTTACTCCAGGCCACATCCTCTTTAACGTTTTCCCAAGTGGATTGAAGGTCCTTGATCCAATGTCCCAGGTCACAGTTTAAGAAACAGTCCAGAGTTGCCTGAAAAGCCTCATCTTGCCAGCTGAGATAGGCTGGGTCTTCCTGGCCTGGAGTAGCCTTCAAGCAGGAGCTACAGATGCCCCCTCCCCAGTCCAGAGCTCCTGGAAGTTTGCCTCCCAGTGACTGACATGGTCTGGGAACAGATGGAGCTGAGCACTATATATTATATATGGGCATGGCCTATGATGTTATCTGCTTGCAAAAGATACAGACTAAAGAAACAACATTCCTTCATGGTCTTGGCACTTTTCTTTTTTAGTTATACAGAAAAATGATGGGCTGGCCTTGCTTCAAATACAACTTCAAAGAGAAAAATACCATTGAAAACTGCTACAATCTCAGACCACAAATTAGCCAGAGGCCCAGCCGCACATTGCTAAGTCTGGACAGGGAGTAGAGAACAAGCCGAGCCGAGCCGGCAATGCCTCCTCAGAACTGAGGCAGAAATCAGATCGCCCCCAAGCTAAGGGTCACTGTCCCCAAAGTAATAGAACACTTGAAAACAAATCTCTGACTAGATTAATGAAATTGAAGGCCACAGGCCACTGGTGTGGCAGAACATCCCGGTCAGATGATGCGGACGAGGGAGACGATGGGAAGATGCTGGTGAAATCCAGTGCCTTTGCAAACCAATGCGGGTTGTACACATACGTTGGCAACAGCGACAACGGCAAAAACAATAGGTGGAAGGGAGAGCTAAGAGCAGATGAAAACCACAAGGAGGAATTACGAGAAAACGCAGAAAGCCCCCAGACAAAAAAAAAAAATGCTCCATAGACTCAGAGAAAGTCCTGAAAACATGACTCTCAGAACAAAAGACACAGCTTAAAGGAGAGATGCAGTGCTCAGAGAAGAGATGACAAGAAAACAGAAGGAAATAAAATGAAGGTCGCAGAGCTCAGGGAAAAGAATGGAAGAAAAGAATAAAAATATTACCAGGATGAAAATCCCATGCAAAGCAATGACAATTTCAGGAAACTAAACCACAGACATACTGGTCATCTGGGGACTTCGTGGCAAGACTTGAAGAAGTCACATGACACAAAGCGGAAGAGAGACTATGGAAGATAGAAAAATAGACACTGCGTACATAGCATGATATTCCTGAAAAACAGCACAAATAAACCAAATAAAACAGACTTGGAAAGAATCATGTTGGCTTTAGACTTCTCTAGATCAGTTCTTAATGCCAGAAGACAGTGGGGCAAGGTTTACCAACTTCGAAGTTTGTCTGAAGTTTACAAACTTCGGTTTGCTTCAATAATGTTATAGCCATCCAAAAAACAAAAAGGACAATAAAATTGAGCCAATTAAAAGATGTAATAAAAAAAGAACTCAGAAATGCAGGAACAATTGCGAACATTGAATCCATTTATATACAGATCAAATATTAAACAAGTGTGGAATTACGCATTGGTGCCTCCTATAGAATTTAAAGGTGAGAAACCTTGACATTAGAAAATTAACAAAGATCCCAGGTGAAGGACTGAGGCTGAGGAGAGATGTCTTCATCTGTTACAGCAAGGAATCGTCAGGCACTGTGTTAGAACATGCAATTATTATTATTATTATTTTTATTTTTATTATTACTATTATTTTTTGAGACAGAGTCTCGCTCTGTCGCCCAGGCTGGAGTGCAGTGGCACAATCTCAGCTCACTGCAACCTCCACTTCCTGGATTCAAGCGATTCTTCTGCCTCAGCCTCCTGAGTAGCTGCGACTACAGGCGCGTGCCACCATGCCCAGCTAATTTTTTGTATTTTTAGTAGAGACCAGGTTTTACTGTGTTAGCCAGGGTGGTCTCGATCTCCTGACTTCATGATCCGCCCGCTTCAGCCTCCCAAAGTGCTGGGATTACAGGCATGAGCCACTGTGCCCGGCCAGAACATGCAATTATTATAAACAGAATATTTCAAATAGCTTAGCATTTTTCATAGTTTTATTCCTTTAGTGGGATTTTTTTTTTTGGGAACTAATACTTGTGAAGAAACATTTATTACAAGTTCAACAATCCTTTCAGCTTTATTTCAGTTTGTTTTCTTTTTAAAATTTTTTGAGCTGGGGTCTCACTCTGTTGCCCAGGCTGGAGTGCAGTGGTGCAACCACGGCTCACTGCAACCTTGACCTCCTGGGCTCAAGTGATCCTCCCACCTCAACCTGCTGAGTAGCTGGATCTGCAGGTGCATGCCACCGTGCCCAGCTCATTTTTGTATTTTTTGTAGAGACAAGGGTCTCACTATGTTGCCCAGGCTGGTCTCAAACTCCTTGGCTCAAGTTATCCTCCCACCTCTGCCTCCCTAGGTGCTGGGATTACAGATGTGAGCTACCACACCAGGCCCTCAGTGTTAACAAATAAGATGAGTATACTACTTTTGATTAAACACAATGTATAGACATATAATGATCCCATTTTTGTTGAGATGGGTCATATACATACCACAAAATTCATCTTTTCCAAGTGCACAATTCAGTGGTATTTAATATGTTCACAGAGTTGTGCAACCATCACTACTATCTACCCCCAGAACGTTTCTGTCACCCTAAAGGAGACCCTGTCCACATCGGCAGTCACTCCCCACTCCTCCCAGCCCCAGCCCTTGGCAACGACTTATTTGTTTCCATCTCTGTGGATTGGTCTCTTCTGGACATATCATACAAATAGAATCACAATATGCGGCCTTTTGTGTCTGGCTTCTTTCACTGAGCACACTGGATGACCCCATTTTGGGGAAATTGTTCTGCCACCCACCAGTTCCTTCATCAGCCCGTCTTTCACAGTCCTGGGTCTGGGGTGATGTTCATGGTGGCATTCTAGGTGCTGCGATGTGGGGTGGACACAATGCTGCCCTGAACTTTTCTGTGGTGCTCGGCCTTCCCTAGCAAGCCTGCCCTCTCTCTCCTGCTTTCCTTGCTAGTTGGCTCATGGTGGTCTCTCTCTGCTTCTCAGTTATTGATTCAAGGAGTATTTGCTGTGCTCCTCCTGCGTGCGAGTGAGTGGGGCTACGGGCCTGGTCTGAGGAGGTGGCAGGCAGTGTGGAGAGGAGTGGTGGATGGGTTGGGGGCTGCTGAGGGGCCCAGATAGCAGGAGTTCATGAGTAATGAGCGAGGTGCCTGGTGGGGTGGGGGTTTCTGGATGACGCTGAGGGGTTCAGCCTGGGCTGCTGGCATGGAAGAACCCATGGTGAGCGGGGGGATGAGCAAGACATTGGACTGGAAGTCAACCAGGTACAGCACCACCTTTCCCCCTGTGGGCAGCCTCTGCCAGGGCGCAGACCTCGCCTTGACAGCCTTCTCCTCTGGGTTCGGTCTCTCACTTCCGCCATCATGCTGGGAGAGCGTTGAGGGAGTGAATGCCTTATAAGGGGAGAGAAATGGACTCCAGGCTCCAGATGCTACTCTCGTGTCAGTCTGCCCCTGGCATGGGGTGCATGTGTGCCTGTGTGTGTGTGTGTGGTGTGTCTGGTGTGTGTGTATTCACGTGGGGGGTCTGTGTGGTGTGTGGTGTGTGTTCATGTGTGTGCTGTGTTCATGTGTGGTGCATGTGTTCATGTGTGGGTGTGGTTGTGGTGTGTTTGTTCATATATCGTGTGTGTGTGTTCATGTGGGGTGTGTGGTGTGTGTTCATGTGTGGTGTGTGTGTGATCTGTGTGTTCATGTGTGGTGTGTGTATTCATGTGTGGTGTGTGTGTTCATGTGTGGTTTGTGTGTTCATGTGGGGTGTGTGTGGTGTATGTGGGGTGTGTGGTGTGTGTGTGGTGTGGGCTGTATAGGGGGTGCAGGCTGTGGGGCGTGTGAGTTTTCATGTGTGGGGTTGTGTAATGTGTGTGTTCATGAGTAGGGTGTGTCTGTGTGTGTTCATGTGTAGTGTGTGTAGGGTGTGTGTGGTCTGTGTGGTGTGTGTGGGGTGTGATGTGTGTTCACATGTGGTGTGTTTGTGTTCATGTGTGGTGTGTGTTGGCTGTGTGGAGTGTTTTCCATGTGTGTTGTGTGTTTTCATGTGGGGATGCATGTGGGGTGTGTGTAGTGTATGTGTTCATGTGGGGTGTGTGTGTTCATGTGTGGAGGTTGTGTGATATGTGTGTTCATGTGTAGGGTGTGTGTCTTCATGTGTGGTGTGTGGGGGTGTGTGTGTGGTCTATGTGATGTGTGTGTTTGTGTGTGGTGTATTTGTGTTCATGTGTGGTGTGGGTTGTGTGGGGTGTGTTTTCGTGTGTGGTGTATGTGGTGTGTGTGTTCAAGTGAGGTGTGTGTGGTGTGTGTGTTCATGCAGGGAACTGTGTGTGGTGTGTGTTCATGTGTGGCATGTGGGGTGTATGTGTTCATGTGTGGTGTGCAGGGTGTGTGTTCATGTGTGGTGTGTGCGTGTTCATGTGTAGGGTGTGTGTGTTCATATGGGACTATGTGGAGGGTGTGTTCATGTGGGGTATGTGAGGTATATGGTATGTGTGTTCATATGGGGGGTGTGTGTGTTCATGTGGGGAGTGTATGTAGTGTGTATGTGTTCATGTGTGCTGTGTGTGTGTTCATGTGTGGTGTATTTATGTGGGGTGTGTGGGGTGTGTGTTCATGTGTGTGGTCCATGTGGTATGTGGTGTATGGTGTGTGTTCATGTGTGGTGTGTGTGATGTGTGTGTGTTCATATGTGGTGTGTGTTCATGTGTGATGTGTGTAGTGTGTGTTCATGTGAGGTGTGTGGCATGTGTTCATGTGTGGGATGTACGTGGTGTGTGCTGTGTGTGGTCTGTGTGGTGTGTGTGTTCATGTGTGGTGTGTTTGTGTGTTCATGTGTGGTGTGTGTGGGGTGTATGGTGTGTGTGTTTGTGTGTGGGGAATTTGGGGGGTTTGTGGTGCATGTATTTGCAGAGCTTCCCATAGATGGAGCCAGGCAACCAACATTTCCCAGAGGTGGGTGATGCCCTCCCACAGTGCCACACCTCCCCAGTCCTGGAACTGCATTGGGTGACAGAGACTGGGCAAGAGGCCAGAAGCCTGGCCCCCTCCCCAGCAGCTCTCACACAGCAGCTGCAGAGGCTCACCCTAGCCTGTGACTTTCTGATGTTTCCCCCTTTCTGTCTGTCCCTGGCTCTGTCCTGCCTCTCTGTCTGTGTCACACACAGAGACAGCAGAGGGGCCTCCAAGGAAAGCTGAGACCCCGCTGGGTACAAGGTAACACTGTGTGGCTTCCAAGCAAAGCCAAGAATTATCTAGCCCTTCCTGTTCTCGGAACTGTGCTGTTTCCTAGACAACGTATTTTGTGTAATCATGGTCAAGGCAACGTACATTTCTGCCCAGAATCAAGGTCACAGTATAATACTGATTCACCACGGCAACAGCAGACTACTCATCTGACATGGGAGATGAGATTTGCGATGAAAACCACATGCAGATTGCTAGTTGCCCAGCGACTCTGCACCACGAAATAGGTTTGACTCCAGTGGAATCTGGAATCATGTCCTTAAAAGACACAGAGCCCCTGGTAGTTCAACATATGTAACTGGCCAGCCAGAGCCAGCCAGGCACATGGCGCCACTGGTAGACAAACGTGCACATGACAGGAGCCTTTCCACCTGCCCTGGCTTCAGGAGTTTAGCTCAGTCCACAAATCCACGCCAGGAGCATTTCCCTATATAAACAAGCCCTGCGATGCTCCTAGTCCATCTGAGCTCACTGTGGACCAAGAAAGGCGAATGGTAGTTCTAGAAGAAAATCTTGTCATTTAGGATTTGATCTTTTTCCTAATTTCTCAGCCCAAGATCAACTGTTGGTGACCCCCTAGCTCTCACACCTCTCTTCTCTGGCCCCCTGAAATCAGAGAGAGGCAGCAGGGCCTCCTCTATTTCAGTAAGCTTGGGCTTGGGGCCATTATGCGGTCTGTGGGTCTGAGTCCCCAAGGCCTCTGGCTTGGGCTGAAGGAGAGAAGTAGGAACTGGGGCCCTCCAGCCTGTGGGGTGAGGTCTTCATGAAGGTGAATAGCTGAACCGTCTCCCCTGGGACTCCTCCAACCCCACTGTTGCTTCCCAGGAGAAAAGGCCTTTGGTGCCTGTCTGAGGCCTTGAAAGTCAGTTTTAAGTCCACCTCCCAGACAATGGCAGGTGATGGGTCTCTGGGGGGCCCAGCTGCATTGTATTCACGTCACCAGTATCCAGCCAGAAAGGAGGCCGAGATCACCTGGGGAGGTCACCCTCACCTTCTGCTGATGCCCAGAGGAGCTAGGTGACAGATTTTGTCAAAAGATTCAAATAGCCCAGCGCACATCCCCATTGGGTGCCTGGTGCCCTCACAGGCCACCTCTGTCTCACCCTCTGGCCTGAAGGCCGCCCTCAGTGGCCCCTTGAAGGTCAGCTGACCTCTTTTCCACCTGCTTTGGTGGCTTCTATTGCAGAGCCCCGAGGCCTCGAGATTGAGAACTGGGAGGATGGCCAGTGCTGACAAGGACAGCTATCCTGGGTGACAGCTCGGCCAACAGAAACATGCTCTAACTCAGAGTCCTGTGACTTAGGCTGGGGCCGCCAGTCTGTGCACGGCTGCCCAGGAAGGGCTGCAGGCAGCTTCCGTGGCCATGCGGGCCAGGGATTACAGCCCGCCTGCCAGGAAACCCTCTCAGCTCCACTGCTTTGGTTACCAACTTTCCTCTTTCCTAAACTTACAATCTGTTTGCATCTCATGGTTCAAGGAAATGCCAGAAGCGCTTTGTAGCAGATGCAGTGCTGGGCGCTTTTCCTCACCTCACTTCATTTCCTCCTTACAAGCCATTCCCTTTGCTGATTCCTCGGGGGCTGGGTCCTGGGACACACTGGTAAGCTGGGTGGATGTGGCTCCAGAGAGCCCAGGGGACGCATGGAGGTGGCCATCAAAAAAGAACGGACTGGGAGAAGTACTGTGAAGTGACCCAGCAGGACAAAGATGACTGGCAGCTGGGCTCCAGGAAGGGGCTCTGAGTAGGTGACCCTGAATCTGAAACCTGAGCGAGGCAAGAGAGCGTTCTACAGAAGAGGGGCACATGGGCCACGGCCTCGTGCAGCAGGCAGGATGGAAATGGTTGGACATGTTAGGAAACAGAGGCTCACATTGGTGAGTGTCACGAGTGGCTCTGACGTGTTAGAGCTTGTGACAGATCCCTGCTATCTCAGAGCTCCTGTCACCAGCAAGATTTGTGACAGATCCCTGCTATCCTCAGAGCTCCTGTCACCAGCAAGATTGCTTCAGGCCCCACTTCTTTCCTGGCATGATGCCCATCTCTTTCTCTCTTGAGGCCACGAGCTTCATGAGGGTTCTCGAGGCACCCCAGCCCTTAGCCTCTGCCTCTGTGCAGTAGGTGTTGATGACACAACCATGCGTGGAGCACCCACTTGGGCTGGCCCCGGGTTAGGAGCTCAGGGCACAGACATAGAACTCAGAGTTTGGCCAAGGAGATGGAAAACTCCCTCTACACCCCACTCTCGGCATCCAGGTGACCCCAGTGATCCCTCCACCTTACCTCCCGGCCCTTGGAGGTGGGCACTCAGCAGTCTTCTCCCCACTACTCCCTCCCGGCCCTGCATTCTTGCCTGGGCTCTCCTCCTCCCCCAGGCCTCCCACTGTGCCCCTGCCCTTGGCCCTTGCGTCTGCCTTCTCCTCCACCTCCTGCCTTGGGCAAGGCTGGCATGCATCCAAGGCCATGGCCCCATGTGCCACAGTGGGAAGGCGAAGGGGCCGCACCCCCTCTGCCCTGCGATGTCACGTCTGGCACTGCACTCCTCCCCTTTAGGCCTGCCCCATCTAGTCATGCTTGTCTGGAGTGTCCCTGCTGTTGTTTATCCCCCTTGCTCCCGCACTCTCATGGGTGCACCCTGGACCTGCCCACCGACCTCCCACTCCCAAGCACCCTTTCTCAATGGAAGCCTCTTCTTCCTTCCTCTACATCCCCGTGACCTTGATGGGAGAGAGCAACAGCCCTTGTCCCCGCCTACCTTGGCCCCAACCTCTTCCAGGCCTCCTTTCTTCACCATGCAGACTCCAGGACTGCCCCTCAACCGCCCCTTCAGCACTTCCCGCCACCCCTTGTTCCCCTGCCTTCAACGTGGCCGCTCCATGAAACCGCAACTGAGGACCTACAGGCAGAGGATGAAAGCGAATGCACCCATCCCCCACCCCCATTCACTGAGTCCCCACTGTGTGCCAGGGCAGGCACTATGCTGGGTGCTGGGGTACAGCAGTGAGCCAAGATCCGCCAGCCTTCCTGCCCTTGTGGAGGCAGTGGTCTAGACATTAAAAAGTAACTTCCCAGTTAGGTGACAACTACAAGTGGTGACAGTGATGTATAGGCGAATGCCAGGTGTTCTGAGAGCAGAAAAGGAGTTCTGGTGTCATCTAGGAGGAGAAAGGGCAGAGAAGAGTCCCTGGAGGAAGGGACATTTGCACTATAATCTGCAGGGGTCCCATCTGCATTTGGGGTAGCTGCTTACCCCACCCTGTGTCACCCTTGCTGGCAGGGCCCCTATCTTGGGGTCACATGCTCAGCCCTCCCGCCAGGGGCCGAATTGCCATTGTAAGGGGATTAGTTAGGCATTGCTGTGGGAGTGATTACCGCAAACTTAGCAGCTGTCACGAACACTCCTTTCTGTGGGTCAGAAGCTCTGGGCATGAAGTGGCTGGGTCTGAGGCTCAGGGTCTCACAGGCTGCACTCCTATCTGGAGGCTCTGGGGAATAACCCACTTCCAAGTTCATGAAGGTTCTTGGCCAAATTCAGCTCCTTGTGGCTATCGGACTGAGGTCCCATTCCTTGCTGGCTGTCAACAGGGGCCGCTCTGGGCTTCCCCATCTTCAAAGCCGGCAGAAGAGCTGTTGTCTCATTCAACCCCTTTCACGCCTGGACTCCCCGACTTCTCTGTCTCTGGCCTCTAGACCCAGATTTCCAGGGCTCATGTGATTAGGTCAGGCCTACTGAAGAGAGCTTCCCTTTCTTAAAGTCACCTGTGCCATGTACCATAACCCGATCATAGGGGTGATGGTCCCTCAGATTCACCACCTGGGGTGTCACATTGGACTTGTACCCCAGGGGATGGGGAACTGGGGGCTATCTTAGAATTCTGCCTACCACTGGAAGCCTCCTGTGGGGGTCTCATTCCATTTGCTGGTGGGTGGTTTAGGCAGGGTAGGGGTGGATCCACAGTTTATGGAGCCTAAAGTTTATGAATTTGGAGGGACCTCTTTAAGGAAAAGAATATAAAATTACAAATACAAAATCTCTGGGACCCCTCCCAGGACCTGAGAAGAAGTCTGTGCAGTGAAGGGCCCTAAGCTCATACAGGGGGCTGTGGTGGGAGCAGAAGTCCCAAATCAGTTTCACTAGGCCACAGTTAAGATGCCAGCAGGGCCACACCCTCTCAGGAGGCTCCAGGGGAGAATCCTGTTCACACCTTCTCCAGTTCACACCTCCAGCACCTCCAGCCGAATTCCTTAGCTCACGGACACTTCCTCCATAATTAAAACAATTTTTGTGGGTACATACGTAGTAGGTGTATATATTTATGGGGTACATGAGATGTTTTGATACAAGCATGCAATGTGAAATAAGCACATCATGGAGAATGGGGTATCCATCCCCTCAAACATTTATCCTTTGAGTTATAAACAATCCAATTACACTCTAAGTTATTTTAAAATGTACGATTAAGTTATTATTGACTATAGTCACCCTATTGTCCTAGCAAATAGTAGGTCTTATTTATTCTTTCTATTTTTGGTACCCATTAACCATCCCCACCTCCCCCTCCAGCCCCTCACTGACCCTTCCCAGCCTCTGGTAGCCATCCTGCTACTCTCTACCTCCATGAGTTCAATTGTTTTGATTTTTAGATCCCACAAGTAAGTGAGAACATGTGATGTTTGTCTTTCTGTACCTGGCTTATTTCACCTAACATAATGACCTCCAGTTCCATCCATGTAGTTGCAAATGACAGGATCTCATTCGTTTTTATGGCTGAATAGTACTCCATTGTGTATGCGTACCACATTTTCTTTATCCATTCTTTTGTGTTGATGGACACTTAGGTTGCTAGCAAATTTTGGCTATTGTGAACAGTGCTGCCATGAACATGGGTGTGCAGACATCTCTTCGATATACTGATTTCCTTTCTTGTGGGTATATACCCAGCAGTAGGATTGCTGGATCGTATGGTAGCTCAATTTTTCGTTTTTTGGAGGAAACCCCAAACTATTCTCCATAGTGGTTGTACTAATTTACACTCCCACCAACAGCGTATGAACAGTGTACTTTCCTCTACATTCTTATCAGCATTTGTTATTGCCTGTCTTTTGGATATAAGCCATTTTAACTGGGGTGAGGTAATATCACATTGTAGTTTTGATTTGCATTCCCCTGATGATTAACGATGTTGACATCTTTTCATATGCCTGTGTGTCATTTTATATTTTCCTTTGTGAGATGTCTATTCAAATCTTTTGCCTGTTTTTGATTAGATTATTAGATTTTTTTCCTGTAGAGTTTTTTGAGATCCTTATGTATTGCAAATATTTTCTCCCATTCTGTGGGTTGTCTCTTCACTTTGTTGACTGTTCCCTCTGTCTTTAAAGCCAGCAGCACCTTCCAACCTCTCTGTGTTCCATCACTTAGTCTTCTCTCTTTTTAAGGATGTGTGTGACTATGTTTGGTCCACCTAGATAATCCACCCAGAAAATCCACACTCATCTCCTCATCTCAAGGCCCTTAACTAAATCCCATCTGCAAAGTCTCTTTTTGCCATATAAGGTCACATTCACAGGTTCCAGGGATGAGGACGTGGACATCTTTTGGAGGCCATTGCATGTCCAGTGGACTTGGCCACATGGACCCTGAGCCTTACATGAGGGACAGAAGCCTGAGAGCACAGCCAGGGGTGAGTTTTCCCCTCTGGAAGATTCTGCTCTCTGCAGGGATCTACAGCACAATCTGAATGGAATGTCAGAACTAAGCCTAGAGGCTTTAATCCCTGTAACAGCCGAGTCCCATGTATCCAGGACTTAATTATGCTTATTTGGGAACAGGAAGGATTGGAAAGGCCCTGGCCCAGCTGGGAACCACTGAATCCAAATTGGAGCCCACGGAGGGCAAGGCCTGCTACAGCTGCCTAGAGGGGTGACATGGCAGAGGGATCTGTCCATCAGGAACTACCCTGGGGCCCAGCCAGTTAGGGGTTGAGGGAGCGCTCTCATAACTGTCCTGTTTCCTGTTTCATTTGCTTTCTCTGCTTATTTTGTATGAGCACACATTAAGCCATGTTGGCTTCAATATGAAATCAAGGCCACTCCTTGGTCTCCAAAGGGCTGTGTGCACTCCCCAGGCCAGGTGGCTCAGGCCTGAGGATCTCTTTCCCACCTCCTCTCCAGCCACCTGGCTGACTTGACTCTGCCACAGGTCTCCTGACTGGGCTGGCCCTCTCTCCTCTGGACCACCCCAACTGCCTTCTCCCAGCTTGCCTGGCAGGCCAGAGTCTCCAAACCCCTCTGCCTGCAGCCACTGAGAGCCCTGGACGCTGCAAGCCGTATCTGCCCTCTTGGGCTTAAAGCCACCCTGGGGAACGGGGCACGCTTCCAGAGGGCCATGCTTTCCAGGGGTGGCAGAGCTGGCCTGACTCCTCCACAGCCTCACCTGCCCCCTCCTTTGTGTGCACAGAAGCCACCAGGGTGACACACGTATGTGCCTTGGACACATGCCATCCTTGCCTATCTCAGCATTTGCTCATGCTTCTTTGATCAAAGCCTTCATTTCCTTCAGGATCTGGCCTGATTCTACCTCTTGCAGGCAGCCTTCCTCATAGTATCAGCCTTTCTCCCTACCCAAAGTTCTCACTGGGCTGGGCTGCTCTGGCAAGTAGACATCCCACTCTGCCTGGTACACTATGGGCTTTAGTGTCCTGTGGCTGCCAGAACAAAGCATCATAAACTGGGTGGCTCACAACAGAGAAAGTGGATCCTCTCCCAGTCCTAGAGGCCAGAAGTTCAAAATCCAGGTGTCTCAGGGCCACACTCCCCCCAGAGGCTCTAGGGAAGGCTCCTTCCTGCCTCTCCCAGCTCCAGAAGGCTCCAGGCATCCTGAGCTTGATGGCTGCCTCACTCCAGCCTCTGCTGTATGTCTTTCTCTTCTTCTGTCACTTACAAGGCCCCTTGTCATTGAATTAGGGCTCACGCTAATCCAGAATGACCTACTTTCGACATCTCTACCTTAATTATATCTGCAAAGACCCTTTTCCCAAAGGCGGTAGTCTCTTCTTCTCCTCTGTTTTACTTTCTGTGGTTTCAGTGACTTGTGGTCCAAATATATTAAATGAAAAATTCCAGAAATAATTAAAAGTTTTAAATTGTGCACCCCTCTGAGTAGCATGATAAAGTCTTGTTCCGTCCTGTCCAGCCTGTGAATCCTCCCTTTGTACAGTGGCTCCACGCTGTCAATGCCTCCCTGCCAATTAGCCACTTAGTAGCCACCTTGGTTCTCAGAATGACTCTCCCGGTATCACAGTGCTTGTGTTTTCTTTTACTTAATAATGGCCCTAAAATACACGTTGAGGTTGCTAAGAGCTGCAGTAAGAACAAATCTTCCATCCATGAAACTGTGAAGAAGGAATAAGAAATTTGTGCTAGTTTTTGAAGCTGCAGAAATTATGGCTGGATAAAAGGGAGGACTCACGCTTCGGGTAGGATGGAGCAGGCTTGAGGTTTCATCACGCTACTCAGAAGGGGGCGCCATTTAAAATGGTTTATTTAATTGAATTGTTTATTTCTGGAAGTTTCCACTTAATATTTTTGGGCCGAGGTTGGCCACGGGTAACTGAAACTGTGGAGAGTGAAACTGCAGATAAGCAGGGGACTACCACACCACCCAGGCATGCTCAGGACCCCAGTGGAAAATCTCTCCCTCTGAGGACAAACTCTCAGACTGCAAGCATAAAACACACCACGAGTCCAGTGCCCTGAAAGAGAGTCCTGGGAAATTCCAAAGAAAGAAAGGAGGACTAGCACCCATAGAAGAAAATTGGGAGGTCACAGAACAAAGATAGGCAGATAAGAAACGCCAAGGTGAAATCTTAGAAAGTAAAAATGCTCATTGAAATAAAATCTTAATAGATGAGTGAAACACCAGAGTGGACAGAGCTGAAAATTGGGATTCACTCAGATTTGGGAGTGGATGGATTTGTTCCAGTTGCCATAACAAAATACCACAGACTTGGGGGCTTCAACAACTGAAGTGGATCCAGGTTAATTGGCAAGGTGGGTTCCTTCCGGGGTCTGTGAGAGCAGGATGTGTTCCAAGACTCTCTCCTTGGCTTGTAGATGGCCGTCTTCTCCCTGTGCCTCTTCACATCATCTTCCCTCTGGGTGTATCATCTGTGCCCCAATTTCCTTGTTATGTTCTTATAAGGACATGACTCATATTGGATAATGGTCCACTCTGATGATTTTAACTTGATTACCCATAAGGTCACTTCGATATTTGTCACTTTGTCTCAAATCCTTTTAATCTATTTCTTCATTATTTCTTGTGCTAAAAAAAGTCCTTGCTTTCACCTTTTATGTCCCTCAATACATTATCTGTTGTGTTTTTGTGCTCCTTCCAATTTAGTTTTCATTTTTAACATTTAAAAATCTTGTTTCTAATTCTTTCCTGAGTCCTATCACCTAATTTCCGAGTTTTGCTAATTCTGATTTATGTTTTTCTTTCATGTCTTGCATTACTTTCTTAATTTCTTTCTGCTTGTTTGGGAAATCGTAATTCTAGTTTGGATTTGTTTTGAGGACATAACTTTCTGGTGTGCTTGCTGTCTTTCCAGATAGGAATCTGTTCTTTTCAGATAGATAGGAATCTGTTCTTTATTTGCTTTTTTTTTTTTTCTTACAGTACAGCTTTTTTTTTTTTTTTTCCAAACAGCTTTCATTATAAGAAAAGGTATGGGATTTTATCACGATAGTTTTCATGTGAAATTATTTTTCTTTAACTTTTAGAAGGAGGCATGGTTCAGGATAGCTTTTCTAACTTCACCCATCTCCCTCTTTCTTTCATTGTTTTCTTTTAATGATAAAAAATGTGGTGGTGTGCCTTCTGAAACTTCTGGCTCAATTCCTCCAGCTGACCTTGAGCTAGATCTCCTCTTTCTTTTGGCTCTGCTCTCTGTGTTTTCCTTGATTTCAGCTTCTCTCCAGCAGTTTCCCCCAGTGTGGGGCTCTATCCTAGAAGGGAGCACTGTCTGGCAGGTTTCAGGTACTCACAGAGGCCAGACCTTACTGAGGGCCCCTTTTGTTCACTTGCCATTGCCTTCAGCAAAACCCCTCCCAGACTGAGCTGCTGTTCTCAAATTGGCCTGCCTGGTTTTCCAATGAGCACCTGTTGACTACTTTGGTGTCCCCTGTTCTCAAGTCAGTCACCTGTCCTTTTGTTCCCTGGGCTTAATATGATCTTGGCATTGTAGTTATGTTAATAGAGTATGTTTTATAGGCCCACACTTACAATCTATGAGAGAAATCATAGGATGTCTGGACTTTGCTTCAAAATAATTCAAGAAATTCTGGGAAGATGGCAGTGGCATGAATCTTTAATCTCCCCAAATCCTCACATAAAACAGAACCCTGCACTCAGGCTGCTCTGTGGATTTTGTGGCTCTTGGTGGTTTGCACCCACCGACTTGTATTTTGGAGCTCATTAGGAAGACCTTTCCAGCTTGCACTGTTGTAAATGTTGTCTTTGGAGTTTTGATTCTGCCACCGGTTCTGTTTTATGCAAGGATTTGGGGAGATTAGAGAGCTATGCCACTGCCATCTTCCCAGAATTTCCTGAAGTATTTTGAGGCAAAGTCCAGACATCCTATGATGACATGATCACACTAAGAATTAGTGATAATTTCTAATTATTGTCAAATAGCCAGTCGGTATTCAAGCTCTCCATTGTCACATATTTCCTTTATAGTTTGTTTGGATAAGAAGCCATCTGAGGTTCATAAATTGATTGATAGTGGTTTTATGTTTTTGTTTGTTTGTTTGTTTGTTTTTTTGATAGAGTCTTGCTCTGTTTCCCAGGCTGTCATCCAGGTTCACTGCAGCCTTCATCTCCCAGGCTCAAGCCATCCTCAGCCTCCTGAGTAGCTGGGACCACAGGCGTGTGTCACCACACCTGGCTAATTAAAAAAATTTTTTGTTTTAGAGATGGAATCTCGCTATGTTGCCCAGGCTGGTCTCGAATTTCTGGGCTCAACTGATCCTCCTGTGTTGGTCTCCCAAAGTTCTGGGATTACAGGAGTGAGCCACTGTGCCTGGCCTGGTTTTAAGTGTCTTTTAATCTACAGGTTCTGCCTCTGTTTCTTGTTTTCCCCTTGCAATGTATTTGTTGAATAAAACAGTGTTATTCATACTGTGGCATTCCCCACAGTCTGGATATTAATGGCTGCAGCCCTGTAGGGTAGTAAACTCTGTATTTTCTGTGTTGGTAGTTGGATTCAGAAGGTTAATCAGATGTGAGTTCATTTTTTTTTTTCCAAGACTAATTCATATGTAGTGTTGGAAGACTTTAACACACCTCTGTCGGTAATTGGTAAATCAAGCAAACAAAATACAAGTTAGGATATGGTTTTGAACAGGAACTGGCAGCTTAACCTAATGGGCATATGTGGAACATCACACCCAACTGCAGACTGCACATTCTCTTGGGCACACATGGAATATTTATAAAAACCAACCACAAACTGGAACTTAAAGCAAATCTTACCATGTTTCAAAGGGTTAAAATCATTCAGAGCGTGATCTCTGACCACAGTGTCATTAAGCTAGAAACCCAAGAGAAAGGGAAAATAAACAGCAGACCCTGACATTTGGAAGCTGGCCTGGCCCTTGCAGGGAGGCCATGCTGTTCTCCTATTGGACATAAACAATCTCCCAGAATACTAACCTCAGACAAGGTTACTTGGAGACCATGAGAAAATGAGACAAAGCAAGGCCACTTCATTATTTTGTCTAAGTGCAGATAAAAACAAGGTTAACGTGCAACCCACAAAATACCAAACGTCCTCCTCCTGCTTGGCTAGTGTGGGTGACTGCTGCTTCTTTACAAATTACAGCTTTAGCTTTGTTCTAGCCTGCCCTCCCCAGAGAAAAGATTTACTAAGATACCCAATCATAGACTTGTCCTCGCTCTCTGACAGTGCTTAGAGCAAACCCTGGCTTCCTCGGGCCCTCCTCAAAATACCCCACAAAAGTCCAAATCTAATAGGTTTTTTTCTAACGTACTTTCTCTGAGATGGCGCACATCTCCCTCACTGCAGAGAGGAAGAAGCTCACTGTATATAACTAGAAAAATCCCCACGTGTTTAGAAAAGAAGAAATGCACATTGAAATCATCCAGGGCTCAAGGACAGTAACATGGGAATTAATAAATATTTTATTGAATGATAAAACATGCTACACTTCTGTAACAGTCAGCTGTCTGACAGGAAATGACTGTCACGTGCAGACTGAGTAATTTGAGGAGAGTTCAAGAAATGGATTGAGGTGGCTTTGTAATGTGTCAACTTGGCTAGCCTGAACTATGTTTTCCAGAATTCCCTTTCTTATAGGTTTTGGTGAGATGGGCAACATGAGAGATTCTGATGGGAGATTTGGAGAACAGAAGGGAAACAAACATGTAACTAAGTTCTCGTAACTAGAAGATAGAAGGAACAAAAAATAAGAAAAATACATAGACTACAATAGAAAAATGGGCCAAAGTCTTGAACAGACAATTCTTCACAACATATGAAAAGTGCCCGACCTCATTTGTCATTTCAGAACTATAAGTTGACGTTAGTGGGAGATACCATTACACACCCACCCGACTGGCAGAAACCAAAAGGTATCACAGTTGCAAGTTGGCAAAGCTGTGCAGCAGTGGAAACTTCCCACACTGCTGGTGGGAGTGTGCGTTGGGAAAAGGGTTGGCATCCCGTAGTAATATTGAAGACACACTTCCCCTATGACCCAGCAGTTCCACTGCTAAGTATACAAACTCTAGAGACACTTGTGTATGTGGGCCCCAGAAAGCAAGTGTAGACGGTTGCAATACATTGAATGGTGCCCCCTACTCCACAACAAAAATGATACATGCCCACGTCCTAATCCCTAGGCACCATGAATGGGATCTTATTTGGGAAAATGGTCTTTGTGGATGTAATTAAGTTAAGGATCTTGAGATTACATCATCCTTGGTTATCCACGTGGGCCCTAAACCCAATGAGAAGTGTCCTTATAAGAGAAAGGCCTGAGGCCACTTGAGAGAGGCTTTGTGAATATGGAAGTAGAAAGTGGAGTGATGTGGCCTCAAGCCTGGAGCACCAGAAGCTGGAGGAAGAAGCAAGAAAGAGAATCTCTCCTCAAACCCTCAGGGGAAGTGTGGCTCTGCTGATGCCTTGATCTTGGATTTCCAGCTTCCAGAACTGTGGGAGAATCCATTTTTGTTATTGTAAGTCGACCACTTTGTGGTATTTTGTTGCAGCAGCCACAGGAAAATTGTACAATGGTTCATCACAGCATTTGGTGGCTGAAAATAAACCAAATACTCAGCAGGGGTGGGATGGATAAATACATCATGGTAATGTTGTACAATGGAATACTCTACCGGGATGCAAAGGAATACACTCTAAGTATGCTATAGTAAGGATGGATTTTAAAGACACAGTGATGCATGAAAGAAGCAAGACACACAAAAAACATACATTACAGTTACAGTTATGTAAAGTTCAAAAACAGCAAAGTGGAATCATATGATTTATGGATGGATGTGTGCTTCAGTGGCAAAACTCTGATGCAAAGCAAGGAAAAGATTACGAAAAATTTAATAAGAAGGTGATTGCAAGGGACACACTCTGGGCTGGGGTGGCGGCCAAGGCTCTAGCCCTTGATCTGGGGTCCAGGGGGTTAGCTGAGTATGTTCACTTTATAACTGTAGAGTTTTAAAGTGCAGAAAATGCATGTAAAAAATATATATGATTTACACAGTCCTCTGTATCTAGGCTGTATTTCACAATCTGAAAAGTTGGGACATTAGCAAGCAGAATTCAAACAATGATTATTTGCAGATTATCTATTATATATATGTCTCTGCATCAGGAAAAATCTAAGGGAATCTACTAAAAAAGTTACAAAGAGTAGGGCCGGGCACGGTGGCTCACGCCTGTAATCCCAGCACTTTGGGAGGCCGAGGTGGGGGGATCACAAGGTCAGGAGATCGAGACCATCCTGGCTAACACAGTGAAACCCCGTCTCTACTAAAAATACAAAAAAATTAGCCAGGTGTGGTGGCGGGCGCCTGTAGTCCCAGCTACTCGGGAGGCTGAGGCAGGAGAATGGCGTGAACCCGGGAGGCGGAGCTTGCAGTGAGCCGAGATCGCACCACTACACTCCAGCCTGGGCGACAGAGCGAGACTCCGTCTCAAAACAAACAACAACAACAACAACAGCAACAAAAACAAATTAAAAAAAAGTTACGAAGAGTAAGGAGAATTCAGTAAGTTGTATGGGTACAAAATCATTGAGACAAACAATAAGTTAGAACATACAATAAAAAAAAAGATGCCATTTAATAAAAACAATAAAATACCTTGAAATAAATTTAACAAGAAATGTGCAAGATCTATGTAAAGAAATTTTAAAATGTTCCTCAGGGCCATCAAAAAAGGCCTGAGTGAATGGAACGGTCTATAATGTTCTCAGATAGAAAAAGTCAACTTCATAAAGAAGCAAAATTTCCCTACATCAATCTCTAAATTAAAGATGATCCCACACACACAACCACAGAAGATTTTGGAATTCGTCAAGATGATTCTAACATTGGTGTAGAAAACTAAAGGAGTAAAATTAGCCAGAAGTATTCTGAAAAGGAAGACTAATGAGAGGGGCACTAGTCCTACCAATATAATGCTTATTATAACATAATAATATATGTTTGATGTGATATTTAATATAATACTTATAACATAATGTTTGATGTAATATTTAATACAATACTTACATGTGTGAGGTAATATTTAATATAATACTATAACATAATATTTTGATGTCATATTTAATATAATACTTATAACGATATATGTTTGATGTAATATTTAATATAATACTTATAACATAATATATGTTTGATGTAATATTTAATATAATACTTATTATAACATGTTTGATGTAATATTTAATATAATACTTATAATGATATATGTTTGATGTAATATTTAATACAATACTTATAACGTGTGAGGTAATATTTAATATAATACTATAACATAATAATATATGTTTGATATAACATTTAATATAATACTTATAACATAATATATGCTTGATGTGATATTTAATATAATACTTATAATAATATATGTTTGATGTAATATTTAATATAATACTTATAACATGTTTGATGTAATATTTAATATAATACTTATAACATAATATATGTTTGATGTAATATTTAATACAATACTTATAACATGTGTGAGGTAATATTTAATATAATACTTACTATAACATAATATTATGTTTGATGTAATATTTAATATAATACTTATATTAAAACATAAATTGAGAGTAATTTAAAAGAACTGTGTAGTACTAATATATGAATAGAAGACAGAACAATAGAAAAAACAGAAAGTCTAAAATACATCCAAATACAAACGAGGATTTAGAATATGATAGAAATGTTATTTCAGTTCCTTGGGGAAAGATGGGTTATTCAATAAATGGTGTAGGGATAAGTAGGTGGCCATCTGGGAAAAATGTGAAGTTGAATCCCACATCATAATGTGCAACCAACTAAATTCTGGATGGATCAGATTTAAAGATTAAAAAAATAAAGCTATAAAAATATTGGAAGAAAATATGGGACATTTAAAATATGTTGGAAGAGAGAAGGCCTTTTAAAGTATGACAGAAGCCAAAACAGAGAAGCTTGATTAATTCAGTACATAAAAACGAAAAGTTTCTTCAACACAAAACTTCCTGCCAGCAAAGTCCAGGGCAAATGTTAAACCGGGAAAATTATTTGCAATTCCTGTTGGAGACAAGGAGGCTAGTTTTCCTATTATTTAATAGTTCCTACAAAATAGTAAGAAAAATGACAGCAACACAATAGCAAAACAGGCATAAACTAGGAATACGGTTCACGGGAGAGAAATACAAATGACTTCCAAATAAGAGAAATCCAAATCAAAACTACCTGCTTTCATTTATCAGACTGGCAAAAGTAGAAAAGTTTGATAGCACCCAATGTTGGCAAGAGTGTGGGCAAATAGGCACTGTCCTATGTTACTTTTGGGAGTTGGACCTGGTACGACTTCTGTGGGGGTAATTTGGCAACATCTATCAAAATTACAAATTGTGTACCTTTTGACCCAGCAATTGCACATGCAGGAATTGATTCTACAGATATATTTTTGTGAAAAGATAAAAGAATACTAGATGGACATTAAAGAGAATGAAGAAATTAGGTGCTGATATAAACCATCTCCAACACACATTGTTAATTTAAGAAAGAAAAGTAAAGCACAGTGTGAGTAGCATGCTAGCATTTGTATAAAATAGGAATGTGTGTGTGTGTGTGTGTGTGTGTGTGTGTGTGTGTGTGTGCATGTACATGCATAGAATGTCAATGGATAATTGTTGAAGTTGGGTGGTGGGTACGTGGAGGTTCATTATACCATGTGCTATTTATTGCGTATGTCTGAAATTGCCCATTATAAAAAGTTGAAAATATACTTAAAGTGATGACAGTAAAAAGAATATCTCTAGAAGAATAAACAAAAACTGGGTAATACTGGTTGCCTCCACAGGCAATGTATTAATTAGGAACTGTGTTCAATGGAGTAACAGAAAACCAGCAGTGGGGATTTAAACACAAAAGAGTTTATTTTTTCCACGTATGGAGACATAAGGAAGTAGGCAGTTGCTGGCTTTTGTTAGTTGCTTGAGGATGTCAAGAGAGATCTTTACGATTTTCTTGGCTTTTTTTCTCTATCCGCACCAACATAGCTGCTGAAGCTCCAGCCATCAAATATGTGTTCTAGGTTAGGAGAAAGAGAAAGTGTGGGGATCAAACAGGGCAGCTCCTGGTAATTCAGCCCACTGTCAGGAACCTTCCAGAAGCTCCACCCAGTGACTTTCACTCTCATTTTACTGGCCACCCCTATCTGCAAGGAAGGATGGGAAATGTAGATTTGAAACTTGCAACACTACTACTCCCAACAAACTCAGGGTCTCTTTACAAAACAAATAATGAGAAGAGTCAAAATAAATGGATTTTAAAAATGCCGGGAAAATACTAACAGAGAGAAAGCAGGTAGAACAATACTACTATCATGTAAAATGGAGCCCAAAGCAAAAAACTTTCTCAGGGACAAATATGACTATTCCTATATGTAAAAGACACAAGCTTAAAGGCTTGGTGCCCAATATAGTTTCATAACATGTGAAACAAAAACTTGATAGAAGTTCAGAAAAAATTGACAAGTTCGTAGTCAGAGTGAAAGAGACTTACTATACTTCTCTCAGGAACTGACAGACCAAGGAAACAACAAAATAAATAAGTATATAGAGGATCTGAATAACGCAAGTCAGGAGCTTGACCTAAGAGGTGCACAGTGTGTATAACTGCATCTGACAATCAGATAACGCAGAGTTTCTTCTCAAAAGTATATGAAACATTATCCAAGACTGACTACATATTTGGTCACAAAGAAAATCTCAAGTTCAAAGGCAGAAATCATATTTATTGAATCCAAAACACTAAAATAAGAAATTAGTAACCAAAGGAAAGCCCCCAATACTGAAAATAATAATTAATAAAATAAATAAATTGCAAAAAGCCCAGAATAGTTGAAAAGACCAATATTTAAAAATGCACAAATTCATAGAGATATTGGTCAGGAGAAAAGAAGGTGAAAAAACAAATAAATATAATGAGAAACAGGACAGGGTGTAAACTTCAGATGCAGAGTCAATTTTTCTAAAACTTGTAAGAGAATACTATATATAGGCCAGGTGCAATGAAGACTGAGGTGGGCAGATCACCTGAGGTTAGGAGTTAGAGACCAGCCTGGGCAACATGGAGAAACCCCATCTCTACTAAAAATACAAAAATTAGTCAGGCATGGTGGCACATGCCTGTAATCCCAGCTACTCAGGGGGCTGAGACAGGAGAATCACTTGAACCCAGGAGGCGGAGGTTGCAGTGAGCCGAGACTGTGCTACTGCACTCCAGCGTGGGTGACAGAGCAAGACTCTGTCTCACACACAAAAAAATAATACTATATATAGTTTTATGTGAATACATTAGAAAATATAGATAAAATAGAAAATTTTCTAGGAAAATACAAATTATAATAATTGGTCAAGAAGTAGAAAATCAGAATAAACCAATATCCATAGAAGAAATGTAAAGATAGTCAAAGATCTATGCTTCAATATTGCATCAGACCCAGGTGGTTATATGGTTAAATTCTGCTAAATCTGAATTGAAATAGGTAATTCTCATATTGTACAAACCCTTCTCTGCATTGAAAAAGATGGAAAGCATCCAAACCCATTTTATGAGGCTATTATAACCCTGATACCAAAATTGGAATCAGATTGCACAGTAAAAGCACTGTGTAGATCAATCTTCCTCATGAACAAAAACACAAAGATACCTCATATCCATGAGGACATTACAAGGATCCTTTATCATGTCAAAGTACGGGTTCCCTCAAATAATGCAAAGATAGATCAATATTAACACAGTTATTAATGTAATTCACTTCATTACTGGTTAAAGGGAAAACATAATATATTATCTCAACTGATGTAGGAAAAGCATTTGATAAAATTCAGCATCTATTTACAGCATCCTTGCCAACTTTTAGTAATGGACTCAGCCTGATCAATGCGAGACAAGAAGGAAATACAGAGTATAAATGTTGGACTAGAAAAGACTATAATTATTCAGCTATGTTGTGCTCATTTTCTAAAGAATCTAAAAGAAGCACCTGACAAATCTTTAGTGTTCATATGAGATGTTTTCACAGGCTCTACCTTTCCTGCAATGACCAATTAACCAATATACTATTTTTAAAAACCTTGTAATCCCCAGAACAACGCAAACTATAAAATCATTTGAACTTAAAAGGCATAAAAATGCATAAGACTGATATAAAGAAAAATATAAAAACTCACTACAGGACATAAAAGTAGCCTGAATAAATGATAAGATATATCATGTTATTGGATAGAAAGATTCAACTTTGAAAGACGTCTGCTCTTCTGAAATTAATCTATAACTTTAATGCAACCCCAATAATAATCCTCAAAGGATTTCAATAGAACCTGTGAGGCAAATCTTAAATCAATTTGGAAGAGAAATGTACAAGATTGGCAAAAAATCTTAAAAGAAAGAACCTACTAGATATCAAAACTTATAAAGCAATAGTTAAAACAGTAGAGTATTGAAGCAAGAATCATCATATTAATTGATAGGACAACAGAAATTCCAGAAACACGCCCATGAAAATTTGGCTATTTAGAATTCATTCGTTCATTCATTCATTCATCCATCCATTCAGTTGACAAATCATGACGTGCCAGACATTATTTTAGGGGTGAGGAAAACAAAGCCTCTGCCCTCATGGAAGCATGGAGCTTACTTTCTACGTGATGAACTTGGCATTTCAAATAATCGGGGGAAGGATGGTGTTGGGACAATTGGTTATTCATGTAAGGAAAACAAAATAATAGATTCTAACTATAGATCATAGAAAAGACAATATTCCTGAGTGATTAACAAAAAGTCTAAACATAAAAAACAAAACTATAAAAAAGAAAACTATACAAGCAAATTTATAAAAACAAGACTAGAGGATAAAGAAGATGTTATTAAGTAAGGCACAAAATGCACACACCATAAAAGAAAAGCCTGATACATTTGAGGACATAACTGTGAAAAATATAACTTCTACAGGACAATAAATGAGCCATTAACTAAGTTAAAAATAACTGTGGGGCTGGGCGCGGTGGCTCACGCTTGTAATCCCAACACTTTGGGAGGCCGAGGCTGGCGGATCATGAGGTCAGGAGATCGAGACCATCCTGGCTAACATGGTGAAACCCCATCTCTACTAAAAATACAAAAAATTAGCTGGGCGTGGTGGCAGGTGCCTGTAGTCCCAGCTACTCAGGAGGCTGAGGCAGGAGAATGGCATGAACCCTGGAGGTGGAGCTTGCAGTGAGCCGATATCGCGCCACTGCACTCCAGCCTGGGCAACAGAGCAAGACTCCGTCTCAAAAAAACAAAAACAAAAACAAAAACAAACAAGCAAACAAACAAAAACAAAAAAACACCGTGGAAGAAGCATCTACAATGTACATAACAAAGGGTTACTATCAAGCATATAAAAAGAACTGCATGTCCATAGGGAAATCAGCAAAGAGTATGAAAGAGCAGTTTACAGAAGATGCCATTGAATGGTCTGTAATAGTAAAAAGATGTTCAACCTGACTGCACTAGTAATCAGGGAAGTGCAAATGATAAGGAAGTACCTGCCATTTTTGCCCGTTGGTTTTGGCTAGGGTGGGGGGACATGGGAACTCTTGCCACTTGGTACAGGCTTTTTTGGAGGGAACGTTGCCAGAATCTACTTTTAAAATGCCTGTACCTTTTGAACCCAGTAAATGCCACTTCTGGGGATCTGTGGGTGAGACTGCTCATTGTCTCTCTGGCCCAAGGGCTATTATTCATGGGTGCTAGGCTGCTCAGTGAGACGAGATTGCCCAGCATCCCTTGGGGTGAGTGTGGTGCCCACTCCCCACTCAAGCTCCTCCTCAAGTGGAGCTGCTATAGCAGGGTCCCTGAACCACTGTGCACCCATAAATTGTTTGTTAGTGGTGGGTCCATGACCAGCATTAACTTTTAAACAAATCTATAAATTTGTAAAGGAGAAAGGAGACTTTACTTCTTTTTAAGGGTTACAGCTTGCAAGGTGGTCGTCCTGCAGGCTGGGAAGCGTGCCTCTGGCCAAGACAAGAGACAGGCACTTTGAAGGAGGAGGGGTTGGGCTAGGATCTTGGTGCTGGACAGGTTAGCTAAACATACATATTCAACAGGTTACAGGAAGAGCTATGAATATTCATAAAGGGGGGTCCTGACACATGTGTACTGAACAAACATGCATGTAACATATGACCCATGTTCACTTTGGGGTGGAGACTTAACATTTAAATGTATTACAGTTAGGTCCTATACATCCAAAGGTCTTTTCAGGACATGAAGTCACTCAAGCATGAAATCTCTGTAAACTGGCAAGAACAAGCATGTGGCTGCTGGTCTTATCAGGAGAAAGTTACTGAAATCAATCTCTTGTCCAATCAAAGCTGTAGTTATGCCTGGTGGAACAGGGGTTCAGTTAGTCCATGTCTGAAGCTGGCTGAGCTGCAATTGTTTATAATCTTGCTTATTTCAAGGCCAGTGCTTGTTTAGCTGCTAGAGAAAAAGAAAAACTTGTGGCAGTGAGAGCACAGTTCATTCTGTAAGTATAGGGGTGTGGGACTTAACCTTTGCGTGGCATGGCCTTAGGTCCTGTTTATAATTTCGCATCTAATTGTCATCAAGAGTGTGTTCTGTCAGTCTTATGATCTCTATTTTAACACCAATGCAGGTTAGTTGTTGTGTTTAATCTCCAAAAGGGAGGCATGTCTGACCTGCTGTCTCATCATGGCTGTGAACTCATTTTTAAGGTTTTCTAATGTCCCCCTGGCCAAGAGGGGGTCCGTTCAGTCAGCTGGGGGCTTAGGATTTTATTTTTAGTTTACATTGGGTTAGTACAGATATTAAGGCTTTTATAGTAACAGAATATCACCATGGCATCTTTATTGCAAGTTAAAAAATATTTCACTCCACAATTGAATGAAATAAACTGGCTTTTCACCATAGACCGTTTGAGAAGTGCTGTCCTAAAGAAGAGAGGAAAAAGGCAATGTGAGGAGCTGGGGTCTGTGAGTGACTGTGTGGAGCACAGCTGCCCCATCAACCAGGACTACATGGCTCAGACTTCCATGAGAAATGATCCTCAATTTTCTCTAAGCTACTGCTTTATTGCAGGTCTCTTTGTTGAAGCAATGTAGTGTCACTCTACCTAACTCAGCATCTGTTGTACAGCTCACACCTGTGCACAAGAGATCTGAGCAAGGCTCTTGCAGCATTGTTTCTATTAGCAAAACCCTGGAAAATACCTGAATATTCACCAAGAAGGGGAAGGGTCAAATAAACCTCACTATGCTCATGCTATGAAATACTGACCTGTAGTTAACAACACTCTCCCAACATTCTCCCACGCTTAGTTATGTGAAGAAAGTAAGTTGCATGATAAACAGCTGGCATGATAAACTGTCTATTGTGTGTGTACATATATGCAGGTAAATATGCAGAAAAATGTCAGGACAGATGTTCTCAGAAAGGGGGGTGTGATTGGGAGGGGCCAGACAGTGACTAAACGGGGTTTTTATTTTATTCGTATTTGTTTAATATTTTAAAATGAGATTATATTCATGTTTTGTTTGTGTAATTAAAAATGAATATAAAATAGACAATAGTCTTTTTTTTTTCTGAGACATAGTCTCATTCTGCCACTCAGGATGGAGTGCAGTGGTGCAGTCATAGCTCACTGCAACCTCTGCCTCTCAGGCTCAAGTGATCCTCCTACCTCAGCCTCCTGAGTAGCTGGGACTATGGGTGCATGCCATCGTGCCCAGCTATTTTTTTTTTTTGTATTTTTGGTAGAGATGGGGTTTTGTCATGTTGCCCAGGCTGGTCTCAAACTCCTGAGCTCAAGTGATCTGCCCACCTCAGCCTCTCAAAGTGTTAGCATTACAGGAGTGAGCCACTGTGCCCCGCCTGTTCATACATTTTTAATAATAACACAGAACAGGATAAAAAATCTCACTCGATGATTTGGCACACCAGCGTTTGCAGCACTGAATGAAGGAACTTTAAGAATGGAATTTAGTTTTTACTTGTTTGACTCCATTTAAGTCATAAGTGTCTTCAGAAAGAGCACCATGGGGAATTCTCATCTTGCAAGAAAAAAAAGAATCTCCAGAAGGAAAAACTCCAAAGCTGTGTACAATTGTGTCTTTGATAAATTGTCTCTAATCCCCAAAAATAAAGAATATAAAAATTTAAAGAAAAAAATAAAGCATTGGAGAAAAATGTGGTTCTCAAACATGTTTTAAAAAACTTATTTGTTTATTTATTTTTGAGACAGTATGTCACTCTGTCTCTCAGGCTGGAGTGCAGTCAAACACATTTTTATCTCAACTAAACAAACTTCAAGCCAGACTTTACAGAATGCCTTAGGAAAACAATTGCTGAAAAATTTAAAGGAAATCTTGTGACTATGACTGCTATAGATGCTGGAAGTTTTCAGTAGTTAAGGGCAAAGAGTTTTTGAGATTTGACCCAACTGTTAATCCTAGGAGCCAGGTTCCTTCTGGAAAACACACCACTGAAGCCTTTCTTCTGGAATTCAGTTGGCTGCTCTAGGAGCATCAGGTGTCATGCTGCGGCCAGCAGGAAGTGGGTAAGTGCCCAATACAGGGACCCCAGGAGTCTGCTTTGGGCACCAGAGGGCCAGCTCTGAAAGTGAGGATGAAAATGGATCATTACATTATAATAACAGTTAGGTTTGGAGATTGTAATACTCTGTTTTCACCCTGCTGATAAAGACATACCAAAGACTGGGCAATGTACAAAAGGAGGAGGTTTAATGGACTTACAGTTCCACGTGGCTAGGGAGGCCTCACAATCATGGTGCAAGGTGAAAGCCATGTCTCATATGGCAGCAGACAAGAGAAGAGAGCTTGTGCAGGGAAACACCTCTTTAAAAACTATCAGATCTTGTGAGACTTATTCACTATCACGAGAACAGCACAGGAAAGACCTGCCCCTATTGTAATTGAATAATTACCTCTCGCTGAGTCCCTGCCACAACATGTGGGAATTCAAGATGAGATTTGGGTGGGGAAACAGCCAAACCATAGCATTCTGCCCTCTCCCCTCCCAAATCTCATGTCCTCACATTTCAAAATGAATCATGCCTTCCCAACAGTCCCCCAAAGTCTTAACTCATTTCAGCATTAACTCAAAAGTCCACAGTCCAAAGTCTCATCTGAGACAAGGCAAGTCCCTTCCACTTATGAGCCTGTAAAATCAAAAGCAAATTAGTTACTTCCTAGATACAATGGGGGTACAGGCATTGAGTAAATACAGCTGTTCCAAATGAAAGAAATTGGCCAAAACAAAGGGGCTACAGGCCCCATGCAAGCCTGAAATCCAGCAGGGCAGTCAAATCTTAAAACTTCAAAATGATCTCCTTTGACTCCATGTCTCATGTCTAGGTCATGCTGATGCAAGAGGTGGGCTCCCACGGACTTGGGCAGCTTCACTCTTGTGGCTTTGCAGGATACAGTTTCTCTCCTGGCTGCTTTCACAGGCTGGTGTTGAGTGTCTGCAGCTTTTCCAGGTGCACAGTGCAAGCCATCAGTGGATCTACCATTCTGGGGTGTGGAGGATGGTGGTCCTCTTCTCATAGCTCCACTAGGTGGTGCCCCAGTAGAGACTCTGTGTGGGGGCTCTGACCCCACATTTCCCTTCCATACTGCCCTAGCAGAGTTATCCATGAGGGCCCCACTCCTGCAGCAAACTTCTGCCTGGGCATCCAGGCATTTTCATACATCCTCTGAAATCTAGGTGGAGGTTCCCAAACCTCAATTATTTTTTTAAGATGGTGTCTTGCTCTATCACCCAGCCTGGAGTGCAGTGGCATGATCTTGGCTCATTGCAACCTCCACCTTCTGGGTTCAAGTGATTCTCCAACCTCAGCCTCCCGGGTAGCTGGGATTACAGGCTTGCACCACCATGTCCAGCTAACTTTTGTATTTTTAGTAGAAACAGGTTTTCTCCATGTTGGCCAGGCTGGTCTCGAACTCCTGACCTCAACACCTTGGCCTCCCAAAGTGTTGGGATTATAGGTGTGAGCCACCATGCCTGGCCCCAAACCTCAATTCTTGACTTCTGTGCACTCGCAGGCTCAACACCACATGGAAGCTCTCAAGGCTTGGGGCTTCCACCCTCTGAAGCAATAGCCTGAGCTGTACTTTGGCCCCTTTTAGTCACAGCTGGAGTGGTTGGGGCACAGGGCACTAAGTCCCTAGGCTGCACATAGCAGAGGGACCCAGGGCCTGGCCCACAAAACCATTTTTTCCTTCTAGCCCTCCAGGCCTGTGATGGGAAGGGCTGATGCAAAAGTCTCTGAAACACCCTGGAAGCATTTTCCCCATTGTCTTGGTGATTAACATTTGGCTTCTTGTTACTTATGCAAATTTCTGCAGCCAGCTTGAATTTCTCCTCAGAAAAGGGAATTTTCTTTTCTATCACATTGACAGGCTGCAAATTTTTCTAATTTTTATGCTCTGTTTCCCTTTTAAAACTGAAGGCCTTTAATAGCACCCAAGTCATATCTTGAATGCTTTGCTATTTAGAAATTTCTTCCACCAGATACCTTAAATCATCTCTCTCAAATTCAAAGTTCCACAAATCTCTAGGGCAGGGGCAAAATGCTGCCAGTCTCTTTGCTAAAACATAACAAGAGTCACCTTTGCTCCAGTTCCCAACAAGTTCCTCATCTCCATCTGAGACCACCTCAGTCTGGATTTCATTGTCCATATAATAATTACCAGCATTTGGATCAAAGCAATTCAACAAGTCTCTAGGGAGTTTCAAACTTTCCCACATTTTCCTGTCCTCTTCTGAGCCCTTCAAAATTTGGAATCCAACCTCTGCCTTTTACCCAGTTCCAAAGTCACTTCCACATTGTTCTGTGCAGGAAACGCGTGAAGGGAGAAGAAAAGATACACACACAATACCTTTACGGGTAAACAACCTTTATCCCATGTAAATGGCAATGCAGATATAATAAGCAAGTGATATAATAATAAGCAAATGATATCATAAGCAGATTGATACAATAAGCAAATTGCAATGGGAAGGGGAGAAGGGAATATATATATTTACACTCACCAGATTGTGGAGGATTCACCACCAGACTGGGAAGCAACATCCTGGGCTCCAGAGTTGGCCACTCATCTGTGCACAGACAAAGAGAGGTCTCATGAAGCTTTGGTGCAGTCTGGGACCCTAGCTCTTTTTGTAACGAGTTGTTTGGCATGAGGCCCAGTCACGAGGGCCCTTCACGACTGGGCTCAAGGAACACAAAAAGGTCAACTTGTTTTTGCGATTGTCTATTGTTTTTCAATGTATAGGAACAGATTGAAATGGAGATTTCTCTGACACAGCAGTGGATGAATGTCTCAAGGGGCTCACACAACCTGTTCCGGGACTTGGTGACCATTGTTTGTGTCCATGTTCAATTGAGTTCAAATTTAATATTTAACTTTTCCTCCACACACATTTTCGGGTATCTTTTCAGCAGTACCCCACTCTACTGGCACCAACTTAGTTTTAGTCTGTTTTCATGCTGCCAATAAAGACATTCCCGAGACCGGGCAATTTACAAAAGAAGGAGGTTTAATGGACTTACAGTTCCACGTGGCTGGGGAGGCCTCACAATCGTGGTGGAATGTGAAAGGCACATCTCACATGGCAGCAAACAAGAGAAGAGAGCTTGTGCAGGGAAACGCCCCTTTTAAAAACCATCGGATCTTGTGAGACTTATTCACTATCCTGAGAACAGCATGGGAAAGACCTGCCCCCATGGTAATTGAATTGAACCTCTCACTGGGTCCTTCCCACAACATGTGGGAATTCAAGACGAGATTTGGGTGGGGACACAGCCAAACCATACCAGAGATAAATTTCAGAATTATTACTGAATCTTGGAAGTTCATTCCCCGATGGTGAAATTTGGGCTTTGGCCTTGGTCATTGGCATTTGTTGCCCTTCCAAAGTGGGCTTGGTGCCCTGAGGCTTCTTGAGGTTCAGGGGCAACACCCCCAACCTCCACCATTTGGCCCCTCCTATTTGGCAGCTCCTGACCTTGGGGACCTTCTGAGCCATGGTGGAGGCCTCATCCATCCCCATTCTCCAGGCACCTGCCACTCACCTGCTACCTCCAACCAGGAGGTCAGCACCTTTGTGCAGTGGCCACCCAGAGGCCTGGGAGGGACTTTGATCTGGAGGGTCTCCTGCTGTCAGGCCTTGCCTAGGGCTCCGCACCCTCCCTCCAGCCCTTGAGCCCTCCACCTTCCTCAGGTGGGGACCTCCCCATGTCTCTCTCTTCAGGTGTGTAAAGCCCGAGGACACCCTGGGGAGTTGGGGAGTGGAGGGCCCCTTGCTGCCCAGGTCCCCAGGCCCCTCCAACCTGCATGAGCTGCAGAATCCTCCAAGTGCACCAGTTCCCCAGCTCTGTGTATTTGCCTGCCAGTTCCTTGTCTGCCTCCCTGAGCTGCTCTGCCAGGTTCAGCAGCATCATGGACAATGCCATGGGCTCTGTGGCTGGGGCCCCCTGGAGCTGGGGCTGGCCCAGTCCTGATGAGTCCTCCCACACCCGTGGACGATCTGATCCATCATCTCCACCACTTCCATCTGGGGGTGCAGGAGGTGAGGGGAGGCCCAGGCTTAGGCTACATTCTGTCCCACTTGTCCCATCCCCAAGGACATGGCCCTGGGTGGGAGAGCTGATTCCTCTCATGAATTCCAAAGACATCTTCATCCAGGGCCCCAGTGTCTGGTGGGGTCCAGGGAGATCTGCCCCACCTTACCTAGGGGGCTCCATGTCTGGGGTTGCAGCCCCTCCCAGGCTGTGGGGTCAGGGTCTGGCAGCACAGGGAGCCCAGGGAGGAGGGAGGGGCCTCTTCCCGGTTGGGGGCAGGGTGTGGTTAGGGCCCTCTCTGTCTGGGCCCCTGTGGCATCCAGCAGGTGGGTGTTCAAAGGTGAAGGAGACTTCTGTGGGGGAAGGGAGACACCTGTAGACACCAATGACAAACAGCTCAATAAGGGGTGGTGGTGCCAGAAGCCCTTGGACTGTAGAGGCCCAGAGGAAACACCTCAGGACTGCAGAATTTGCGATAGGGAAGAAAGGGATGAACAGACTTAAACTTGTGGGGTAAGCTGGCTTGTTGGAGGAGATGGGGCAGAGGACTGGGATGGACAGAGAACCAGCAGCACAGTATCCCAGGAGTGACGTAGCCCAGCCAGCTCACAGCACCCTGAGGTGCTGGCCCCACCCACCTCTGAAAGTGCTGAGGTGACAGGCCGACCTTACAGTAAAGAACTCTCTGTAGCACGGTGGGGCCTGCTGGGCTCGGGTGAGGACCACCCCTTTGGAGCTGCCTTCCTCCCCCAGAGGTCGACAGGTGCAGAGAGGAACATGGATTGGGTCCAGAAAGGCAAGGCAAGGCAAAGAGACAGGGATGCCAGTGAGGCTGATGGAACGGGGCTGGGGCAGGGATGGAGAGGTGCCAGAGAGGAATGTATTAATAAAACCCCATAGCATCTGAGGAGGGAGTGGGGGGATTTATCCACTAATGTTGTATGCATTTGGCTTGGTAGTTGTTGTGTAACCTGCCTCCACTCAAGTGCACAAATCCTACCCAGGAGCACAGCTTGGTGAACATTTACATAGGCCCCACTTGTGGTGACATTTTGGCTGCATGTCTGTTTCTCTCTGGCACTCTGTCCTTGAGGGCAGGGACCTTGTCACTTGCTTTTACATCTCTGGGGCCCAGCACAGAGCAGGTGCTCAATAAATACTTGTTGAATAAAGGTCAGAAAAGGGATGACAGAGCAGAGAGTTTTTCTGACACATCTTGCCCGAAAAAGATTTCAGGCCATGTTTTTATTATGCAGTGAGCTTTTGAATGAAATGCATTTTAGCCGAGAAGGTGCATCACATCTACTGGAGACTAGTGAGGGTGGACAAAGACACAGCTCTGGAAGCTTCAGGAAAATAAGCTGGGAGAGTATTGGGGAGGAGAAGCTAAAATGCAGTGGGCATGGAAGCAGAAGCCCCCATTTCTACCTGTTGGCCTGTCCTTCCTGTAATGAGAGGTAGGCTGGGGCGGAGGGCTGTGATGGGGAATTTGGGCTAGAGGAATCAGGGCTGCAGACACTGGCCCAGAGATTAGGGGTTTGGGACTGTGAATCTCAGGCCAGCAAGAGACTTCTAGGGTGTAGCATGTGATCTTTCCACTAATCTTGGATTTTTTAATGTTCCACCAGGGAGGAGAGCCAAAAGGCACATCCCGTTTCCTCAGATGCCTTCTCGTTTGTTCTATAGAGGGTGGTGTTGGAAGAGCTACAGTGCTCAGGCAGGCAGGGGAACTAGGAGAGGGGCAGGAGAGAATATTCTCAATCCTCTACTAGGGGCTCATAGGATTCCCAGAGAAAACCCCATGCTGTCCCCTCCTGCCTTGGGTGCAGTGTCAGCTGTCCAAATGGACCCATGCACATCTGAGACTTGCCAGAACAGCTTGCACACGTTTTAAGAAAAAACAAACAGGTAGAATTCTCAGTAACAAGCACATAATGATGCTTTTCCAGCAACTAAGTGACTTGCAAGCGGCAAGGGCTGGGCCAGGCCGGGGCAGGCATTGGCTGGGGGTGGACGCACCGGGAGGTGGCTGCCTTGCTAAGTAGGAAGCAACCGTCAAGGGGGGTGGTATCGCTCCACCCACCCAGAGCTGCACCTGGGGTAGGAGAATCGACAGCTGTGATGAGCATGGGCCCCTGCCAGAAGCCAGGGAGACTGGGGCAGTGGAGAGAGTCATGTTGTCTCCTCCTGTTGGCTCCCATCGGGATGTGCATCCCGGAGCCGGAGGGATGGGATGTCCTTCTGCAGTTGGGCTGCTGGCTCCACGGCTGAGCCGTTGGCATTTAGAAGGGCCAGGAAACTGGGGCCTGCTCCTGCCCCTGACTTCTCTGAGGCAGTGGTCACCAGGCAGAGGGCCAGCCACAGGCCACCAAGAGGACCGAACTCCTGCTCCCACCCCTATGCAGCCTAGGGATGATTCTCAAGTCCCAAAGCCATGTTATCCCATTCCCAGTCCCTGAGGGAGGAGCTGAGGATCTGGCCTTGTCTTCTGCTCCCACCTGGAATTCCGATTTGGGGAGCCCTAGCTGCGGTGAGGGGAGGCTGAGTGAAAGACCCCTTTCTGCCAAGGGAGAGCTCAGAGTTCCAGGCAAACCAGCCTCCCCATCAGGGTGCTTCCTCTTCCCTCCAAGTGCCCAGCAAGCACTGGAATAACATTCCCAGCAGGGGCCACAACAGCACCTGGACCCCAGGAGGGGGCAGTTTCCAAGTGCAAGGACAAGTATAGAACCCCATGGCATGGAGAAAGGAGCAAGGAAAGTGGTAAATGAAGGTTTGACAAAAGACGTCAAGGAAGACCAATGCCATTTAACATATATTTATTGAAATCTACTTGATGCAAGGCACTGTGCTAGATTTGGTAGGGGATCAGACATGAAAGGCCACCCCTGTCTTCTAAGAGCTCACAATTTAATGGGTGGGGGAGGGCTGAGGAGGAGGGGGTGAAGCCAAGTCCACAAACAGCTCTAGTGCAAGGCTGATTATAGTGAGTGCCAGAAAACAGACAAGGTAATGAGATGGGGGAATGAGAAAAAAGTGCCAACAACCAACGGAAATACAAACTGGGGTGGGACATAGCTATTGTTCTCAGAGATACGCAAATGACATTGAGGGCCAAGTTTAAAGAGACAGTTTCTGCTTTTCAAAGTAAACATCCAAAGTGATGCAATGAGAACTACAGAATGTAAGTACATGAGTAAGAGAGAAGTTAGCAATCCCCCCATCTGATGGACATGCTGGAAATCGTGAAACACTTCAAAAATAAGAGAACAGGGTGCACTGTGATTTCACTCATTTTATGGCCCGCATGTGGTGGGTTCAGTAAAGGAACAATATACGTAGACATAAAATCACAGGTTAAATTCACTGAGACTAGAAGGCATCGACTTTCACCCATCTTAGAGAACAGAGAACACACGTTTGAACAGGTGTTCATGCAGTCAGGTGCGACTTGGCCAGGAAGCAGCCAAGTGGCAAAACACAATAGAAAAGAGTAGAGACCCACTCAAGCTGGCTCAAGTCAAGGAGTCTGTAGTGGGGACGCACGTGGACCAATGAGGGCTGCTGCCAGAAATCCAAGAACATACCATGGCCAGGCCTTCCTCCCAGCAGGCGCCACGCTCCTCACTCCTCTGAGTACTGTGCTGCTCCCCACACCTTCTGATGCCTAGAAGCTTCTGTTTCCTTGTTTGCATTTCAGATCTGGAAGGCCTGGTGGTGTCCGTGGTCCATCATGTTCTGTCAGCTCTATGCTCTGATGATTGCTTGCTGCCCTTGGGTCAGGTGTTCAGTTCTGGCTGAATTAATATGGCCTAGAAGCGGGGTGGCAAATCACATGGTACGCAACAGGGCCACAACCCAGGGCTGCAGGTAGGGCAGGCGCTGTGCCAGTTCTAGGACAAAATCAAGCACATGGAATGCAACACCACTCAAAAACATGCCCGCTGCAATTGGGTAGGGACTATTCTGGAAATGCAAGAGTGGGGTGACACAGCTAATGGACACAGCTCATCGTAATAAGCAGCAAAAATGGTAATCAATTACTTTCTTTTGAAAATTTTCACAAGTATTCAAAACTCTAATAAAAGCAATGGAGGATTTTTTTCAAATGGTAGGAAAAGAACATATTTCTTTTTTTTTTTTCTTTTTCCATGCCAGGCAGTTAATGTGCTGACATAGTAACAAGGTTTGAAGGAGGAACATCTCATGCACGTGCGTGGAAACCCAATTGTCATGTGTATGAACTACAAAAGGATCGGGAAAAGAACACATTTCCTCACAACAGGAATACATGAGATTAGAAAGAAAACCGGAATGAGGTAGATGCATGAATGCACAGACAAGGATATGTGACAGGAAGCTGGGTGACATTTTGCATCTGACATAGCAGTACACCTAGAGAGCCCAAGGAAATCCACCCCCAAGTTACCAGAGGCAAGAAATGATCTTGGCGAAATTACAGGACACACGTTAAAGCCACAGACTGCATTGAAAGAGAACACGGGTTTCACCGCAAACACCATGAACAGCTGTTCTGTCAACCTTGACGGCAAAGACCAGATCTTTAGTGTTAACTCTAAAAGAGCATTTGTTTGGGAGAAAATTATAGAACTGAAGATGGGAAAGAGTCAAGGACGGCAGGAAGGGATGCCAAGACACCACGTCCCAGCTGGGAGCAGTGACGACTTTATGCTACGTTCTGAGTTAATGCTGCATTCAATGGGATCCCTTCATAAAAGGGATCTACTTCAATGGGATCCCTCATGAAACCCAACAAACGATAAATGAACGGGCAAGACATGGCAGAGTACTTCTAGGTAAAGGTGCCAGACTTGCCCCTGGTAGAGGTCAACCTTCTTTATCAAATGACAGCTGTACAAAACACATCCTAACAACTCGAAAAGAGAAAAAGGATCCGAGAAGAAAGTAGTGATTTCAGACACAGATTCACAACTACTGCAAGAACTGAGGCCCACAGGGCAAAAGGAATCACTATGTAACAAGTGCTTTTGGCTCCTCTCCAGCCTGGGGGTCAGGATGGGTGCCTGAGAAGCCCTTCCAAGTTGTGTCTGCTAGGAAGCTCTGCCTCAGCCTTGGTGGGCCCACGAGAAGGGCACACTTCCTTGCCAGGCCCTCCTAGTGTCCCTGTCCCCAGCCACAGCTGCTGGGAAGTCACAGCACAGCCCTGGTGGGGCTGGCTTCTATCTGTGGCTTCTGTGGGCCACTGGAGGGGCAGGTTCCTCGCTAGCCCTTGCTGCTGTTCCTCTTGGGGGAGCCCACTGGAAATGGTAGCTCAGACCCAGGAGGACCAGCTTCTACTTCTATGCCACACAGGCTTTCAGAAGGGTTCCACTGCCCTCCAAACCTTTGCTTTAGTGCTCCTCCTGGGCATGGCTGTTGCAAATCATAGCCCAGGGCAGTGCTGCCAGCTTCTATCAGCATAACGCACAAGCCATCGGAGGGGCAGGGTTCCTCTCCGAGCCTCTGCTCTGTTGCCCTCACTTAGGTGTGGCTATAGGAAGTGATGCCAGAACACATGGGTGAATTTTCCCCTAGCTGCCCACAGCAGAAGCCTATGAACCAATCTCTTTCTAGTTCTAGAGTCACCGGCTGAAAGGAGGATGTGGTCTAGGCAAGTCTTCTTGTGTCCAAGGAGATGTTTCTTGGGTGAATCTGCTGCTCAGTCACTGAATCCACTCGGAGCATTGCCAAGGCTCCCAGGAGCTCAAAGGATGGCTGGGCTGCTTGCTCCCAGACCAAGTTTGGACCACTCCATTGATCTAGGTGAGGCCAAGCCCCACTGCTGCTGGCGGGGTCTATAATGATGAGCAGTCACAGAGTTCTGGCTAATCTATGATGGGAGCATCTCCAGTGTGCCGCAGTGGTCAGGTTGGATAGTCAAGTGGTGCCCACAGATAGACAGGGAGTCCGCATCTCGGATGAGGAAAGAGCCTGCTTCTCTGGCCCATTTCCATCCAGCCTGCCCACCTGGTGTACTCACCTTCTGATGGGCTGGGGTTGCAGCTTTTTGTTTGTAATTAAAATTCTAGAGAAAATGTCATCATATCTAGCTACAGAAGCAATGAAAGTTATGACTGAGTGGACAAAAAATGAATGCTTGGATATGTAAAAATTAAAAGCTTTCACAACAAAAACGTAATAAAACTGCTACAAAAAGCAAAGCAATAAAATTGGAAAAGAGAACATCACCATCAATATAGAAAGAACTGCTACATAAAGTTAATATATCCGAAGGTAAGTTGATAACTAGTCAAAGGAGATGAACGGACCATTTGCATGCAAAAAACAGAAACACCATTTAAGTCATCGCATAAGAGAAAGATGAGACTGGTGGTCAGGAGGCCTGGGGTCTATCCCCAGTTCTGGAATTGACAAGCCACAGAATGACGGCAATAACTATGACAATGACAATGACAGCAGATGGCCTTCACTGAGTGTGTACCTCCATACCAGGCCGGTGGTCCTGGCACTCTGCAGCCACGATGGCAGTCCTCGTGATAACCTTCGGAGGTAGGTGCTGTGATCACCCCTGTTTTATAGAACAAGAAACGGAAGGCTGGAGAAGTACCATCTAGGCCTGATACCAGGAGAGGCTCATTTCCAAAAGGAGGCGTCACCCTGCACTTGAGTCCTTGAGATGTATCTCTTCTTAGGGGCATGCTCTCAACTATTTTATTTTGAACAAAATAGTGCTGCTTGAGGACAAGACCCATTAGTTCAAAACAACCCCAATCGATGCTAGTTTTGGATATGTATAGGGGACACCAAATTGAAATGGTTTAAGAAAAAAAGATACCGACATTTAACCCAGATTCAGTAACTGTTACTAGGCGTTTGGCCTCACAATGACATTTTGGGTGCTTTAAAAGAAAAGACGTTTAAAGGTTGTTTGAAAAAGTATGACCTTAAGTGGTTATATTGTACAGTCACAGGACAGATTAAAAAACGACAAGAGAAATCGTCCTAATGTTCTGCAAATATGGTCTTATGGCTTGGGAGAAAATTTCTAATGAGAGCCTCATGAAGGGATCGTCACTGAGCGACCGTGCAGAGCTCGGATGGAAGTGACTGGGTGTGTCTTGAAACTGTCTGATGACTCAAACAGGGTTCCCATGTTGGTGAAGACGGTGAGGAGTCAGAGTAAAATGATTTCGTGAAAGGGAGGGTGGCAAAAATGGGGTATTTTCTAAATTAATATATTATTTTATATAATATGTGATTTACAGTATGTATGTATAACTAAATTAATAAATTAAATATTTTAAGACATTTGAGTGTTCTATTTACATCCCTAAAAATTTATAAATTCAAGTAGGCCAAAAATCATGAGGGCAACGTTCTCTTCAGGAAAGCTGGGATCACATTATGAGGACGCCATCGTGGAACAGCTCTGTGTGTTTCTCTGGGGCGGGGGGAGCTTGGAGTTGATGACCTCTAAGCCCCTCCCTACCCCACATCCAGATTTGTCCTCTCTCATTCTTGGATTCAAGGCATGTGGACTGAAATACCTTGATGGTACTTCCTACCAGTTAAACTAGCCAAACTAAGTTAAATGGTACAAGCTACTCTTGATGGGCATAACGTAACACTTATAAATTGCTGGTGGCAGTATAAATCGGTCTCAACCTTTTGGAAGACAAAATATATAAGCGCTACAAAACTGTTCATCTCCTTTGACTCTGCCATCCCCTCTGGGGACTCCGTCCCTGTCCCGCGGGACCACAGGGCGTTTCTACTCGTGGTGGGTTGGCTGATGCTTCTGCAGTGCCGAGCGCCTCTTGAACACGCGGCCACACTGGCTGCATTCGCAGCGCCGCGCCCCACTGTGGATCCGCCGGTGGCGACTGAGGCCGGAGCTCCGGCGGAAGGCCTTGCCGCATTTGTCGCACTCATAGGGTTTCAGTCCGCTGTGGATGCGCCGGTGCTTGATGAGGTCAGAGGGCCCACGGAAGGCCTTGCCACACTCGCCGCATGCGTAGGGCCGCTCGCCACTGTGGATGCGTGCGTGCTCCAGGAGGCTGGAGCTCTGGCGGAAGGCCTTGCCGCACTGGCCGCAGGCGTAGGGCTTCTCGCCCGTGTGGATCCGCCGGTGCTTGGTGAGCTCCGAGCTCCTTCGGAAGAGCTTGCCGCAGTGGGGACACCCGTATGGCTTGGCCCCACTGTGGATGCGCTGGTGCTCGGCCAGCCCGTTGACCCCTCGGAAGGACTTGCCGCAGTCGTCGCAGTCGAAGGGCAGGTGGCCAGTGTGCATGCGCTGGTGCTTGAGAAGCTCCTGGCGATCCAGGAAATCCCTGCTGCACGCCTTGCAGGCGAAAGGCTTTTCCGAAGTGTGAAGTTTCTGATGTCGGAAGAGGTGGGTGTTGACTTTGAACGACCGCCCGCATTCCTCGCAATCAAAGGGCTTCTCTCTGCTGTGGACCCTCAGATGCTGACTCAGGCCTGCATTCTTCTTAAACCGTTTTCCGCACTCCTCGCACTCGAAGGGCTTTGCCTCCCTCTCCATCTGCTCCCTCTTCTCCGCGGCATTCTCCAGGGCCCTACTGGGGCCGGGCTGGGGCTCCGCAGCTACGTGGCTTTTCCTGTGCTCATTAAACTCCGCCACCCCCCTAAAGACCTTCCCGCAGTCGCCACATTCCCAGCCCTTCTCCTCACTGTGGACTCTCTGGTGCTGGACAAGCAGGACTTTAAGCCGAAAGGTGTCCCCACACTCTTTACAAGCAAAATGATGTTCTATGGGCAGATTCTGTGGGCTCCCTCTCTTCCCGTCAGAGTCCCCGTGCTGTCTGAATTCAGGACTGGGACCACTGGCCCTTGGGAAGCTTGTGGACGCCATCTCCTGTGGCTGGGCATCTTCCCCCTTCATCTGGTGTCGGGTCGCGGAGGTGCTTTCTGAAACGATAAACACAAGGCAGTGTAGTCTGCAGAGGATGAAGGAGGGAAGGGCCTCTCCTTTGTCAAGAATCTTTTTCTTTCTGAGACAGCCACTGAGCACGGGGCCTGGGCCCGGAAGCCACCAGAAGCAAGGACTGCAGAAGCCAGGGGCAGAGGGACCTCATTCTGGACACTCTCTACCACAGTGGTGCTGAGGAGGTCACCCCTTCTGTGACCAGAGAGCAGCCACACACGTCCCCAAAGGCTCAGCTGGGTCCCCCAACCCTAACCTCAACCCCAAGAGCTCAGCTGGGATCCCCAAACATAACTTGAATCTCCAAAGGGCCCTGCTGATCCTCAACCTAACCTCACCATCAAGAGCTCAGCTGGGGCCCCAAACCCTAACTAGAACTCCAAAAGCTCAGCTGGGACCCCCAACCCTAACTGTAACTCCAAGAGCTCAGCTGGGATCTCCAAACATAACCCGAATCTCCAAAGGGCCCTGCTGATCCTCTCAACCCTAACCTCACCGTCAAGAGCTCAGCTGGGGCCCCAAACACTAACTAGAACCCCAAAAGCTCAGCTGAGCCCTCCCAACCTTAACTTCAACTCCAAGAGCTCAGCTGGGCCCCCCAACCCTAACTTCAACCCCAAGAACTCAGCAGGGCTCCCAAACTTAACCTCAACCCCAAGAGCTCAGCTGGGGTCCTAACTTTAACCTGAATGCCCAGAGAGCCCAGCTGATCCTCTCAATCCTAACCTCAACCCCAGGAGCCCAAATGGGCCCCTCTACTCGTAACCTCAACCTCAGAAGTTCAGCTGGACCCCCTAACCCTAACCTCAACCCCAAGAGCTCAGCTGGGTCCCTCAACCCTAACCCGAACCCAAGAGCTCAGCTGGAACCCCCCAACTCTAACTCAAAACCTCCAAGAGGCCAGCTGATCCTCTCAACCCTAACCTCAACCCCAAGAGCTCAGCTGGGCCCCCAACCCTAACCCAAACCCCTGAGAGATCAGCTGTTTCTCTCAACCCTAACCTCAAGCCCAAGAGCTCAGCAGGGCCCCCAAACCCTAACCTCAACTCCAAGAGCTCAGCTGGGACCCCCAACCCTAACCTGAAGCCTAACAGCTCAGCTGGGCTCTCCAACCCTAACCCATGCCCCATAGCAGCTTGGTTGGGTCTCCCCCAATTTCCTCACATTTCTTTTTCACTCACCAGAGTACTTAGCAGGATCAGTGTTGGGCGATGGGTCTGACACCAGTAGCACTTGTCCTTGTGCCAGGTGAGGGACCAAGGCAGGATTTAAAACAGGAACGCCTGCTCATGGGAAAGGAGATTGGTTATGGCAACAGCCAGAGATGACATGAGAATAGTGGAGGAACATAGGCAAGGCCTTTGAAGGGGAACCCCCTTCAATCTTCAAAGACCAGGCTTTAGGCAAGTCATTCATTCAGTTCAAAGGTGTTTCCCAAGGTCAGGCTCCTTCCAGGAGCTTGAGGAAGGCAGCCTCTGGGCCCACCTTGGGGAGGCTCTGTGGAGTATCAAGTGGCCACCCTGAGGAGGTGATCTTCACCCTGTCTTCTCTCTGTCCACCCACTCAGAGCTCACACATTTAACTTCATGCTCTTCCCAGACACGTGGACTTCGACAGCTCCCAAATCTGACTCCCAACGTCTCTCCTCCTAAAACCTCCTCCCCACTGCACACATGCAGACCCCTAATGGGTGAACAAGATCTTGATCACGTCAACCTTTCTCACAAATAAACTCAAACCAAATGGCCATGCAATTTGCATAATTTGTGCATTAAAATGAAAAGGGCATTCTACATTACAGTGGCAGTGTTCTAATTTCTTTCCCAGTAAAAGACTGAGAGGGGTTCTTTCCATGCCAAGAGGAGTTGGGGGAGCTCATACTACTCTGACATATCAGGTGTGGCAGACCCATTGTGTTTCCCCACAACCCAGGGAGAAGGTGAGCTTCTGTGGGGGTAGCCATGTGTCCCCTGCCCCACTCCAAGAAGGTGGTGAATTTGAGGAAGGGCTGGGACATCCTTACCCACAGAGGTCACGTTCCCATAATATTCCAGTGCCCTCTGTTCAGGGTCCAGCTTAAACCACTCCCTTGTGGTGAGGTACCATGCCACATCATCAAATGTCACCAAATCCTGAAAGAATTCCCAGGGCTCATCAGTCTTTCCATCTATTTTAGAATGAGGCAGGGGCAGCGCCAGTAATGCCAGGGTCAAGAGGTGAGGGTCTGGAGTGGGTGTCTGTTGCTAACATGGAGGCCTAACCACAGCTCCAAGAAGTCCTGAAAAGAGAACCTGATCAAGCACTAGGATCCCTGGGCCATGGACCTGGCCTCTCGTCTTTCCAAGGGACCTCCATTCAATCACTTTCCTGGATGGAAACTCAGCTTCCCCACCTGGATGATTGGAACTCCAAGCCCAGTGGACATCCAATCCTTGGCAGCCTCCAGAAGAGAAGCAGAGGGAGGGTAGGAAGGCAGCAGCTGGGGTTCATACTCTGCCGTGTGTCATGCTGGGGCAAGAGACAGAGGCTGAGGCCAGATTCAGGGAGCGGTGAGAGAATCCCAAGCAAGGCAGAGGGAAGCACAGCTCACCTAGGCCTCTGGCATCTCAAGAGGGACTGCCAGGACCTGGTTTCCTGGGGCTCCATCCTGGGGAGGGTAAGACCTTGGGGAGTAGGTGGAACTAAAGAAAGTGAAAAAGGCCATGAGTGACGACAGCCCTGTCCCTGGATCCCCTGGGAAGAGACTGGTGATTTCTTCTTCCTTGGTTTCTGATCTTGTTGAGTCTTCTCTCACATGCTGGCTGAATGACAAGCCAGGGCACGGAGATGCCTGAGAAAACACATCTTGAACAATGGGGAAAGTAGCCTGGCAAAGAATGAACAGAGGCAGGCCAGAGGGAGCCAAGACAAGACCAGCAGATGCCAGCCCAGGCACAGCTAGGAGAAGACAGACCTAGACAGAAAGCCAAGGGCAGGGAGACTGGCAAGCCTAGAAGTCCATGCTGATGCTGCACAGGAAGGAGGCACACCAAGATCATCAGAAGAAATAACCAGGAAATGAGAGACCCTTTCCAACTTTGTAGAGGCAACAAAAAACCGGATGAAGATGCTGGAGGGAAGAGAGCAGGAATGGGGGCTTCTAGACCAGCAGTGAGGCCCTTAAAAGCCACAGCCCACTGACACAAGGAGCCCGGTGACAGCAAGACAGGTACACATGACAGCAGTTCTCTAACGTGTTCAACCCAAATGAAAAGTGGAACAAAACAGCTGGAAAAATAAGCCTCAAAGAAAAGATCTTCAAACACTAAATTGTTAAATAAAAGAGCTGAATGATTTGTACAAATTATCTTCTTCTTCCAAATTGCAAAATATGTGAAAGATTCAACCACCGGCATCCGTGCATCACAGGCCTCCCACTTCAGTGAATTCTAAGAAACAGCTACACAGTTCCTGTTGTGATGACAATTCAATTCAATTCAACTCATAATTCAGTGAAAAGGAAGGCTCTTACACTGGCTCAAGGCCCACAAAATCCAGCTACTCCAGAAAGACTCTTATATAAAATTAAAGATGTTATGTGAAAAAGAATGGACAGAAACTTCCACGTTTGGCTGCGATGGAGTAACAAGGAACAGATTTCACATCGTGCCATAAATAAGTAGAAAAAAATGGAGAAAATATATGTGAAACAAGTTTTCAGACACTGGACAGCAGGAAGCACAGAATCATGATCCCCAAGAGAAGAGAAACAGATGACGGGAGCCCTATCATTGCCCCAGCTCTCTGCCTGGAGGCAATTTCCAGATCGAGACTGTGTGTTGGGGTGGGCGAGAACCAAATAGAGCTTAGTGGCTTCGCCAAGTTGAGGAGACACAGGCCAGCATTCAGAGCAGCTGAGGCAGCTGGAAGTTGCAGAGCAGAGTTCCAGAAAGGAGTTAGTTATGCAGTAAAAAGAGCTTCAAAAAATCTGTATAAGCCTCCCCTTGAGTCTTTCCTGACTACTAGGCCCATGCATGCATAGAGTGAAACTCCAAAAGCCCAGGAAAAGGGTGACCAGGAAGCTGTAAGCTGAACAATTCTCAGGACACACAAAGGTAGGGAGACATTCAAGGTCTGATCAACCAGTATAGAGAGTCCTCTGTGATCACCTGGGACATGCAGCAGAGAATCCAGAGGCCTTAGTAGTAGGGCTGATCTATTCCTAGAGCCAAAGCTACAAAAGACCTGTCTCAAAGAAAGCTTAAAAATAGGCCTCAAAGGGATCATACTGATCCACAAGTAACTACCACCCCAAATCCAGACACTCAATAATATAATCTTTATAATACCCAACATCCAATCAGAAGTTACTGAAACGCCAAAAAGCACAGAAATGTGGCCAGGACAAGGAGAATAATCAGTTAATAAAAACACACAGAAATGACCAGTGATGACTCACAGACAAGGATAACAGCGAGTTTAATGATGTACAAGCATTAAAAGAAAAACAGGAATATAGTGAGAGAAATAGAAGATATAAAAAGAACCAAATGGAACTTCTGGAGGTGGGAACTATGATATTTAAAGTGAAAATTTTACTAGATGTGATTAACAGCAGATTAGATACCACACAAAAAAATTAGAGAACTTGATGACATAGCAATAGAAATGATCTCAAATGAAGCTCAGAGAGAAAAAGAGTTTTTAAAAACAAACAGCATCTTAATGACCTGGGGTAAGAGAAAGTGGTCTAACACCTACATAACTGGAACCTGAGAAGGTGAGGAAAAGTGGGGGGAGGGATGAAAAATACAGTTGAAGAAATAATGGCAGGACAGTTTTCCAAATTTGATGAAAACTGTAAGCTCACACGTCCAAGAAAGTCAATCAACCCCTAGCAAGACTTTAAAAGACCCATAATAATCAGACTGCTGTAAAACCAGTGATAAAGAGAAAGTCTTCAAATAGCCAGAGGAAAGAAATGATGTTGCTGCGTGGAGAGGAGCAAAGAGTAATTACTAACTTCTTATCAGAGAATGTGCAAGTCAGAAAACCAGTGCATGACATTTTTAAAGTGCTAAAAGAAAAACAAAACTGTCAACTTAGAATTCTATATTCAAGGAAAATTTCCTTCCAAAATGAAGGCAAAATAAAGTTTGTTTTCAGACAAAAGCTAAGAGAATTCATCACCAGCAGATCTCTATTATAGGAAATACTAAAGGAAATCTTTCGGGTTGAAGGAAAATGATAGTAGGTGGAAAGATGGATCTACACAAAGGCATGAAGAACACCAGGAATGTAAATATGTGGGGAAATATACAATGCTTTTACCCACCTCACTTTTAAATCTTTTAAAAAACAATTAATCATTTAAAGCAAAAGTAATAAAAAGGTAGTGTGGGGTTTATAACATCAGAAGTAAAACATATGATTGTGTGTTCTGACAAGTCCTCCAAGACTCTGATACATGCTAATAAGCCAACAGCAGAGATCAAATATGTACTAAAAATAATCTGAAAGAAGAAAGGTAAAGAAAAAGAGGGGAAAAAAGAATGGAAGAGGCAAATAAAAACAAATAGCAAGATGGTAAACTTAAACCCAACCACGTGGATAGTTAAGGTAAGTGTAAATGGACTAAACACTTCGATCAAAAGGCAGAGATTGTCAGGCTGTAATAAAAACAAGACATACTGTCTACAAGAAACTTTAAATATAAAGACACAGATAAGTTAAAAGTAAACAGATGGAGAATGGAAAACATGATACTAGAACCAACAGAAAGAGTCTAAAAAATCCCAATGTCATAAAAAAGTGGGGGAAAGAATGAATGACAGATGTGGCTAAGAGCTCTGGAGACACTACCAGAGTCCTAGAACTCAGCAGGAAGAAAACTGGAGGGTTTCAATATAAAACCAACAGGTGCCAACGTAGGATGATGTGCTGCAGATGACAAAAATGTGAATCCTTCGTAGATGATACAGGCAGACATAGTTACTTCTCCCTTGAAAACCTAAAGAGGGTAAGGGAAGGGGAGGGGAGGAGATGGCTAAGTATATATTTGCATTTTAGGAGAAAAAAGGAAAAAAGTGAGAGTGACTTGTAGCTAGAATAAGCACATCTCTAATGTGTATGTGACCACATGGGGTTGGAGTTGGGGAGAGTCAAGGTCTAGAAAGATCTGCTTTCTTTTTCTGTAATGTGAGAATTTTTAGTAACCAAGCTGAATTTTCTTGGTATCAGAAAAGCATAACAATTGTAAAATATTTTGCTTTTAAAAGACTTTGAGTAAGAAAGCTGCTCAGCATGTGAGAAGCCAAGGGCTGAGGCCAAGGAGTCAATGGGGAGCAGCCCTTCTGCTTGGGTAAAAAACCCAGCATTTCCTGGGATCCCTACACAGCAAGGCAAGTGCAGGGGAGAAGGGCTGGCAGGAATCTATGGGCGGTCCATGAAGGGAAATGACCAGAAAGCCTAGAGACAGGCCCCTGGGGTTGTGACTTCCTGGGCTCCTCCCTGCAAGCTATCAGCACCTAAGAAGTGCGGGCAGAAGGCCTCATCTAGCCCCAGAGTCCAAGGCAGCCCCATTCCCATCTTTAACTGGCTGTCTGGCACAGGGGCTTCCCCAGTGTGAGATCGTGTTCATCCTCGGGTGCTCAGCAGCCACACCCTCTCTGTCCCACTGTCACCCGGGCAGGGCCCTGCTGGTCCGTTGGATTCCTCTGGTATACATTCGATGTCTGATTTGACTTTGGCTTCCAGTACAAAATGAACTGGTCATGAATTACTTACACAATTCATTTAAAAAAATTCACTTCCAATTGACATTGACGTTTGGCTGCCAAACAGAATGTAGAGGGGGATATTGTGGATACACCTTCTGAGAAAGAGGACCTGTTAGAGACCTCTTCTCGCTGACCTCAGGCCAGAGACCTAAGAACTTAGCCTTCTGACAATGCCCTGGCCCAGCCCCCCAATTCCTTATCTTGCCCTGCCACATCGCAGTGACATCCAGACACACTGGCCTTCATTCAATCCTCGATAGGCCAAGACTGTGGCCTTCAAGGCCTCTGAAACTGCTGAGAATACCATGGGCTTCTCATGGATGGCTCCTTCTGAGAATTCAGGCCCCAACTCTATTTTTATTTTTCTGAGACAGGGTCTCACTCTGTCACCCAGGCTGGAGTGTAGTGGTGCCATCACAGCTCACTGCAGCCTCAACCTCCCAAGCTTGTGAACCTCCCGCCTCAGCCTCCTGAGTAGCTGGGACTACAGCTGCGTGCCACCATGCCCAGCTAATATTTTAACTTAAAAAAAAAATTGTAGAGATGGAGTCTCACTATGCTGCCTAGACTGTCTCGAACTTCTGGGCTCAAGCCATCTTCCCACCTCAATCTCCGAATGCTGAGACTACAGGTGTGAGCCACTGCGCCTGGCCCACATCAGGCCTCAACTCTAATGTCACCTCCTTAGAATGCCTTCACTCTCTAGTCCCCGTCATAGTCTACTTGGAACACTTTTGCTAACTAAAAACTATCCAATGAAATTGCTTGTTTCTAACTGACAGTGCCCAGGAGATATGGAGCTCCAACAGCGCAGGGGCACTTTCTCATTCTTGGTCACTCCTGAGTCCCCAGTGTCTGCAGCAGCTCCTGGCCCTGAGTGGGTACGTGATAAATTGCGGGGTGACTGAATCAATGTGTGTGGGGAGGGGCATGTTAAATGGAGCACACTTCCATCCCTGGAGCATGCACTACACGTGTTTGGAGACATGCATCTCCCTTCCTGTAATTCACTTACCACATCCTGCGGTTATTACCGCCTCCATTCACAGAGAAGGAAACCAGGGCTCCAAGAGGTAAACTTGCTTAATATCTAGCTCCCAAGATTTGAGACTTTTCAAACCACACCAGAGAAGAGTGAAATAATATCCAACCTATAACACCACGCCACAGCCAGAAGACAGACTGGGGGTGAGGCTTAGTGTCATCTAGGCCTAATGGTATATATGGGTGTTTGGGTGCTGCCTTTAAACCATCCTGTTAACATGCCCTCACTGCACAACGAGACATGCCATTCCTCTCTCTCTTTCTTCGTCTCTCTCTGTCTCTTACACACACACACACACACACACACACACACACACACACACACACACACACACACACAGTCCTCCCAAGCCACCCACATTTAATTGAGTGAATCCTCCTGAAGTGTTCAACTTAATCGGGCAAATCCTACTGAAGTGTTTTTACTTAATTGGCATGATTAACTGTTGAAATCCTGGAGCCACAACCCCCAAATGAATTGTTAATAATCCTTTCCTGTGCAGCAACAGGAGTGCCCCTTCCTGTAGCAGCTCATGCAGGGGACTTAGCCTGAGAGTACTTTAGCTCTCAGTGGCTGCGTGATCACCACCCACAGTGACAGAGCCCTGGACACGGAGATCATTTAAAAGGTACTCATAAAAATGGGAGGAAAGAAGTGGGCCCTGCTTCCACAAAAGGAAACGAAACTCTGCATAATTAATCAATCAAGTATATCAGGTAAAAGAGCTGCATGAGAAGCAAAGGAAGATCATTAAAAAAAGATAACACATTAATCCCTACTGCAGTTCAAAATAAAATTATCATCAATCCTAGAGACAATCGGATCATTTAGGGTCCATGTTGCACAACTCTTCTATTTTAAAATGGTGGAACTAATCAGGAAAAGAAGCTGGATGCTGTGACAAAAGTGACAAACGCAGGTGTCCACTGCCTTCTGACAGTGGATCTTGGGGAATCAAGGTCGAAGGAATTCCAGACAGAACATGAAAATCATTGTAATGCACACCCAATGGACACACAGGGTAATGCTGACCCTGAAGTGAGGCACTTTCACTCACAGCACAAAAGCATGTCCTGAATCTCATAGGGTGCACTCCTACATACAACTGGGAAATATGAAAGCTCAAAGAAATACTGTGGAAAAACACATTTCCAACCCTTAACGTAAGTGGTATTACTCTCCTTCTTTCAATGGGATCTGAAGATAGTCTAAAGACTATAAACTCCCAGAAAGCAAAGGCCCTGTCAAGGTCAGCTGTGAATTGCACACTGGACCTAGGCAAGCACCATTACACTGCAGCTGTTTAACAAACATCTGCTAGAATAAATGGAAAATAGTGATGTCAATGTCAACCTACTGCCTGATAATTTGAAAAATTATGCTTTCTAAAACATGAAAGCTCATGTGAGTGAACAAATCTTCCTGCTAACGTGCTTTAGATCACAATGTAAATTTTAACCAACTTATTTAAATCAAATTTACTGCATGGAAACAGAAAACACTAAGAGTCTCAAAATAATCATTCCACTTTGATGTGGAAGAACAGAAATGAAGAGTTGAACTCAACAGAGACAAAAAACAACCCACGTCACAAAATGTAGTAATAATGAGATGTTTTCTGGTTGCCTTTGGATTAAGAACATCCCTGCCTCACTGCTGGATGTTTGGCTACTGGCTAACGGTAGCTTCTGAGCCTAAAGACCAGCGTTCAACTGATTTTATCGCACAAATAGCCAAGCAACATTCTCTAACAGGTGCGCTGTCCTTCCCTGGGCAGGGGAAAGGCAGCAAGACCACCCAAATAAGGCTCCTCTGGAAGGTTCCAGAAGCTTCCAAGGGGTGCCAGAAACACCTGGACTCTCTGAAGCATCTAAATAAAGACCTGGAGCAGAATGTCCTCAGGCCCTAAAGCTTGAGTTTACCCAGAAGACAACAGGTGGCTTGTGTTCTGCTCAGTTCTAGGCCAGAGCAACGGGTGTCTTCAAAGGTTTCCACTCACAAAAGATCCAATTCAGATGGATGCCTTCAGCTCCCTCTCCCATCCAAAAGGGAGATTAGACTCCAGATTCTCTTTCCTGAATATCTTTTCTCCTGTGAGTTGTATTGCTTGGATTGAGAGAACTGTCTCTGGGCAAAGACAGTTCAGCAACAGTGGCACAGATGAAAATATAAGTGCTTCCGGAACCAAAACGATACTCCTCACCATGTTGTAACCCCACCTATAGGGTCTTCTGATAGCATGCCCAGCGTCAAAGCCAGCAGACACCATGCATAAACACCCAGACTTACCCAAAAGAGACACACACGGATGACTCATCATGCCTCAGAACTACTCCAAGGGATCAGCCTGGCAGGTAAGGCCCCATCTGTTGGATTGCAATAATTCAGGTGAACAGAAGCAGACCTGTGTGCACCTCCCAGGAACATGTCCCCCACATTTTGGGGGATGTACTGAACTGGGCCAGATACAGGGTTCAACTGAATATATACTGCCACGATCTGGATCCACCCTAGCCAGGCCAGGATGCAACCCTTGAGCCAAGCCCTGGGCCACGCTGAGCCTGGCCTTCATGTTCTTTCCACCTGACAGGCCAGGAGGCGGAAGTGAAGGCCCCACGTGGGCCCATCCCGTCCCGTCCCAAAGCAGCAAACAGGCTGCTACTCGAAGTAGCAGAATCCTGAAGGGCCTAAAGAGAGGGTGTCTCACCAGGAAAGTCTGTCTCTCTTGGGGTATTTGTGTCTGTGTGTGCCTTTTTCTGTATGTGTGGGTGGGAAGGCATCTGTTTCCTCTCACTTTGCCTGGGCACCTGTCTCTTTCTGTTTGGGTTTCTATCTTATTTCCTTTCTATAAAAAGCCAGAAGGTAGACCAGAAGGGGATTTTGTAGTGTTTGTTGTACTTAATTGAGGAAAGCTTTGTGTTCCCATTTCTCCAAGAAGATTCATGGCATCTTACTAAAAATCGAAATAAATTTTAAGTATAGCTTCCTTTAGGTAACATCGCCTGGATACAAAGGTCGAAATTGGGGGTGGGGTGGGATGCTATGCAAATTGCAAAGAGCCCAGGGCCATCCAAGGAGCCCAGGCAGGTTTGGGTAAGGGCTGGATCACTGGGTGAGAAAGTTGGTGTGGAGTTCACTAAGAACTCATGTGGGAGTTTCGCAGGTTTGGGAGAGACCAAGGAGTCTGCATTTTTCAACAAGCACCCCAGGAGATTATGATGCAGAGCTGCACCTCCTTAACACTGGGCCTGTCTAGAATCTGGAGGTTCCCAGATTCTCCAACTCTCAGAATCTCTGTTACTGACAGGATTCCTGCCCAGGAACCTGCTGAAATGGGAGCCCACTATCTCTGAGTCTGTGCTGATGGTTAGAAGAGAATTCACAAGTTCTGGTAGATTTCCAAGGGGTCCCTCACAGACAGAAGGCTGCAAATTACTGCTCAATAGGGTTCTATATATAAAACTCAGTGTCTGACCCAGTTCAGTACATCCCCCTAGTAACATTTTGTGGGGATGTACTGAACTGGGCCAGATACTGTGCAAGTGGCTTCTACTTGAAGGTCCAATGTTGCAGGGTTGGGGGAAGGTGAGGGTGGGGAGGGGCTGAGGCAGCATTAGTACCTAGGGGAGGTGCTGTTCCAGCAATCCCATCTGAAATTCTCTTGTAAAGGAAAAATGTCGGGCTGAGGTTGAAGAGGAAATGTTTCATTGACTAAGGAGACTGGAGGGGGCCGCATGCCCAGCTAGGTCAAGGCTGGCTGGAGGGCTTCAGTTGGAACAAGGTGGCAGGGTGGGACCTCTGGGAAGTGGGCCAGGAATGGGGGCAGGGGGTTGTTTGAAAGGGACCATGGACTTTGGGCGGCAGGCGAGTGGGGGGTGTGTGTGGAAAAGATATATAATTAATCACCCAAATATAGACTGGAGGAGCCAGCAAAGGAGTTTAAGGGGGCGGGGGCACTGAAGTGGGAGATGGCGGCCCCCAGTAGGGCGACAGAAAAAGACTGGTTCAGACAGAGGGCCTTGAGCTCGGCTCACCGCCCCCTTTCCCCTGCCTCTCCACAGCTCTCTCTCTAGGCTACCTACCGGCCCCCATTCTCCCCACCAAGCTGAGGCTTAACCGCCCCCCCCCACTCCCACCCACTCAAAAGGAAAGGAGGGACTCCCCAGCGGGAACTGTTCCCACCTGGCCCACCCTCCCAGCTCCCAGACTGCGGCTCAGTCCCTCCCCTAGACCAGGGAAAAGTCCTTTAACCCCCACCCCTACAATGCCCCCTCCAGATCGGGCTCCTAGGAGCTAGGGGCAGGGGTCCTTTCTCTCCGCCCCTGAGCGGTTCCCATCTCCTAGCGTCCCCCAAAGAGCAGAGCAGGCCTCTACACTTTAGCGATTCCCACCCGGGATCGCCGCCCCCCGCCCGCCTCGGGAAGGCCTTCGGGCCTCTTCGTACTCGTCATCCGGGACCCGTTCCCTGCTCTGGCCCGCCCAAGGCCGAGCAGCTCTCCAACTGCCCAGAGACGCCCCCTCCCTCCACCGTGCACTCTTCTGCGGCCCGCACACTCGCTCCAGCCCCGCACACAGTCCTGCACCCCCTGCACATCCTCTCGCGGCCCTGCACGCTCACTCAGGTCCACACGTCCTCCTGCCGCCCCCACGATCACCTCCGCCCTGCGGCCCCTCCAGCGCCCCCCGCACATCCTCCCGCGGCCCGCACACTCACCCAGGCCCGGCGGCGGCCGACGCGCGGCCCTCGGTGGAGCGGCGCTGGCGCGGCCCAGGCAGGCCTGGCGTGGCAGGAAGCGCCACGGAGCCGCCCGTGCCCAGCCGAGCTAACAGCCCCGCGGCGCGTTTCCGGAGCCGTGAGCGCCGCCGGGGGTTCTGAGGGAGCGAGGCCCCGCCCCGGCCCCAGTCTCGTCCCCGATTGGCCCGGGAAGGGGGCGTGGCGGGAAGGGGGCGGGGTTTGGGCGGGGGCGGACTGGGCAGGCAAGTCTGATCAGCCTGCGGGGGAGCGGCGCGCGCGGGCTGGACGCTTGGGTGGAGGTGGGGAGGAGTGGAATGAGCGTGCGAATGAATGAATGAACGAGCGAACAAATCGACCAGCAGACGAAGGAAGGAACGAAGGAATGGAAGGGACCTCTCCCCCTTGGGCATCTTCAAGATGGTGGTGGGGGGAGTGAAGGGTCGGGAACTGAGGGCGAAGACTGGAAAGCCAGTATTCTGTATGAATGGAATCAGATCGTATGTACTATTGTGTGTCTGGATTCTTTCATTCAACGTGATGTTTTCAAGATTTATCTATGTTGTTGAATGTGCTATCGCTGAGTAGTATGCTATTGTTTGGATATATCAGAGTTGGTTTGTTCATTCACCAGGTTATGATCTGGGCTGTTTCCAGTTTGGGCGATTATAAATAAAGCTACTATGAATATTCATGTACACATCTTTGTGTGGACATATGCTTTCATTTTTCTTGGGCAAATACCTAAGAGATGAATTGCCACATCACAGGATAGTTTTATGTTTTATAAGAAACTGCCAGAATGTATTCCAAAGTGGTTGTGCAATTTACATTCCCACCAGAAATGTATGCGAGCTCCTTTTCTTTCCCATCCTCATCAACATTTGAGGTTGTCAGCCTTTATTTTTAGCCATTTGAAAGGGTGGGAAGTGGCATCTCATTGTTATTTCAATTATCATCTCCCTGATGACTAATTATGTTGAGTATGCTTTTATGTGCTCACTGGCCATTTCTATATCTTTCTTTGTAAAGTGTCTGTTCAAGTAGTTTGCCCAATGTTATGTGCAGTATATATATATGTATATATATGTGTGTGTGTATATATAGAGAGAGAGACAAAAGAGAAAGCTAGCCCATTATGTGCAATGTGTGTGTATATATGTGTGTGTGTATGTATGTATATATATATACACACACATGTAGTTCCTGAGAAATTTTATGTTTTCAACTTTCATTTTAGATTTAGGGGGTACATGTGCAGGTTTGTTGCCTGGGTATAGTGTGTGATGTTGAGGTTTGGGGTACGAATGACCCTGTCATCCAAGTACTGAACATAGTACACAATAGTTAGTTTTTAAACCCTTGACCCCTCCTTCCCTGACCCCTCTTGTAGTTCCCATTGTTTGTTGTTCCCATCTTTATGCGCACGAGTACCCGATGTTTAGCTCCCACTTATAAATGAGAATGTGTGGCATTTGGTTTTATGTTCCTGCATTAATTCACTTAGGATAACAGCCTCTAGCTGCATCCATGTTGCTGCAAAGGACATGATTTCATTCTTTTTTTATGGCTGCATAGCATTCTGTGGTGAATGCCTACCACATTTTCTTTATCCAATCCACCACTGATGATCACCTAGGTTGATTCCACGTCTTTGCTATTGTGAATAGTGCTGTGATGACCATACAGGTGCATGTGTCTTGGTGGTAGAATGATTTATTTTCCTTTGAGTATATACCCAGTACTGGGATTGCTGGGTCAAATGGTAGCTCTGTTATAAGTTGTTTGAGAAATCTCCAAACTGCTTTCCACAGTGGCTGAAATAATTTACATTCCCATCAGCAGTGTATAAGTATCCCCTTTTCTCCACAGTCTCTCCAGCATCTCTTATTTTTTGACTTTTAAATAATGGCCATTCTCACTGGAGTGAGATAGTGTCCCATTGTGGTTTTGATTTGCATTTCTCTGATGATTAGTGATGAGAGCATTTTTTTCATATGTTTTTTGGCCACTTGTATGTCTTCTTTTGAGAAGTGTCTGTTCACGTCTTTTGCCCATTTTTTGATGGGGTTATATTCTGGATATTAGACCTTTGTCAGGTGATTTTCTCCCATTCTGTAGGTTGTCTGTTTACACTGAGATATATTTGACAGACAATAAACTGTGAATTTGTCATGTTTCAGCTAAACAACTTGATAAGCTTTCACACACACACACACACACACACACACACACACACACGTATGAAACCATCACCACAATCAAGGCAATAAGGATTTCCATCACCTTCAAAGTTTCCTCATGCCCATGACTATCCCTTTCTCTTCTCCTCTCCTGTCCCCAGGCAACCAATGATCTGCTTTCTGTCACTATAGGGTATTTTCTAGAATTTTATATAATAAAATGTTATAATAAGTCTTCTTTTGTGTTTGGTTCCTTTCACTCAACAAAATTATTTGGAAATTGTCTTAGTCCATTTGCACTGCCATGAAAAAATGCCTGAGACTGGATGTTGTGGTTTGAATGTATCCCTTCCAAAATTCAGGTGTTGCCAATGTGATATTATTAAGAGGTGAGGCATTGTCATTGTCTACTTTATATAGTATTAAATGGACAGAAGGAAGAAGAGGGAGAGACCCAGATCTATTAAAAGGTGATTAGACCAGAGGGCTACTCCCTCGGAATGGAATTAAGGCCCTTATAAAAGAGGCTTCATGCAGCATCTGGTTAGCTTGCTGTTTTGCGTCTGCCTTCCACCATATGAGGACATGGTAAGAAGGCCCTCACCACACACCAAACTCTGAGATGATCATTAGCATTTTTAGCAATAAAATATTTTAAAATTAAGATGAGTACATTTTTTTTCAGACATAATACTACTGTACACTTAACAGGCTATAGCTTTTGTATGCACTGGGAAACCAAAAAATTTGGGTAACTGGCTTATTGTGATATATGCTTTATTGCCCTGGTCTGGAACAGAAGGCATACTATCTCAGAGGTATGCCTGTATCTATTTCTTTTTGACTGAGCTTTGCTATTTGTATCTTTCAAGAAATTTGCCCATTTCATGTAAGTAGCCAAATTTATTAATATAAAATTGTACACAATGTTCTATTATTATCTGCAGTGATAACACCACCCTGATTCCTGATATTGGTAATCTGTGTGTTTTATTTGTTTCTTAATCTGTGTTTCTCTTCTTTCTTCTGTCCATTTAATACCATATAAAGTAGACAATGACAATCATTTTTATATTAACCATTCTTTGTTTGGGGCATTGCCTATCCCATGAAGTAGAGTTTGCCTCCCACTCTAGATCTCAAAGATGGTTAGTATTCACTCTCCCAGCTTCTCTTGTAGCTACAGCATGGGCACCTAACTCAGGCTCCACCAATCATATGAACCTACTATCCACTGAGTCTGAGGCCCGAGGTGGGAAGAAGCAGGGTCCCCACAGATTTCACTCAGGCTGGGCTGCTGGTGGCAGGCGTCGTGCCACCCATTCCCTGAGAAGCACTGGTAGCCGTGGTTCTCTTGGCAGCATCCCGAGTCTTGCAATGTCTGCCCAGTCATTGGTGGGAGCCACAGGGGAGCCTGAACTGCTGAGCACTGCGGTGAGATTTGTAATCTTGTTCCTCTCTGCAAAGGTGAGTTTCTTGCTTGTCTGCATGTGAGTGTGGGCCACAGAGGATGCTGTGCTGGGTGGCTAAAACTCAGAGACCCAGAGAGCAGATTTTAGGGTGGCCATGGCAGAGGGAAAGCAGGAGGGGCAATACCTGGGAGTAGAGAAGCACCGTGTTGAGGAGCTCCATGTTTGGCCTGTACACTCTGCCCAAATCTCTGGTTGACCCTGGAGCCATGCAAGCACAGGGCTGAGTCCAAGAAAAGAACTGAGCAGAGGTTTCAGCTGATGCCCAATACCAAAGAAACGGAGTCTGGAGATTGCAGTTGGTACCCAATACAGAGGAGACTTCATGTGAGTTTAGCTAGTTTAGTTGTCTACTAAGACAACAAACCACCACCACCACCACCACCACCACCACAACAACAATAACAAACAATGACTCATCTTCGGAGAAATATAACAGAAACCAAGAAGCCAAATCTACTAGAATTCATTATGGACAGTGTCTAGGATATAATGCTAGATTACTACAAGAAACAAGAATTGTCCTGATACTCAAGGAAAAAAGCATCCAAGGGAAACTCACCCTGGGCTGACCATAGTCGAGAACATAAAGCATGCTCATAATGATTTTTATATTGATATATGTGCTTCTTCATTAACAAGTAAAACAGCAGTACTTAAAGGTTCTTTACCAATGCCATAAATTGATGAAATGTTATTTCCAGCAAATGTGTCTAGCTATTGGCAATAACTGTAATGTGATATGAAAATATTTATTTCTGTTGGTGACAAAGTCACATGTATTGCCGATACTGTTGTGGTTTGTTGCCTACATTCATAATTGAAGGAAACACTAAAGTTTAGTTATTTTAGTAAAAATAAGGATGCATTTTTCCCCATCTGATTCGTAGATCCTTTGAGATCTTAACACCAGGTTAAGGTCTTAAGACCATAGATATTGATTTCTCCCTGATAGTACCAAAAAACATGCCTGGCACATAGTAGATGCTTCATAAATATTTCTCAAATAAATGAATGCATCTGTGTTACAATCTAGTGATTGAGGGGTTAAAATTAATTCTCTAGTTTTTCATATCCATTAAAACAATAAATTGATAACAAAGGCTATTATTTGATGATTGTTTGCTATGTGCCAGACATTGTTTTATAAATATTATCTCATCTAATTCTTACAATAGTCCTGAGGCAGGTCCTATTATTACTTCTGTTTCATGGTTATGGAAATTGAGCCAAACAGTGTTTAAGTAGTTTGTTCAATGCCACATGGCTGGCCTGAGTCCACAGCCTCCGTCCTTAAAGTATAAAGTATAAAGGTAAAACTTGCTCTGAATGTCTCAGGCTTGGCTTCTGGCCCTCAGTTCCAACAAATTCTTTTCCGGTCTCCTTCACTGACTAAGGCTCAGAACAACTCTATTTCACCCACATCCTCTTAGGCTACCTGTGGTGCCATCTGGGGATATCAGCCCCTCACCCAGTGATATGGTTTGGCTGTGTCACCACCCAAATTTTATCTTGAATTGTAGCTCCATAATTCTCACGTGTTGTAGGAGGGACCTGGAGGGAGATAATTAAATCATGGAGGCAGTTTTCCCCATACTGTTCTCATGGTAGTGAATAAGTCCCATGAGATCTGATGTTTTTATAAAGGACTTCCCCTTTTGCTTGATTCTCATTTTCTTTCTTACCTGCTGCCATGTAAGATGTGCCTTTCACCCCCTGCCATGATTGTGAGGCCTCCCGGTCACGTGGAACTGTGAGTCCATCAAACCTCCTTTTCTTTATAAATTACCTCGTCTTGGGTATGTCTTTATCAGCAGCATGAAAACAGACTAATACGCCCAGCTTCACACAACCACCTTAAGGCTAAATGCCATCAGGTTTGGCTCTCTGGGACCAACTTCTGCTTTCTAAATCTCAATGTCCACCTGCTCACTGGACACCTCTCCCTGATGTTCTTCAAGCCATTTGATGATTGTTTGCTACGTTTTTGATATGTACCTCTATCTTTCCTCCTCTATCCTAATGCAAGGTGTACCTTCCCTGTGAGGACTTTCCTGACCCTTTCCAGGTATGACCTGCCCACTTGGTATCCCCCTGTACTCTGTACATACCCTATCACTACCCCCAGTAAATTGTATTACTAAATTTGTTTACATGCCTGCCTCTTCTTACCATTCTGGCAGCTTCTTAAGAACAGAGACTATTTCTAATTTGTCTCTAAATTTCTAGGACTTAGAATAATGCCTGACACAGTAGGTGCACTGTAAATGCTTGTTGAATGGGTGGATCTATGAATAAATTAATGAATGAATTATATACACCAACCTACTTATCACTTTGGCTGATGTGTTTATTATGATTTACACAAAACCAATTGTGTAGTGTAGAAATGTAAATGTTATGTGTAATATGTAAAAGGTAAAAGTGTAAAAATGTAAAATATATACAAACATGGCCCAAGAGAATAACAATGAAGTTTTAAATAGGAAATTTTAGTAGAGAAAAAGAAACTATTGAAAAGAACCAATTGGGGGAGTGGCCAAGATGGCTGACTAGAAGCAGGTAGTATGGGTGGCTCTCACAGAGAGGAACAGAAGGGGTGAGTAAATACACCACCTTCAACTGAAACATCCAGGTACTTGCATTGGGATTAATCAAGGAAACAACTTGACCCACAGAGAACAAAGAAAAGCAAAATAGAACAATGGCCCACCTGGGAGCAATACAGAGCCAGGGGATCCTCCCCTACCCAGGAAAGTGGTTAGTGAATGAGCGACTCTAGGAAACCACGCTTCTCCCACAGATCTTTGCAACCCTCGGGTCAGCAGATCTCCTTGTGAACCCACTCCACCAGGGCCTTTCAGTTTTCAGTCTGACAGACAGAGCCATGGCTCTTGGCAGAGCAGCTGCTCAGGCATGTGTGGAGAACCTGGAACCTTAGATACTTGGGCTTTCCGGCAAAAGTAGTTGCAGCTTCAGCAAAGTGGAAGGTTAGACTCCTGTACATACCCCTAGGAAAGAGGCTGAATCTAGGGGGCTGAGCAGCAACAGCCTGTAGCCCCCACTTCCACAGCACCTCACAAGATAAAACCCACTGGCTTGAAATTCCAGGAGTTGGTTTTTTGAAAAAATTAATAAAATAGGCCACCAGCTAGATGAATTAAGAAGAAGAGAGAAGATCCAAATAAACACAATTAGAAATGATTAAGGGAATGTTACTACTGACCCCACAAAACTAAGAACAACCATCAGAAACTACTCCAAAGACCTCTATGCACACAAATTAGAAAACCTGGAAGAGATGGATAAATTTCTGGACCCATACATCCACCCAAAACTGAGCCAGGAAGAAACTGATTCCCTGAACAGATCAATAACAAGCTTTGAAATTGAATCACTAATAAATAGCCTGCCAACCAAAAAAGGCCTAGGACTTGCTAGATTCACAGACAAATTGTACCAGATGTACAAAGACAATCCGTTACCATTCCTACAGAAATTATTCCAAAAAATTAAGGATGAGGGGCTTCTCCCCAACTCATTCTATGAGGCCAGCATAATCTTGATACCAAAATCTGGCAGAGACACAACAAAAAAAGAAAACTTCAGGCCGGTATCCTTGATGAACATCAATGCAAAAATCCTCAACAGAATACTTGCAAACCAAATCCAGCAGCACATCAAAAATCTAATCCACCATGATCAAGTAGGCTTCATCCCTAGGATGCAAGTTTGGCTCAACATATGAAAACCAATAAACGTGATTCATCACATAAACAGAACTAAAGACAAAAACCACATGGTTATCTCAATAAATGCAGAAAAGACTTTTGATAAAATTCGACATCACTTCATGTTAAAAACTCTCAATAAACTAGATATTGAAGGAACATAACTCAAAATAATAAGAACCACAGCCAACATTATACTGAATGGGCAAAAGCTGGAAGCATTCCTCCCTTGAAAACCAGCACAAGACAAGCATACATTTTTTCACCACTTGTATTCAACATAGTATTGGAAGTCCTAGCCAGAGCAATCAGGCAATAGAAAGAAATAAAGGGCATCCAAATAGGAAGAGAGAAAGTCACCCTATCTCTATCTGCGGACAGCATGATTCTATATCTAGAAAACCCCATGGTCTTGGCCCCAAAGCTCCTTCAGCTGATAAAAAAATTGAGCAAAGTTGCAGGATACAAAATCAATGCACAAAAATCAGAAGCATTCCTATACACCAACAACAACCAAACTGAGAGCCAAATCAGAAAGGCAATCCCATTCACAGTTGCCACAAAAATATAAAATACCTAGGAATACAGCTAACCAGGAAGGTGAAAGAGCTCTACAATGAGAATTACAAAACACTGGTCAAATAAATTAGAGAAGACAAAAACAAATGGAAAAACATTCCATGCTCATGTATAGGAATAATCAATATCATTAAAATGGCTATACTGCCCAAAGCAATTTACAGATTCAATGCTATTCCTATCAAACTATCAATGACATTCGTCACAGAACTAGAAATTATTTTAAAATTTATATGGAACCAAAATAGAGTATGAATGGCTAAGACAATCCTAAGCAAAAAGAACAAAGCTGGATGGATCACATTACCTGACTTCAAACTATACTACAAGGCTACAGTGACTAAAACAGCATGGTACTGGTACAAAAACAGGCACATAGACAAATGGAACAGAATAGAGAGCCCAGAAATAAGTCTGCACACCTACGATCATCTGATCTTTGACAAAGCTGACAAAAACAAACAATGGGGAAAAGACTCCCTATTCAGTAAATGGTGCTAAGACAACTGGCTAGCCATATGCAGAAGATTGAAGCTGGACCCCTTGCTTACACTGTGTGCAAAAATCAACTCAATATGAATTAAAGACTTAAATCTAAAACCCCATACTATAAAAACCCTGGAAGACAACTTAGGCAATTACCATCCTGGACATAGAGACAGACAAAGATTTCATGACAAAGAAACCAAAATGAATCTAAACAAAAACAAAAATTGACAAGTGGGATCTAGTTAAACTTAAGAGCTTCTGTACAGCAAAAGAAACTATCAACAGAGTAAACAGATAACCTACAGAATGGAAGAAAATATTTGCAAACTATGCAACTGACAAAGGTCTAATATCCAGAATCTGTAGGGAAATTAAATAAACTTACAAGAGAAAAATAACCCCATTAAAAAGTGGGCAAAAGACATGAACAGACACTTCTCAAAAGAAGACATACATGTGGCCAAAAAGCACATGAAAAAAAGCCCAATATCACTGATCATTAGAGAAATGGAAATGAAAACCACAACAAAATGCCATCTCACATCAGTCAGAATGGCTATTATTAAAAAGTCAAAAAATAGCAGATGCTGGCGAGGTTGTGGAGAAAAGGGAACACTTATACACTGTTGGTGAGAGTGTAAATTAGTTCAACCATTGTGGAAAACAGTATGGAGATTCCTCAAAGAGGTAAAAGCAGAACTACCATTCAACCTAGCAATCTCATTACTGGGTATATACCCAGAGGAATATAAAGCATTCTTCCCTAAAGACACATGCACGTGAATGTTTGCTGCAGCACTATTCACAATAACAAAGATACAGAATCAACCTAAATGCCTATCAATGACAGACTGGATAAATAATATATGGTACATATACATGACAGAATATTATGCAGCCATAAAAAGAACAAGAGCATGTCTTTTGCAGTAACATGGATGAAGCTGGAGGCTATCATCCTTAGCAAACTGACACAGGAACAGAAAACCAAATACTGCATGTTCTCGCTTATAAGTGGGAGCTAAATGATAAGAACTTATGAACACAAAGGAGGAAACAACAGATGCTGGGGTCTACTTGAGGATGGAGGGTGTGTGACGGGAGGGGAAGAGAAAAGATAACTATTACCTGGGTAATGTAATAATATGTACAATAAACCTATATGACATGTGTTTATCTATGCAACAAACCTTCACATGTACCCCTAAGCCTAAAATAAAAATTTAAAAAAGAGAAACAAACCAACTGTAATTCCGGAACTGAAAAACATAAAGTGAAAAATTCAATGGATTGTCTTAATAACAGATTGCAGATGACAGAAGAGTCATGAACTTGAAGCTAGATCAATAGAAATGATCTATTCGGATAAACCAAGAGGAACAATAATAGAAACGAATGGAACCTCAGTGGTCTGTGGGACAATATATAAAGGTCAAATGTGTATTTTGAGTGCCAGGATGGGATAGAGAAAATGGGGAAGGAAAGCTATCTGAAGAAATAATGGCTGAAAAATTCCTCTAGTATCATTTTTCTTAGGAAATCCATTATTTACAAATTTAATGAAACTTGGTGAACCACAAAGAGGATAATTACAAAGGAAAGCAACATCTAGGCACATTGTAGTCAAGCTACTGAAAACAAAGAAGGGCAAGAAAAATCTTGAAAGTAGTCAGAGTAAAATGACTCTACATATGGGAGTGCATTAAGAACTTAATTCTCATCAGAAACAATGGAAGCCTGGAGACAGTGGAGCAACATTTCTAAAACAGTGAAAGAAAAAAAAAACCTTCCAATACAGAACTCTATATCTAGGGAAATAGAACAAATTCAAGAATGAAGGTGAAGTAAATATCTTTTGAGATATAGGAAAGCTAAGAAAATTCATCAACAGAACTGCACTAAAAGAAATACTAAAGGAAGTCTTTCAATCTGAAGAAAAATTAAACTAGAGGAAATCTTTGATCTTTGGGTAGAAATGAAGAACACAGGAAATGGTACATGTGTGGGTAAATATTAATGAATAGTTATTTGCCCTTAATTTCTTTATAATAATATGACTTTAAAGTAAACAGTTTAATAGTATATACTAGGGTTTGGCAACTCATAAAGGATGAGGTGGAATGGAAGTGAATCTATATGATGGAGAGTTTCTTACATTTATGCACAATATTAACTTTAAGTCGACAGTGAAAAGTTAAATATATATATATATATTGTAATCTCTAGAGTGAGCACTACAAAAATGCAAAGAGATATAGCTAAGAAGATAACGGATACATTAAAAGTGAATTACAAAAAATATTTGATTAATCCAGGCAGGAAATGGGGAACATGGGAACAAAAATCAGATGGAGCAAATAGTAAAAGGATAGACCTAAATCCAAATATATCAAACATAACATTCAATGTAAATGGGCTAAACACTCCAATTAAAAGGCAGAGATTGTCAGAATGAATAAAAGAGCAAGACTTTTGCTGTCTCCAAGAAATGCAATTTTAATATACAGACTCAGATGGGTTGATAGTAAGAGGTTGTAAATTATATACCATGCAAGGGGCAAGCATAAGAAAGTGGGAAAGTCTATGTTAATAGCCGACAAAGTGGAGTTCCAAAGAGTATCACCTGAGATAAAGGTAATAATTATATAAGGTTCAATTAATCAGAAACACATAGAACTCATAAACATGTTTGCACCCAATAACAGAGCCTCAAAATATATGAAACAAAAATTGACAGTATAAAGGAACAACTAGGCATTTCCACAATTATAGTTGGAGATTTCATCATCTCTGCCTCAGCAACTGATATAACCACTAGACAAGAAATCAGTAAATATATAAAATATATTTAATATTTAATATAAATCAGTAAATATACAAAACATTCCACCTAAAGAAGCTAGAAAAGGAATAGCAAAGTAAATCTCGAATAAGTAGAAGGAAGGAGATAATAGAGATACAAGAGCAGAAATCAATAAAATAGAAAACAAACTAAAAGTAAGTAAATCACACATATTTTAAAAGAGCAACCAAATGTGTAGCCCTTAGGAAGGCTAATCAAGAAAAAAGAAAATAATCATTAATATCAGCCGTGAAAGAGGGATATCATTAGAGGTTATATAGGCATTAAAAGAATAGTGAGGGAATATTAACTTTATGACAATAATTTTGACAACTTAGATAAAATTGACACATGCATTGGAAACAAAGCAATTTACCAAAACTTCCAATGGATTGAATAGAAAAAACACATAGCCCTATACTTCATAAATATATTTATTAACAAAAAACTTTTCTAAAAATAAAACAAAAATCCATGCCCAGATGATTTCATGGGTGAACTCCAGCAAATATTTAAGGAACAAAAATTGCCAATTTTACACAACAGTTTCAGAAAATAGAGGAGCAGGAAACAATTCTTAACTCAGTTTATGGGGCCAGTACAAACCTAAATCCTGATAAAAAGATGATATAAAACCAGAAAATTACAGAAAAATATCCCTCAAGAACAGTATAGGAAAACTATTTATTAGAAATCCATATCCAGCAATATATAAAAAGGCAAGTGTTTTATTGCCCATTTCCAGATGATGGGCATACATGTTCACTGACAGATATAGGCCACCTAGCTGTTAGGTGAGGCTGCATCTGTCTGATTGAAAGCCCACACGCTTTCCTAGGCAATGGCTGCCCAGGTGGTTGAAGGCCGGCCTCCAGCCGGTAAAGAGCTGGTATGAGGAACACAGCCAGCAATCAATCTATGTTGTAGGGATTCCAGGCCTGAGCAGGGCAGGCTGTGAATACCCTGGGGACCTGGTCTTAGGATCTCCTCCTCGTGACTTCTAGTCCATCCCATCCCAGCAATTTGCCACAATTACTGATGGAGGTCATTTTGATGGTGGAGGGCCAATCGGTGGGCCTGTTGCTCCCAGAGGCTCCAAGCCTTGGAACATTAAGCCCTTACCATGCAGGTCCCGTTGCCAGGGCAACACAGATGTCTCCTCCTGTCTAGCCACTTGTCTTCCACAGAGACTACGAAATTTTTCTTCCTCATCTACCTGGGGCTTCTGGGAGAAGCGGGAAGCCCTGTAGTCTTAGCACAGCGGGCTTTGGAGACCCCTGCGCTGCGCAGCGCGGCCGCGTGACTGAGGCGAGATCTTCCACCCTCCTGCTCCAGGGCCTCTAGGTGGCCTCCAGAGTGGGCTCCACAGCTTGAAGGCGGCGTTTTTCCGCGGGTGGTCGCAGCGTCCGCAGAGTCGGAGAAAGTGAGCAGGCTCCGGCGGGACCCCAGAGTGACCGCGGGCGCCCTGGGCAGGTGCCAGATCGCTGCCTCCGCAGTGGGCGCGAGAGGGGGTCCCGGTCCGGCCCAGGGCCCGCAGAGAGAGGAGGAGGGGGCTCCTGGCTGCAGGAGTCTGGTGGGGCGGGGGTGGGGGGTAGGGTGGGCTGCCGTTGCAGAGGTGCAGGGGACGGTGGGAGAGAGGGGGGCTCTGGCTTTCGGGGGAGGAAGGGGACTTCTGGCTGCAGGTGTGGGGGGCGCGGAGGGGGGTTGCCAGGTTACACGGAAGATCAAAAGAGGAAGATCAAAAGAGGGAGGGGGCTCCTGGTTTGGCGCTGGAAAAGAGACGGGGGAGGTCTCTCTGCTTCCCTTCTGCAGTTTGGGTAAGGAAGAACTCCAGGCTGCAAAGATCTGTGTAGGGGAAGACTACTGGCCGCAGGGATTCTGGGTGGGGGAAGAGCTACCTGTTGCAGGGGCTTGGATAGGGGAGGACTCCTGGCTGCAATGTTACAGATGATGGTGGGAGGGGGAGGTGCACTTGTTGTGGTGTGATAAGGGGACATCAGCTCAGGCAAAAGGGGATCTCCCAATAGAGGTGGTGGGTGTGTGCCAAGGGATTAAGTGTCACCAACTGGGGGAGGGCTTTGGGGGTGCATGGGCTGCAGCAGTGGGAGGGAATGGATCCCTGGCTGCTGCAGTGCTTGGGAGGGGAGGGCAAAGGCCTGTAGTGGGGGTGGGTTGATTGGCAGCAACGTCGTCCCTCTCTCCCCTTTGCACTCACAGGCTGCGTCAGAGACTGCAACAGTCAGCACACATTCCTGTCTGATCAGGCTCCCTCCCTCAAGTCCTCTGCGATAGCTCTGGCGATGCTTCAGGACTGGTGCAGGAGGATGGGTGTGAACGCAGAGCGCTCTCTGCTCATCCTGGATATCCCTGACGACTGCGAGGAACATGAGTTCCAGGAGGCCGTGCGGGCTGCCCTGTCGCCCCTGGGCAGGTACCGAGTGCTCATCAAGGTCTTCAGAAAGGAGCTCGGGGCCAGGGCAGCCTTGGTGGAATTCGCTGAGGGTTTAAACCAAAGCTTGATTCCCCGCCAAATAGCAGGCAAAGGGGGACCCTGGAAAGTGATCTCCCTGCCCCAGGCCCTTGATGCTGAGTTTCAGGATATACCCAGTTTCCCTGCACAGCCCCAGGGGCAAGCAGTGGCCAGAGGTGCAGGTGAAGCAGGAGCTGCAGGTGAGGCAGGATCTGTAGGTGAGGCAGGAGGTGTGAATGAGGAAAGATCTGCAGGTGAAGATGAGGCAGGAGGTATAGGTGAGGCAGGAGGTGTAGGTGAGGCAGGAGCAGCAGGTGAGGCAGGAGCAGCAGGTGAGGCAGGAGCAGCAGGTGAGGCAGGAGGTGCAGGTGAGGCAGGAGGTGCAGGTGAGGCAGGAGGTGCAGGTGAGGAAGGAGGTACAGGTGAGGAAGGAGGTGCAGGTGAGGCAGGAGGCGCAGGTGAGGAAGGAGGTGAAGATGAGGCAGGAGCTGCAGGTGAGGCAGTAGGTGCAGGTGTGGTGGAGGCCTGGACCCAGTCATGGCGCCAGACCCTGCGGCCTCTGGTGAAAACTATGGCCTACCGGGAACTGAGACCCTTTTCCGGGAGGGAGCAGCCAGGCTGCGTGGAAGAGTCCTTTGAGAGCTGGTTGGAGGACGCCAAGGATATGCTGCAGCTGTGGTGCCACGCGTCGGAAAGGGAGAGAAGGAGGCGGCTGCTGGACAGCTTGGATGGCCTGGCCCTGGATATCGTGAGCGGCCTCCTGGAGGAAGATCCAGACTTCTCTGCGCAGGACTGCCTGACGGCGCTGGGGCAGGTGTTTAGGAGCCGGGATACATGGATGACCTCGCGGATGAAGTTCCTGACCTGCACGCAGGGGCCCCAGGAGGGGCTGTTTGCCTTCGTGGTGCGCCTGGAAGGCCTGCTGCAGAAGGCCGTGGAGAAGGGGGCGGTCCACCCAGCCATGGCCAACCACCTGCGACTGCGGCAGGTGCTGTCTCGGGCCCGCCCCAGCGAGGCACTCCAGGATACCCTGAGGAGGATGCAGCTGGAGAGGAGGCCACCTGACTTCCTGAGGCTGCTGCGGCTCATCCGGGACATGGAGGCGTGGGCAGCCTCCCTAGCAAGGAGCCAGCAGGGTGTGGCCTGGGCAGCGGCCCCAGTGGAGAGTGAAGACCCAGCTGCTGCCCAGGCCTCCCCGGCCCAGGGGGACGCCAGCGAGGCTGATCCCGGAGCAGAAGATGCTGATGAGGCTGCTTCCACCACCAAAGAGGCCGCCAGGGTTGCCCCTGCCACTGGGGAAGATGAAAATGCCCCTGCAGGCCTTGAAGGCCTAGGTCAGGGAAGGTCCCCCGACGCCCCTGGGGGCCTCCCAGCCAGGATGGGCAGTGCAGTCGACATGGCCCCAGGAGGTCCCAGCTGGGAGCCAGAGGGCCTTGTCCAGGTTGGAGGCCAGGAGGCTGAGGAGCCTCCCCAGGAGGGGCTCAAGCCCATCTTAGAGGAGTCAGAAAACGAGGATGAGGATGGGGCTGGGGAGGCGGGCAAGCCCAAGTCCCCCCCGGGCAAATAGGCTCTGAGGGCCCTGAGGGCTCCTCTCCTCTCAGGCAGCAGCACCCTGGAGGCAGACAGAGGCCAGGCCAGGGCCGGTCCCTCACCCCATGTTGGGAGCTGTGCCTCCCACCTCCCCTAATGGGTCCTGGCCACCACCACCAGCCCTTCCCAGTGACTCAGATGACCACGTTTGATACCAAATGGGGAGCTGGCCTGGAGGGAGCTCTGAGCGGCCAGCCTGAAGATGTCTGCCCCCCACCCCTTGTCCTGTGTTGGGAGAGATGGGGGAAAGAGGCCCTCTCAAGGGTGACAGCTGCCTACATGTCCCAAGAGGTGGCCCCCACTTGCCATCCCTGGGGCAGACTGCCCCCCGTTCCGGGAAGCCCACCCTCACCTCTGTAGGCCCCATAGTGACCCACGCGTCCGAACAGCAGACGCCCACTCACCCACCGCTAGCCATTGTTCCTACACAAAGTTGTATGCTGTGCGCCCATCGGTGCGGCTGCCTCTGGGCCTGGGGCACATGCTGTGAGCTTCCTGCTAGCCCAGGCTCTGCTAGCTGCTACCTGTCCCTTGTCGTGAGCACCACCTCTGCTTTCCTGGTGTAGATCTAGGCCAGGGGCTGCTTGTTCTCGTGGAGCTGTGTGTGTTCTTCTCTGAGCAGCTCCTCCCCGGAGGCCCCCAGCACAGTCCTGGGAGATGGTGGAAGGAGGCGCCAGGGCACGATGGACGCTCATCCTGTGACTGCTATGGTGAGCATGACCACGATGGTGCCCGTGACCATGATGGTGACCATGACTGTGTGAGGAAGAACCGGACCTGGGACAGAGCAGAGCTGCCCTGCCTGAGGCTCCCCGGGGAGCTTTGTGCTTTGGTGTTCTATTCCTGTTGTTACTTGTGACTCAGTTTCCTTGACTTGGGGGGGTGTTCCCTGCTGTGTTTTCAGTGTCCTGTGAGGGCTATAGGGCAGGGCCCTGCCCCAGCGGATGGGCTCGGGAGGGGGCTCCCTGAAGCCAGTGGACACTGCCAGAGTCCACCATCCTGGCAAGAGGCGGACCCTGGGGCCCTCAGGAAGGAGGGAGTTGGCAGCGGGGGCTGCAGCAGGAGTAGGAGCAGATGAGGCGTCTTGCCAGGAACCCCAGGAGGAGGGGGCCCGGGACCTGTGTGGGACCTGTGTCCTGTGGTGGCAATTTGCAGTTTCTCTCTGTGTTGTGATTCCCTTCTCTTCAATGGTTTCAGTACATGTTTCTCTTCAATAAACTTCATTCAGTGTTCCAGCCGGCCTCGCCTCTGCTCTGGGAGACTGGGGATGAGGTTTGCTGGGCATGGGGTTGGGTGGGGTGAGGGCCACAGTGGCCAGGCTGACACTGGGGTGTGTGCAGGGCAGGGTCCCTGAAGGCCTGTGGGGTTCTTTGGGCTGCATGGAGCCTGGCGACAGGATGTTGGTTTTCATGGGCAGTGGCTGATTGAATCCCCAGGGCAGCAATCCTCCTTGAGCACTGTGGCCAGAGGCGCAGTTCTTGATGGGGGCCTGAGGATCCTGGAACCCGCCCTCCTGAGCCCTCCTGGGACTGGCTCTCTCTCCCAACAGGCCAGGGAGCTCGCTACAAATGGAGGGTAGTCCTCGATCAGCCATTTAACTAACGCAGAGTCTGTGGGCGACAGAACTGGGACAAGTGATAGGCCCCTCCCTGCACATGTGTGGGGAGGGGACGGGATCATTGACTTGGACGTGGCGAGGGTCTCCCGGGGCTCACTCAGTCTGTGTCCACACACTTCCTCCGGCTGTTCTGGAGCACAGAGCCTCCGGCCATCCCCATGGCTCAGATGATAGCCAGGCTCCCCCAAAGCAGCCTCAGAGCCAATGCTGGGAATGGGTGGCTGCCCACCTGGGCTGAGGAATCCTGGATCTAGGCGACCTGTCTGCTTGAGCGGAGCTGCAGTCAGCAGGTCTGCAGGGCGGCAGGGGCCCTGGGAGACACTCGGCATACACAGGCCAGTGCAGGCATGGGAGGGGTAGTTTTGCGGGGCTGTCGGGGAGGGGCAGGGGGCGGCAGGTCTCTGGGGCTGGGCCTGCAGCCTCCTCGGCCTGAAGGTGCTTAACCGGTGTCTCAGGGACCCTTGTAGTGTGTCCCATCGGGGTGCCCTGCAGGCATGCCTGGGGCCCCCACTGTGTTCTGTTCTCCCTGCCTTCTTCAGGCTGGGCACAACCCCAGCATGTCCGTCCCTTGTGTCTCAGCAGGGCCAAGTCAACTGCTCACTTTCCAAGGGCCCCTCCAGATTTTGGGGACAGGGCAAGAGGAGAGGGCATAGAGCTTGGCTGACCTTGCCAGGGCCTGTCAGGGCTCCTTGGTTTTCCCTGTTCAGAGTGGACCTGTGTGTGCCGTGATTCCCGAGCAGGTGTGAGTGTGAGTGAGCGGGTGTGTTTGAGCGTGTGCGTGTGTGTGTCAGTGTGAGCATGTGCATGAGTTTCTGAGAATGTGTGTGAATCCAAGTGACAGCATGTGACTGCATCACTGAGCGTGTGTGAGTGGGAGGGTGTGGGGGAATGAGGCTGTGCCATTGAAGGTGAGCATGCATGTCGCTGAATGTGTGTGACACTGTGAGTGTGTCAGTGTGTGTCAGTGTGTGTGTGAGTTTGTGAGTCATTGTGCGTGCGTGCGCTGACTGCAAATGTGGGTGTGTCAATGAGCAGGCATGAATGCGTCATTCAATGTGTGTTTGTCACTCAATGTGTGTGCGCATGTGAGTGTGTCTGGAACATGAGTGTGTGAGTGAATGTGTGTGTGACTGTGTCAGTGGGCATGTGAGCACACAGGCTGGACAGTTGGGTTGTGAAACCCGGAAGGGATCTAGCCAGGGAGTCTGGAAGGAGGTACCGGGAGAAACCAGTTGCTTCCCCACCAGCCCAGAGCAAGGAGACTTTGTCGGGCCTGAAGGACGGGCCCCCCCGGGGGGCCACCTGTCCCCTTCATCCCAGCCAGGCCCTTGGTGCGTGCCAGCTGGCAGAGCTCCTACCATGCATTGTGTTTTGCTGCACAGTCCTCAACAAGTGCCCCTGAGGAGGGCGGCATGTGTGGCCTGGGGACAGAAAGGTCCATCAAGGTGCCTTCCTGGGTGCCCAAGGGCTGACCAAGCCCATCCAATAAGCAGCAGCCTCCTGGGCTCACAGAGGGCTTGAGCGGTGGATGAGGGAGCTGGATCAGAGCCCAATCATGGGGGTGAGGCTGAGCAGAGAGGACTCAGAGAAGTCCCGTCCTCAGGACTGTCCCGGAGTAGACAAGACTGAGAGGGGTCCCATCCTAAGGCCTGTCCCCTCAGCAGGGAGGACTGAGAGAGGTCCCGTCACCAGGCCTGTGCCTGATCAAAGTGGTCTGAGAGAGGTCTTGTTCTCAGGTCTTTCCCTCGAGCAGAGAGGAGTGAGAGAGGTCCTGTCCACAGGTATACCTCTGAGAAAATGAACTGAGACGGGTGCCATCATAAGACCTGTTCCTTAACGAGAGAGGACTGAGTTGGGTCTCTTGAGCAGACAGGCCTCTCTCCAAACCCTGAGCGGTGGGAACTGGGAAAGGTGCTGTCCTCAGCTCTGTCCCTGATCATAGAGAAATGGCAGAGGTCTCATTTTCAGGCCTGTTCCATGAGCAAAGAGGACTGAAAGAGGTCCCATACTCAGGTGTCCCCTGTGCAGAACAACAGAAATGTCTGACAGAGTACAACCCGCAGGTCTCTTTCTGATCAGAGAGGACTGAGAGAGGTCCCATCTTCTAGTCTGTCCCCTGAGCAAACAAAACTGAGAGGTCTCATCCTCAGGCGTCCCCTGAGCAGGAAGACTGAGAGGAGTCCTGTCCTCAGACCCATCCCTGGGCAGAGAGTCATAAGAGAGGTTCTGTCCACAGGCCCATCCTCTGTGTAAGAGGTCAGAGAGGGATCCCATCCTAAGGTCTGTCCCCTTAGCAGAGAAGACTGACAGCGGTCCTGTCCTCAGGCCTGACCCTGAGTAGAAAGCAGTGGGAGAGGTGTCCCCGGGCAGAGAAGACTGAGAGAGATGCTGTCTTCAGGTACCTGAGGCTTAGTGGGCAGAGAGAGGTCCTGTGCTGTGGCCTGTCTTCTGAGCACAGTCGACTGAGAGAGGTCCCATTCCCATATCTATCGTAGAGAAAAGAGGACTTAGAGGGGTCCTGTCCTCAGGCCTGTCCTTTGAGCAGAGAGGACTGAGAGAGGTCCTGTCCTCATATCTATCCCCTAAGAAGATGGACCGACGGGGGTCGCATCTTCAGGCCTGTCCCCTGAGCTGAGGGGGCTGAGAGGGTTCCTCTCCTCACACCTATCCCCTCAGATGATGGACCGACAGAGGTCCCAAACTCAGGTCTGTGTCTAGAGCAGAGAGGACTGAGAGATGTCCTGTCCTCATACGTATCCACTTAGAAGATGGACAGAGAGGGGTCCCATCCTCAGGTCCGTCCCTTGAGCAGAGAGGACTGAGAGAGGTCTGGACCTCACATCAATCCTCTTAGAAGATAAAACGATTCGGGTCACATTCTCAGTCCTGTCCCTTGAGCAGAGAGGACTGAGAGAGGTCCTGTCCTCACATGTATCCCCTTAGAAGATGGACTGACAGCAGTCCCACCCTCAGGCCTGTCCCCTGAGCTGAGGGGATGGAGAGAGGTCCTGTCCTCATATTTATCCCATCAGAAGATGGACCGACAGGGGTCCCACCCTCAGGCCTGTCCCCTGGGCTGAGGGGACCGAGCGAGGTCCTGTCCTCATATCTATCCTCTTAGAAGATGGGCCGAGGTGGGTCCCACCCTCAGGCCTGTCCCCTGAGTTGATGGGACTGAGAGAGGTCCTGTTCTCTTATCTATCCCCTTAGAAGATGGCCCAACAGGGGTCCCATCCTCAGGCCTGTCCCCTGAGCTGAGAGGACCAACAGAGTTCCTGTTCTCCTGTTTGCTGAGTGACATGTATGTGGAGAGGTGTCCCTTTATGAATTGCTCCTGAGTAGAGAGTACTGAGTGAGGTCATGTCCTAAGATCTGTCCCCTGAGCAGAGAGGACTGAGAAAACTCCTGCTCCCTCATTGGCTTTGATCAGAGAAGACTGGGAGAGTCGTGGCCTTAGCTCTTTCCCTTAGCAGTGGGGACTGAGTTAGGTCCTGTCTTCAGGTCTGTTTCCTCAGCACAGTGGATTGAGAGAAGTGCCATCCTCGGGCCTTTCACCTGAGCAGAATGAACTAACAGGGGTCCCATCCTCGGGTCTGCCCCTGAGCAGAGAGGACTGACAGGGGTGCCGTCCTCAGGCCTGTGCCCTGTCCTTCTATGGATAGCACCCCGGGGTCTGTGGCGGGCCAGCATATTTTGTACTTAATTTTAGGCTCATCTGAGAACCTGTCGATTCACTACCTTGTAAGGTAAGTCTATGTCCCATTGCAGTTGGTTGGGAATGACAAGTCCAACCTAGGGGCATGGCCGGGACCCCCTGCTGCTTCTCCCACAGGATCCAGCACCCTCTGTGGCCTTTCTGGACTCCCGACGTCCACCTGTTCCTGGCCTGGGATCACCTCCTCTTGGTGAGCTGTGTGGCAGCTTCATTTTTCTGAAGATGAAGACGCCACAGAGCAGTCACTTTCCCAGCCACTCCCATGGCAGGGTGCCAGGAGGAAGGTCACGCCCTGGGCAGTCTGGCTCTAGATGGGCTCTGGGAATGGGCCCTCTGGCTGCCAGACACAGGAACAGGGCCTGGCACAGAAGAGTGAGGCCCCTGGGGGCCATCCTTTTCCCAGCCCTTGGTCCTCTCCCCTGGAGCAAGATAATTTGGAAAGAGCTGAATGTGACCTTTTCCCTCTGTCTCACCTTTCTCTTTGCCTGTGCAAACAGGGCCACCTCCCAGGCCCTGACTCCTTCACCCACAGTGGGTTGTGCAAAGGCCAAAGCAGAGGCACCTGCTGGCTGCTTCCCTGGGCCTGCAGGGCAGACCCTGGTCCCCTGCTGCTGTGGTTCCCTGAGCCATGGGCCCCAGAGGCTCGGCTGGCTCTGGGCCTGGGCTTACACTGTGCTGTCTGAGCTTTTCCCCACCCACAGACCCTAGCATTTGTGGGGCAGCCTCTCTCAAGGCTGCCATCTTCCTCCAGATCCTACCCCTTCCTCAGGGAGCCCAGAGCAGGGCCTGCCTCCCAGGCCTGCAGTCCCTGCACGCAGCAGTCAGTCCCCTGAGCGTTTTGGCCTCCAGCACCTCCAGCTGCCCTGCTCCTGGCTCCACGTGCCTGCTTGGGCTCAAACTCATGGCTCCCATTCTCCTCCTGGAAAGCCCCAGGTCCATCTATCCCCAGAACCTCATTGTGAGCCACAGCACCTATCACAAAGAAAGACAAGCAGCCCCCAAGCAGATCAGTTTCCTATCCTGGGAATAGGGGTGGGTGGATTTCTCTCCAGCAAGGCTGACAGTCAGCCCAATCACCAGTGAGTACCCTGGGGACCTGTGACCCTATTCCAGGGCACATCGCACTGCTGGAGACTGGGCCCTGAAGCCCTGTCTCCCTGAGCCCCAGATCCAGGAGTCCTAGCGCACACCCACCTGGGTTCTGCATAGTGTGGCCACACTGCATGCCCACCACACTGCACTTTCTATAGCACTGCCTGTGGTCTTGCCTTCTGTGGCACCCCCGTATCTTGCTTTCAGTCCCCCATGGCCATTTGACAGCCATGATTCCACCTGGCCAAATCAGGGACAGCAGAAACCTGGTCATAATGGCCCTCCCCCCACACCAGCCATCCAACACGAGGTGCTGAAGGGTTTGGAGCCTGGGAGAATAGTGAGCCTCTCCCTTAGAGAACTACCTAGGGCCAGGCACCAGGCTGAGCAATTGAGCCTGCGTTGACTCCTCAAGCTGTCAGAGGAGCCCTCGGGAGGGGAGGTAGGCAGTGTCACGACCACTCTTCTCCAAATGAGGACACTGAGCACAGGAAGTTTCAGGAAGTTGCCTACAGCGACACAGCTCATCAGTGGATGTGTTGGGATTCTAACCCAGGCTGACAGACCTCACAGCTTGTGCCGTGGAAACAGCCGGAGGACAGGTGGCATGTGGTTAATGGTGACAGCCCTTGAAAACATGGCCAGAGGACACAGGGCCTGCAGTTAGCAGTGATCAGCGCTCTCTTGGTGGTCAACACATGTTGCTTCTGTAATCAGAAAAACAAAAATCCCAAACCAATGTCAATGTCTTTTTAAAGACTCTAAGAAAGAGACCAGAATAACATGGGCCACACGTTCTCAGCGACTGCCTCCATCCACTTGGGGACCTGAGATGGTCGTGAGCACTCAACTTCTTTCTACTCAGTGTCTGCAATGTCCCCAGGACCTGTAGGAGCCTGTGCTCCTTAGGGCGGGGCTCCCAGAGCTGAGGCTCAGTCTTCTGCTCTGGTCTGTTCCCAGGCAGGGACTTGTCAGGGCATCTCTTCAGTGTCCCCTGGGCTGGCAATTGCTATCCTAGTCCTTTGGGCCATAGACAGTGACAGCTGGAACAAAAGTGACACTCGCTGAGCTCTTGATACTTGCTAGGCGCCTCCTTAGGAGTTTGTGTGCATTGCTGCTGGCTTTACCTGCAGAGTCTGGAGATCCTTTGCTGGTACAGGCACATGGTACTTGGGCTGCGTGTGTTTGGTTTGGGGTGGGGACGTGTGCATTGAATGAGACTGGGAGCCACTTGGGAGCACAGAACTCAGTCTGGGGGACTCCACGGCAGTCCTCGGAGGAGATGCATTCTGATCTTGGTCTTAAAGGCCAAGCCACTGTTAAAGGGTGGAGGACTGGGGAAGGAGGTGTCGCCAATGCCAGCAGCAGGATGCATGTGGAGGAGGCTGGGACTGAATGCCAGGAACAGGGCAGCAGTGAGAGGGCAGTAGTGAGGCGTGAGGCTGGAGAAGCAAGCGGGGGCCCATGGTGAAGGGTTTTTCCTAACAGGTAGGGAGCTGTCTTGGAACATGCCATGGAAAGAAGCACATTCTGTGGAAAAATACTCAAGTGTGGTCTGTATCGGGAGAGAGGTGGCCAGCTCTCGCCGTTGCTAAGGGAACCACTGTGATGACAAGTCAATTGTGGCTTAAAAGCAATTTGGAAGGGTCGAGAGGTTTTGAGAATAGACCAGAAAATAATCCTCTGGTGAATGAAAACTAGTCTCCAAAGATAGCCTCCCCAGAGACACAGGGCTACCACGACCTCCTTGTGTCACACCCATGAATCTGTGAGGTCACATGGCAAAAGGGACTTTGCAGATGCAATTAGGTTACTAATCGGTGGTCCTTAAAATAGGGAGATTATCTTGCGTTCTCTGCTATGCCTGGTTTAGGATGCACATGAGCCTTTAGAAGAAGATCTTTCTCCTTGCGGAGGGCAGAAGGGGAAATCAGAGAGATTCAAAGCATCAGAAGAACTCAACACATGATTTCTAGTTTTGAGAGTGTGGGGGAGGCACATGCATGGACTGGAGAGAGGCCTCTAGGAGCTGAGAACAATCCAGGAGGCAGCTGGCAACAAAATGGGGACCACGGCCCTACCACCTCAAGGAACTGAATTCTGCCAGCAACTTTAGTGAGCCTGGAATCAGATTCTCCCCCAAAGCCTCCAGATAACACCCAGCTAGCCAACACTCTAATTGCAGCCTAACTTAACCCAGTTAAGTTAGGCCTGGACCCCTGACGCAGGGCAATTGTGCAATAATAACTGCATGTTGGTTTAAGCTTCAAAATTTGTAGTAATTTGTTATGTGAAGCTGGATTAGGTAGATAGCATTGCACTCCCCCTTTAAGTGCAGCTCTTTTTGATGGCCATGGCCTTTCTCATCAAGGCCATGAGGAATGGTGGGTGCTGGGCTTCCTTTGGTCAACTTCCACCTAGGTTCCTGGCTCAAGTCATTACCATGGTTGCAACAGTGCAAAATCTGGCAGTGTTTTCTTCCTCACTTTGTCTTTTTTTACAAGATTTCATTCCCTAAATTTACTAACCAAACTCATTTGATTCCTAGCAACACTTCTCATCACTGCAAGCCATAGCTTTAAATGGCGGTGAGGTCTGCAGTTGTAGAAGATGTTAAAGTTCTGGAGAACTCCACTTTTCTTCTTTTTTCTCCTTCCCTGTACATTCCATCCTCCTCTGGACTTTCGGTGCAAGAGTCTTGGAATTGATTCTAAAACTTGTAGGTCCAGATCATTCTCCCCACCTGCACTGTCTGAGCACGGCTGTCTTAAAGAAAATAACCCCCACCCCCTTAGCCCAACACAATGTTCCCAGCTTCCGTGAGGCCCAGCAAGGACCTTCACAGCATAAAACCCAGTTCCCTGAGTAACATTCTCATGTGTATGGTGACAAAACACAACACAACAAGGTCTTGTAAGGTTTTGCCCTGGAAACCTTCTCTAGTTCCTTATTACCATGGACCAAAATATGCTATTTGCTTCCTTGATTTCAGCCCCATAATTTTATCCCATACCATTTTCCTTTATAATTTCTCAAATTTGTGGCATTGGCCACTCTTATGGGTTGAATTGTTTCCCCTCCTGCTCCCCCGCAAAAAAAGGTATGTTGAAGCCCTAATCTCCCAGCACCTCAGAAGGTGAGATAGGCTCTTTACAGGAGTAATTAAGTTAAAATGAGGGCGTTAGAATCGGCCCTAATCTGATATGACTGGTGTCCTTCTAAGAAGAGGACATTTGGAAAGACATGCATACATACACACAATGCCAGGGTGAAGCTTGGAGTTCTGCTGCCACAAACCAAGGCAGTACTTGGAAGCTAGGAGAGGGGCCTGGAACAGATCATTCCACAGAGCCTTCAGAGGGAGCGTGGCCCTGCCCATATTCTGATTTCTGACTTGCAGTCTCTGGAATGGTGAGGCATCCATTTCTGTAGGTTCAGCCTCCCAGCCTGTGGGGTCTTGGTCACGGCAGCTGGAACACACTTACACAATCCAGTTGTTGATCTCAGGCAGTTTGCAAGCTGAACCCACAATTCCCTATTTGTGCTGCATCGATTTGACCCTCTTGTATAAAAACAAAGAAGAAAGATCTTAAAAATCAGGGCATAAAAATTGTTAATGTAGATATATGATGTTTCACATGGATTACAAAAATCTTCCACACTTGCTCTCCTAAGTTTGCATTCTGTGGTACCTACACCATCATCACAGAAGAAACAAAATAAAGTTGTCTTTAAAGATAAAGACCACACTGTCCCCAACCTAATATGCCATGAAAGGTTTTTTTGTTTGTTTGTTTGTTTTTTAACTGCATTCCATTTTGGAGCATCAAATGAAGCAAGATTAACTGACTAGTTCTTTAATACGAGCAGCTTTCAAACCTTTGGGTCTCAGCACCCCTTTGCACTCTTACAGTTTATTTAAGACCCCAAAGAATGTTTGTTTATGTGGAGATTCTATCTCTATCTCTATCTATACACACAGTATACATTTTGCTGTGTTAAAATTAAAAAATAAAAATAAAAATTTCACTTACTGAAAGATGTCAGTAATAAAAGCATTGCACATTAACACCAATAACATATTAGACAGCTGAACTTTCATCTGCTTCTGACTTCCACGCACCTTGGCATCACACTCAGGTAACCTCTGGAAAACTCCATGGTATCCTTGGGCAAGAAGAAAAGAGCCAAGGCAAAAATCTCTTCGTGTCATTATAAAAAGAGATTTGATCTTGTAAAGCGCTGCCTGAAACGGTCTGGGGACCCTTTGGGGTCCCTGGACCCAGATGTGAGAACTGCAGTGTTAGCCCATACTTCTTGGGTCCTTAGGACATGTATCTTGCCCTGACCCTGGTCGCTGTTAGCGTTAACCGTGCCTTTCATGTCTGCGGGTGCTCCTTGCTGCACCTGTCCTGTGTGATGCTGTTACTGCATGCAAAGCAATCAGGAGTAGCATGGATGAGTCAACAGAATGCCCAGAAATAACGATGGAACAGTGGTTAGGCCAGGGCTGTGGAGGGCCCTGCAAGTTAGGCAATACAGAGCAGTCTTTAGCAAGCATTTCTGTAAGCCTGTGCTTGCTGGGCATAAAAGGATAAGTAGGACAAGGTCACTTTCCCTGGAAAAGTAAGAACCCAGCATGGGATACAGATAAAGACAAAACAAAGTATGCACAGTAAACTGAGATCATTGCTACTGGAGTAGCAAATAGAATGCTGGGGTGGATTGTTGCAGTGGGAGGAGGACGAGTCACAGAGAAAGCCATGTTCTGTGAGCATATCTGGAGAATTTCCCAAGGGAGTTCGGGGAGGGGGACATTCCAGACAGGGCAAAGGGTTTGTCCCAAAGATGCAGGCAGGACAGAATCTCCAGGATTTGGAGAACTGCTGGGCCAGTGCTGGGGGGAATGATGGGAGATGAGGTGGAGACCGGGGCCACAGAGGTTTGTGTGGTTGGCTGAATTCTAGGCCCAGTTCCACCACTTAGTACCCTTGTGACTCTGAGCAATGCTCTTAACCTTTTGGAACCTCAGTTTCATCATCTGTAAAACGACCATAATAAAGATATTCACTGGGAGTGCAGGGAACATCAATGGGGTAGTGTGTAGGCAGCACTCAGTCCCACATAGCCCCCAGGGCCCACCTGCGGCTGCCTCCATGAGCACTGTCAGACCCGGGAGTCCTCTGCAGCCTGCCCTTCATCGCCATCTAGCACCACTCCCTCCCCACCTCCCGGCCTCAGTTTCCTCATCTGCAGAATGGGGATCATAATATGTGCTCTCTGGGTGGAGCGAGCAATTGAGATTACAAGAGACAGTCTCTCCTGCACCTCAGTGGCCACTCCTGTCTGTCCTTTCCATCACTGCTGGGATTGCTCTTCCAGGTGTCCCCAGCATCACTCTGTGCATCTCCACACTCCGCGCTGCGCAAAGGTGGGGTGGGAAGCAGCAGTGCCGTTTTCCCGGAGGGGCCTCCCCCTACAGTCAGCCCGGCTCCTGCCTGCCTGGGCCCTGCCTCGGGGCGGGAAGGCTGGGCTGCACTTCATGGGATCCCACCAGCTCCTATGAGGGGGCAGGGTGGTTGGGGCATGGCAGGCAGGGATCCGAGGGTGCGGGAGCCTGTGGTCACATGGGCAAAGGCCAGAAGGCGGGGCTCTGGAGCCACTGAGCAGCACAGTTACAGGTGTTCCACAGGCACAGTGAGCACCTTGCACCCTGCACCCTGCAGGCACCTAGGCTCTGCTCAGATGCACCGCAGGCCTGGACTTCCACGCAGCAGCCCCTCCCCAGCATCCGGGTCCTCAGGGAGCCTAGGGAAATGCAAATGCTAGGGCTTCGGTCCTGTTCTCGGAATCAGTCTTAGGGTGGGGCCTTGGAGTCCGCATTTTAGTCACATGGCCAGGATGATGCTGAGAAACATGTCTGAAACTGGGGTGGCAATGCTGCCATTCCAGGATCAGGGACAGGGGACCACGCAAGATTAAGGCTGTTGAAAGATCCAGGCAGCTTCGGAATTGACCAGGACTCCAAGGTTTTGAGTATAACTTTGAGCATAATTTCAGTTTTCCATTGTATTCCAATCCTTCGGAGTGAAAAATCTGTAAGTGTTGTGCTTAGTGGCCCAATAACTAGATGCCATTCTCAATAACTAGCTGCTCAGGACACCTGGTGTGAATGTGTGGGGTTTAGCGCCTAGGCTGAATGTCCCAGGCTGTGAATGAGTAGGTGGATGAGGAGGAACTCAGATGAAAGGGTCATTGGATGGTGAACTCATTGCTACTGACTATGTGGGGGAAGAGGGGAGAAGTTAGTCAATAAGGTGGCTTGGGGGCAAGGGCGGGCCCTGGTGACATGGGCCAGGAGGAGACTGAATTCCATGACTACACTCACAGTAATTACAATAACTGAAGCAGATGCTGAGTGATCATGACGCATGTATTAAACATTCTGTGTTGGTTATTTCATAGACACCTCATGGGAATCCAGTGTGACCATTTTTTTTCAGGTGAAGAAACAGAGATGGACAGGCTAGGTGACTTGCCAAGGCCACATAGCTGCTCTCTGGTAGGGCCAGGAATTCAAATCCACTTTCTCCTCACACGTGGTGGATCACCATCACTTTCCTTTGCTGACCTGACTTGTTGAGATCATTTGCAGTGGAGTCATTTGAGAATATATGTGATTTAATAAGTCCAACTCCACGAGTATCTGGTTACTGAGGGGCTTATTCTGGTTCTTGGTGCTGTGGGAGATATAAAACAAAGAGATGATGCAGCCTGCTCACTTTCAATTACCAGCAAGGATTTCTTATTGAGCACTCCCGTGTGCCGGGCACTGCAGTGAGTATGGCCCACACAGTCCTTTGCCTCATGCAGCCTGCAGGCTAATGGCAGTGAGACACATTACTCCAATAACCACGGCATGTGATTGACAGCTGAGACTGTGAAATCGAGAGCTTCTCAGACAATGGGGGTGCATGAATCTGCCTGGGGAGCCTTCCAGACCTCCCACACCTGGCCTAGTGTGGGCAGTCTGGAAGGCTCCTCCGGGCAGATTTTGTACACACATGTATGGTGCATGCATGTAAAGCTAGAACCAACTTCTTTTTATCCATTCACTGAGCACCCTCAGGTCCTAAAGTCTCCACTTCTGGAAAAACACGATGGCTTCTCCCAAAGAGCCCACCAGCTAGTGGGAAGGCAGATGTGAAAACCTGGAGAGGGCTGTTCAGTTGGTCTGTGGGAGCCAAGAGAAACAAATGATTAACTTGACATTCAAGGATGACTTCACAAGGCTACGACAAGAGAGAAATGTCAAGGATGTCCCGGTTGACCACGTCTGCTTGTTCCTGCCATCCTCTCTTTTTTTGGCTCACTGCTGAAGGTGTACCCATGACCTCTTGTTCTGTGCCCCCCTGGCATCCTGTCCTTTGCAGAGCACTGCCTATACCAGCAGATGGTAAACTCTTTAGGATGGCACTTGGCACACTGCCTGTCACATAGTAAGTGCTCAGTAGAGCTTTGTGAAATGAATGGATAGGATGAGGGGTAGCTCATTTTCAGAGGTTCACAGGAGTGACAGAGCATAGAAGCTTCTGGGGATAGCTTTGGAGGAGTGCTGTGCCAAATCACAAAGAACTATGGAGACTACGTTAAAGATTTTGGACTTGTGTCCCGTAGGCACTGCAGATGTTTGGAAGGCTTTGAAGCAGTTGTATGTCAGCAAGGTTTGCTTTTCTGAAAGCTCAGTGTGGTGGTCGGGTGGAAGATAGGATTGGTACAGGAGAGGGTGGATTCTGGGGAGTTCCTTGGGGTGATTGCAAGAATCTACAATGACTTGTCTGTGTTTCAGGGTAGTGGGCCTGGAGACAAATGATTGTGTTCTAGTCCTATTTAGGAGGTGGGATTGCCAGGACTTGTTCAGGATTGGGTAGGGGACATGAGGGAGAGGAAGCAGTCAAGGGTAATAATGGCTATAATCTGTGGACTACCGATGGGGTACCAGGCACCTACCTCAATTATTTATACCCCTTATAAACCACCCTTCAGGTTCTGAGTTATTATCCCTGTTTTAAGGATGAGGAAACTGAGGCTAAAGAGTAAGCAAAAGAGTGAGATTTCAGCAGTGCTAGCCAGAGGAGCTTTGGAGGCGAGGTTATCACTCCCTGCTGTCGAGAATTCAGGCAAGCTGGAGAGCTTACGGGGAACTAATGAGGTCAGTTTTAAGCATGTTCAGTGATCAGGAGATAACCCAAAGGAAATGCCTTCTAGACAGCTGGAAATGTAGGATGAGAGGTGAGGAGAGAGTTTGAGACTACGGGGAAGATTTGAGAATCACGGGCAAATGGGCGATGGTTGAAACCTCAGTGCAAAAGCAGTTCCGGGAAGTGGTGGGGGTGAGTGCTGGTCCCAGGAGAGAGACAGAAATGGGCAGTGAGGAAACAGCACGGGCCAGGACCAGTGCAGACTCTTTTGTTAGAAGTTTGGCTCTGAAGGGGAAGGGAGGCGGGGCAGTTGCTAGATGGACGCAGGATGAAGGGAAGGAGCATTTCATGGTGTTTGTTCATTCATTTGTTTTTAAAGCATAGAAAGCCTTGAGTGGGTTAATGGGCTGAGGAAAGGAGGAAAGCCGCTGGCCAGGAGGCCATAGGTTTTTCTCCAGTGGACATTTGAATTGATGAATGTCCTCTGTACATGCTTGAATTGGGTGACCATGTCAGAAGGGCTCTGGAGGAGGTAGCAGTCACCTGCATTCATGCGTTGGTTCCCCAGTCCTCACGTGCATGTTTCTCAGGAGAGTGAAGGACTTCCTCTTTATGGACAATTAGGTAGCTGGATGGTAACTCAACAGCTTCCAAAGAGGGCAGGAGGCTGTCATCCCTGGAGACAGAGGGCTTTAAAAGCAGCATGGAGGCTGGTATCCGGGAACTTCTTGCCTTCTGTTCACATATGAAAAATGCATGGCTTTTCATCACTACTGTCCTTCTGGCAGGGCACTCTGAGTAGCAACACAGGGGTTAGCACACAGTCTCAGTGCCATGGGCCATCCTGGTCCCCATTATGCTTCACATCTGTGCCCCAAAAAGGACTGGGCTCTGTCTCCATGGCTGATGCTGGCGGAGGCTGTGGGGATATGGTAGTGAACAAAACAGGTTTGCCTCTTGGAGCTGACATTCTAGTGGAGGGAAGCAGACAACAAAAGAGTTAACAGGGAAATTTACACTAAACATGTCAGGTGGAGAGATGTGCTGTGAACTGATTGTATAGCAGAGTAAGGGGCTGGGGAACATGGGGAGGGGGTTGCAATTTTACTTTGTAAAAGGTGGTCAGGGAAGGTCCCTGAGAACGTGGTATTTGATCGGACAGCTGCAGGAGGTGTGGACAGCTGTGGAGATAATGAGAGAGGCATGGTCTAGCACAGAGGGACTGTAAATGCAAAGGCCCTGGGGCAGGAGCTAACTACAGCAAGAGCCAGCTGAAGCCCCCACAAATGTATGTGATCCTCTTGTCTCTTGGCTTCAGTCTGGCTCTGTGGTTCTTAAACTTGCCCCCAATTTGTGAATCCGTGGGGCAGAGCTTTGGAGCACATGAACCTGGATTCGAATCCCAACTTTGCTCCTTTGTACTTACTTTGCCAACTGGGCACCTACTGGGGAGAATCACAGGCTCTTTGAGTGCCTTTCAGTTGGAGGGGAATCTTGGGCATCTCCCCAGTGCCCCTCATTCTACTTGCAAGGAAACCGATACCCAAAGAGAGTGGTTCCTTACCTAAGGTCACACATGGTGGCCAAATAACCCCTTTTCTCAGTTTTGTTAGAAAACAAGATATCTTAACTGGCTCTTTCATCATCTCCCTGATTTTTATTTGTAGTCAACACCAAAAACTCTACAGCTTATTTAGGTCTGTAAAAGCCTGTTCACCATTCTCCAAAGAATACAGAAAAGAACCACAAAAGATTCCCTGCTCCCTGCTTCCCGCACTGGCTCCATGGGTTAGACACACCTTGGGCCAACCAGCGAGTAGCCATCTTCAGAGTGGATAGATGGATGGGTTAAGATAATGAGGCAGCACACACAGTTCTTTCGAACATTTGAAATCACCTCACTACCTTGTAAGACACGAAAAACTCAGCCATCCACACCAGGGGTCAGCATGTTTTTCCTGAAAGAGAAGATAGCATCGATTTTCTGTCACAACTACTTAACTCTGCCCTTGTGGCACAAAAGCAGCCATCAAAAATACACCAGATTTCCAGAAGGGTCTGCAATCATAAAAAGCTAGGAATCACCAATTTTTGCCCTAAAACTGAGGGCATATTTCCTCATGCCACTTGGGAGGGCCTACCCTGGGAGATCTACTGGAATATCATGGAAAGTTTCCACTTGGACTCCTTAACCACAAGGGTAGGACAGATGCCAAGTCTTTCCTTACATCAAATCTAATCTCGTACATCTCTCATTGAATCCTAGAATTAAAACCAAGTAGCTTCAAAAGCATCATGAAGATAGATCTTATTCTAACTCTTTCACAAACTCAGCCTGGAGAGTCTGAGCCTCCGACCTGCCTTCCTGCCTTTCTTGTCTGCGCTGGACATGCCTCAGCCACTTCTGGACAATGTGTTTCCACCAATTTGAAACTTTTCATGAGTCTCCATCCACTATTTATTTTTAATTAAAAATTTTTAAATAGACACATAATACTTGTACATATTTATGGGGCACATAGTGAGTTTCAATACTTACAATGTACGGTGATCTAATCAGGGTAATTCACATATTATTCATCTCAACATTTATCATTTTTTTGTGTTGGGAACATTCCAACTCCTCTCTTCTACATAATAAATTATTGTTGACTGTAGTCACCCTACAGTGCTATAGAACACTAGAACTCATTCCTCCCATCTAGCTGTCATTTGGTATCCTTTAACCAATCCTTTCCTACTCTCTCTCCCCTCCACCTTTCCCAGCCTCTAGTAACCACTATTCTACTCTCTACTTCTTTGAGATCAACTTGTTTAGCTTCCATATATGAATGAGAATATGCATTATTTAATTTTCTGTTCCTGGCTTATTTCACTTAATGTAATGTCCCCCAGGCTCATCATGTTGCCATGAATGACAGAATTCCTTCTTTTTTATGGTTGAGTAATATTCCATTGTGTATAGATATCATATTTTCTTTATCAATTTATCTGTTATTGGACATCTAGGTTGATTCCATATCTTGGATATTGTGAATAGTGCTGCACTAAACATGGAGATGCAGATATCTCTTTGATATATTGAGTTCCTTTCTTTGGGGTATATACCCAGTAATGGGATTGCTGGATTATGTGGTAGTTTTATTTGTAGTTTTTTATATACCCAGTAATGGGATTGACAGATCATGTGGTAGTTTTATTTGTAGTTTTTTTGAGACACCTCCATACTGTTCTCCATAGTGGCTGCACTAGTTTGCATTCCTACCAATAGTGTATAAAAGTTCTGGTTTCTCTGCATCTTTATCAGCATTTGTTATTTTTTGTCTTTTTGACAATATAGCCATTCTAACTGGGGTGAGACGATATCTCATTGTGGTTTTGATTTGCATGCCCCTGATGAATAGTGATGTTGAGCATTTTTTATACATTTGTTGATTATTTCTGTTTTTTTTTGAGAAATGTCTGTTAAGATTTTTTACTCATTTTTAAATCAGATTATTTGTATTTTTGCTGTTGAGTTCCTTGTATATTCTGGATATCAGTCCCCTGTCAGATGAACAGAATGCACATATTTTCTTCCATTCTGTAGGTTGTCTTTTCACTCTGTTGATTGTTTCCTTTTCTGTGTTGAAGCTTTTTATTTTGATATAATCTTATTTGTCTACTTTTGCTTTTGTTTTCTATGCTTTTGAGGTCTTATTTATAAATTCTTTTCCCAGACCAATGTCCTAAAGTGTTTCCCCTATATTTTCTTCTAGTAGTGTTTTATAGTTTTGGGTCTTAGGTTTAAGTCTTTAATCCATTTTGAATTGGTTTTTGTATAAGGTGAGAGATAAGGATCTGGTTTCTTTCTTTTGCATATGGAGATCCAGTTTTTCTGGCACCCTTTATTGGAGAGACTGTCCTTTCCCCAGTGAATGTTCTTGGTGCTTTTAAAAAAATCTGTCGGCTGTAAATATGTGGCTCTATTTCTGGGTGTTCTATTCTGTTCCATTGGTCTATTTATCTGTTTTTATGCCAGTACCATGCTATTTTGGTTCCTACAGTGCCTTATTTCCTTTGTGTTGCTATGAAGGAATACCTGAGGTTGGGTAACTTATACAGAAAAGGGGTTTATTTGGCTTACGGTTCTGTGGGCTGTATAAGAAGCATGGCACTGGCATTAACGTCAAGTGAGGGCCTCGAGCTGTTTCCAATCATGGCAGAAGGGGAAGGGGAGCTGGCATGTACAGAGATCACATGGTGAGAGGAGGCAAGCAAGACAGAGAGAAGGAGGTGCCAGGCTCTTTTTAACAAGCAGTTCTCATGGGAAATAATAGAGCATGAACTCACTCACTACTGTGAAGACGAGGGTGGCAGCCAGTCATTCATAAGGGATCTGCCCCTATGACCAAAACACCTCCCACTAGTTCCCACCTACTAACACCGCCACACTGGGGATTAAATTTTAAAATGTGATTTGGAGAGGTAAACAAACCATATCCAGACAATAGCATATAGCTATGTAGTATATTTTGTAATCTGGTAGTGTAGTGCCTCCAGCTTTTTTCTTTTTTCTTGGGATTGCTTTGGCTATTAGGGGTCTTTTCTGGATCCATACGAATCTTAGGATTGCCTTTTCTGCTTCTGTGAAGAATGTCATTAGTATTTTCATAGAGATTACATGGAATCTGTAGATCACTTTGGGTAGTATGGTCATTTTAACAATATTAATTCTTATGGTCCATGAACATGGGATGCTGATATGGTTTGGCTGTATCCCCACCCAAATCTCATCTTGAATTGTAGCTCCCTTAATTCCCATGTGTTGTGGGAGGGACCCAGTGGGAGATAATTGAGTCATAGGGGCAGTTTCACCCATTCTGTTCTCCTGGTAGTGAATAAGTCTCATGAGATCCGACGGTTTTATAAGCAGAAACCCCTTTTACTTGGTTCTCTCATTCTCTCTTGCCTGCTGCCAAGTAAGACATGCCTTTCACCTTTCATCATCATCGTGAGGCCTCCCCAGCCACGTGGAACTCTGAGTCCATTAAAGCTCTTTTTCTTTATAAATTACCCAGTCTCAGGTGTGTCTTTATCAGCAGCGTGAAAATGGGCTAATACTGGTGCCTTTTATCTTTGCTGTCCTCCTCAATTTCTTTCACCAATATTTTATAGTTTTTCTTGTAGAAATCTTTCACCTCTTTGGTTAAGTTTATTCCTAGGCATTTGATTGTTTTTGTAGCTATTGTCAATGAGATTGCTTTTTTGATTTATTTTTCAGCTAGTTTGTTGTTGGTGTATAGAAATGCTACTAACTGTTGTATGTTGATTTTGTATCCCGCAATTTTACTGAATTCATTTTTTAGCTCTAAGAGTATTTTTGTGAAATCTTTATATATATATATATGCATGTATGTATATAAGAGCATGTTATCAGCAAAGAGGGACAATTTGACTTTCCTCTTTCCAATTTGGATGCTGTGTATTTATTTCTCTTGCCTAATTGTTCTGGCTAGTAATTACAGTACTATGTTGAACAAGAGTGTTGAGAGTAGGCATCCTTGTCTTGTTCCAATTCCTAGAGGAAAAGCTTTTTAAGTTTCCCCATTCAATACGATGTTTTGGGTTGGTTTGTTATACGTGGCCTTTATTGCATTGAGGTATGTTCCTTCTATATCTAATTTGTTGAGAGTTTTTGTCATGCAGGGCTGTTGAATTTTATCTAATGCTTTTTCTGTGTATATTGAGATGATCATTTAGTTTTTGTCCTTTATTCTGTTGATGTGTTGTATCACATTTACTGATTTGTTATGTTGGAACATCCTTGTATCTCTGGGCTAAATCTCACTTCATCATGGTGAATAATCTTTTTGATGTGCTGTTGGATTTGGTTTGCCTGCATTTTTTTGGAGGATTTTTGCACCTCTGTTCATCAGAGATATTGGCCTGCAGTTTCCTTTTGTGTTGTGTCTTTATCTGGTTTTGGTATTAGAGTGATGCTGGAATGAGGCTCCACTGTCTAAGAACAATAGGGTGTTGTAGATTTTATCATTGTTCTTGCCTCAAGATGTGGCAGTGCCTCCTCCTGAAGCAGGAGAGAGAAGGGAGACTCTGGCTTCTTTTATGGGCAACAATGGCAGGTCCCTTTCCTGGGTGCTGGGAGGGAGTTGTGGTAAATAGGCATACAAAGGGTTTATTCTCCAGCCCCCCTTAACATACCATAAGACACTACCAAGGAGGGTGGTCTAGTAGCATTGGTCTCCAGGTGTGCTCCTGGCTTCCTGATGTGAACAGATGCCATTTAGGCCCACAGAAATTTCCTTTAATTTTTTACTGGATCCCATGACTGCTGACTTGCCCATTACCTTATGCTATGTGTTTCTTTAGTTCCTATCTCTTTAACCCAGAGAACTTTTCTGTGCTGTGTTTTTTTTTTTTTTTTATCATAGTACCATTTTAACTGTAAAATATCAAAAGCAAACCAACATCCAACAATGGCTAAACTATCCATTCAATGAAATGTCATGCAACCATTAACATGACATTTAAAACTATTTTTTAGCTTGGAATATTGTTCAAAATATGTTAAATAGAAAAAAGGCAGGATATAAGATTGGATGTACTGTGATTTTCTTTCTGTAGGTCTTGCAGGAAGCAGGAGTCACACTTGAGCTGGGTAATTGAGGGGAATGTGGGCTGGAGGTCGGGAAACCTCAAGGGATAGAGCCATATCCTGGGGCTGGAGACAGTGAGGATGATAGGATGTGGTTGGCAGTGCAAAGGAAAATGTTACAGATGACTCCACTGTTTCTAGCTTGGCACTTGGGTTGGAAGGTGCCACCAACAGAGACAGGGACTATGGGAGAAACCACATGGTGGAGGGATGAGTTGGTTTTCATCATGTTGGTGTTGAATTGTCCTGGGGCTATTCAGGGGGTCTTTGGAACCATGGAACTGGAGCCCTCTTCCATGATCTTCTGAGTATCAGTTTCTTGGCTATTCTATTTTCTCTTTTCCCATGTTGCCACATGCCGTCTGTACCTGTCGTGATTCACGAAAGAGGGCCATCTCTCTCAAGATAGAACTACAGTGTGTCTCTTCATTCTCAGGAACAGGATCAACAGCTTCCAACTGTAAGTGATGTTAGGCCTGGTGCAAGAGAAATCCAGTGGATTCTTGAGTTTTGGAGATATGTATAGACATGCCTGGCCAGGGTAGGAAGAAGGGACAAGCAGGGATGTGGAAGTGAGAACAGCTTAGCTTGGGTAGGGAGCCCCATCAATCATCTCCTTTGTCTTGTACCCCTTTCTCTTCCCTGGAGGTGAGGATAGGGGTGATTTGGGATGAAGCAGGGCCTGCCGCCTTTCCCATTTCCTCTCTCCTTGTGTTGTTTCTTCTGTCACCTATTGTTGAGTAGGATGGCTTCAGCATTCTATCCCTGCAATGTGACTCACACTTTAAAAATGGTCTCAAGGATGTCTCTATAACCTTTAGGGTTGTTGGGACAGTGGAAGTCTCAGCAGGCTGGAGTGTTCCCTCTGGATCTTACCCTTCTTGTTTATGTGGTTTCTCCAAAGTTGAGTGGATTTGCATCTGGTTAGAGTGGTGTGGCTGAGAGAGAGAGAGAGAGAGAGAGAAGGGAGAGAGAAAGGAAGAGAGACAGTGAGTAAACAATGCTGAGGGCAGAGCTAGGCTTGGTAGAGAGGCTCATCTCTGGTACTTCCTAGCCATATGATCTTTGGGTACATTTTTTCACCCCTCTAAGCCTCAGTTTTCCCCCTTTATTGTTTGCTGGTTATGTAAGCCACTTGTGCTTATCATGGAAAACCAAATGTTATTTATTGTCTTGAAACCTAACTCTAATGTCATTAGTGTATTCTTTCCTTTCAGTCATTTTTTTTTTTTTTTTTTTAAGCAGGGGCGAGCGTGTATCTTTAAACATACTTAGGACCATACTGTGTATTCAGTTTTGCTTTTTTCCACTGAATCATTTTTTCATGACAATTAAAATTCCTTAAAAATTCTTTTTCATATCTAAATAATAATTCTTCACATTGTAGTGTAGTTCTCTGACGTACATAACCAATCAGTTCTTTGTTCATCATTTTGGCTTTTCGTCTGTTTTGACTGTTTTCAATGATGCTGCAGTGACCATTTTTACATTTAAACCCTTATTTTCAGTCTCTGGTTTGTTTTAGGATAGATACTAAATGTTCCTTTACTGGCTCAAGGCGTTAATGCATTTTGAGGGTCTCATTCAATATGGTCAGATTGCTTTCTACAAAACCTTTACCAAATTACACTCGATGGGCAGTGTCTGAGTGAGAGTTCCTTCTGAATGTGCCTTGTCCAGCGTTCCTTATTGCCTTTGTACAACCTTCACTAATTTGATAGGTGAAAAGTGACATATCATTTTAATTTGAATTTGTGTTTGATGACTGGTGAGTCTGGATGTTGTTTGAAGCATTAATTGGTAGATTACTCTTCTATGAATTGTGCTTTCATATTTTTTCTTGCCTATTTTCCTTGTCAGGTCTCAGTGGGTAGGCTGAGACCTATATGTAGGACTCATGTGAGTCCTATACATAGGACCAGCAGTAGGACACTTAGGTTGATCTCATATCTTGGCTATTGTGAATAGTGCTGCAATAAATATGGAAGTGTAGATATTTCTTTGATCTACTGATTTCCTTATTTTGGATATATACCCAGTAGTGGGATTGCTATGCTGGATCATATGGTAGTTCTACTTGTAGTTTTTTTTTTTCTTCTTTTTAAGAGAGCCCCATACTGCTTTCCATAAAGGCTACACTAATTTACATTCCCACCAACAGGAGAAACATGGGTTTTTGGTGCACCGGGAATGGTTCTGAGCCCTAACTGCACAGGAACATGTGGGTGGGGCTCTAAACTTATGTCAGTGCCTGGACCCCATCCCAGAATGTATGTACTTCTTTCTGTTTTTCTTTTTTTTTTTTTTTAGATGGAGTTTTGCTCTTGTTGTCCACGCTGGAGTGCAATGGTGCGATCTCAGCTCACCACAACCTCTGCCTCCTGGGTTCAAGTGATTCTCCTGCCTCAACCTCCCGAGTAGCTGGGATTACAGGCATGTGCCACCACGTCTGGCTAATTTTGTATTTTTAGTAGAGACAGGGTTTCTCCATGTTGGTCAGGCTGGTCTCGAACCCCCAACCTTAAGTGATCCGCCTGCCTCGGCCTCCCAAAGTGCTGGGATTACAGGCGTGAGCCACTGTGCCTGGCCGAGATTTCATCTCTTCAGAAACAGAGTTGAACTGGGACCCCATTTGGAGAAAGCTTGGGGCAGTGAGAAGCAAAGTGCAATCTGGTAGAATCTCTCAGTAGCTGGTTCCCTGGGCCACTTAACCTTTCTACGTCTCTCTCTCTCTCTCTCTCGATTTGTAAAACAGGAGCAATGATACTTACCTTGTAGGTAAGTGACATGCAGGCAGGTACTTAAAGTAAAGCAGTATATGAAAACTTCTAAGATATGAGGAAGCAGGAAATGACACTCACGGCTAACACATTCACTAGAGTTTTGTCTCTCTCTGTGTGTGTGTGATTATTTCTTCTTGGAATATGTCTTCAACTGTCAAAATCTCCTTACAATTCCAGATTAAACACCTTTGGTCTCTGATAGTCACAGCCAGGTTCCTACCTGGGAATAACTAAAAAATGTTCCACATGTAACAAACTGCAGCTTGAAGTTTCCGTTACATTGAGCAGTCCTGTGCATCTAGGTCTTCTGTTCAAGCGTGAAGTTTGATGAAGCTGCTCGAGCTCATGAAATCTGTAGTTGTCACAAGGCTTAGAGGGGCAGTTAATACCTAGATTTACTTTGTGGGACAAGTGCAGTGATGTATTTATAGTCTAGAATGACAATTGTACAAATACAGAATGGGCAGCACTTTACCTACTGATAAATTTGCATTAAATTTACAAACATGCAGGCACTGGGGCTGTAAAACGACACGAGGTTGTTCATTGACAGATGAATGGATAAACGAATTGTGGTACATCCACACAATGGAATAGTATTCAGCTTTGGAAAGGAAGGAGATTATGACACATGCTATAACATGGATGAACTTTGAAGACGTTATGCTGAGCAAAACATGCCAGTCACAGAGGGGAACATACTCTATGATTCCACTTATACGAGGGTCTAGAGCAGTCAAATTCATGGAGACAAAAAGTAGAATGGTGGGTGCCAGGGTCTCCGGGGAGGGACAGAAAGGGAGCTAGTGTTTAATGGGGGGACATCATTTCAGTTTGGAAGGATGAAGGTCTCTGGTGATGGATGGTGGTGATGGTGGCACAACAATGTGAATGGACTTAGTGCCACTGAAGTCTACACTTAGACATGGTGAAAACGGTAAATCTTGTGTTATGTGTAGTTCACTACAATTAAAAAAAAAAAGACAAGGAAGTCAGTCACAAAGGTTCACATATGACAGGAAGCCATTTCTATGAAACGCCCAGAGAGGTAAATCCATAGAGACAGAAAGTGCATTTGTGGTTTCCAGGGGCTGGGAGGAGGAGTAAATGGGGCGTGACTGCTAATGGGAGGAGGAGTCTTTGTGAGGATGATGAAATTCTTTTTGGAACTGGGTAGAGATGGTGGTTGCACAACATTGCAAATGTACTTAATGACACTGAGCTGTACACTTTAGAGTGGTTAAAATAGTAAATGTAATGTGATGTCTATTTCACCACAGTGAAAGCAACCCCCACCCCCGCAGTGTGCTGCAGATGTGCACCTGCAGGCAGGTGGTGTTTTCGTTCCCCGTTGCTGCCGTAACAAATTATCACAAACCCGCTGCTTCAAGCAACACAGATCTATCGTCTTACAGTTCTGGAGGTCAGAAGTCTAAAATAGGAAGTTCTAGGGGAAGAACCCTTTTCCTTGCCTTTCCTGTCACCTTGAGGCTGCCTGAATTCCTTGGCTCTTGGCTCCTTCCGTCTTCAAAGCCAGCAACATCCGGTTGAGTCCTTCTCTGGCGGCATCATTCTGACACTGACTCTTCTTCCTCCCTCTCCCTCACTTAAGGACCCTTGTCCTTCAAGTGTAAAGACCTGGCCAATCCAGGATAATCTCCCCACCCATCTCACATCTGCCCAATCGCTATTGTCATGTAAGGTAACATATGTGCAGCTCCCAGGGGTTAGGCCACGAACATCTTTGGGGGCTGTTACTGTGCCACCACAGGCAGTAACGAGCTGAGTCTTGTGCACCCTGCTCAAGGGCTGGGTCCTGCAGATGAGGTGAGGAGATACTTCTGGCATCCTTATGGCTCCCTGTTTGATTCTGGGGGGGCCCCTAGGCAAAGGCCAGGCTCTGCTAATCTGGGCCAGGAGCTCTCCTCTCTGCTCTCCCTGACTTCTGTGCTCACTGGCCCTGCAGTGGCAAGGAAAAGGATTCGTCCCTTAGAACTTCCCGTTTTGGACTTCTGACCTCCAGAACTGTAAGGCAGGGCAGGGATATCAGAGAGTTCAGACCCAGGAGGTGCCCACAAGGGCACTGAGCATGCGAAGACTTCCAGGCAGTCAGCTCTTCATCCCCATCACATTCTTTCTAGCCGAGGGAAATCCTCCAGATGCAGCGAGTGTGGCAAAGCCTGCCGCCGCCTCTCGGGCTGGACTCCAAGGCAGAGGGCAACCCCTGAGAAGCACGGCCATGCACAAGCTGAGACAGGGCCAGGGTCATGGCTGAATTGTGCCCCCCCCACCTGCACCTCCCCCCCCCCAAAAAAAAAAACACACATGGCCTCATCCTCACCTTCTGATCTTGCAAATGTGACCTTATTTGGAAAAGGGGTCTTTGCAGAGATCATGAAGTTGAGCATTTTGAGAGGAGATGATCCTACATTACCCGAGTGGGCCTTAAATCCAATCACAAATGTCCTTATAGGAACCAAACAGAGGAGAAACGCAGACATGGAGACCCAGGGGAGAAAGCCACATGAAGAAGGAGGTGGAGATTAGGGCCAGGAGGCCACAGGCCAAGGGACACCTGGGGCCACTGGAAGCTGGGAGAGACGAGGAAGGATCATCCCCTGGAGCCTTCCCAGGGAGCACGGCCCTGCAGACAGCTTGGTTTTAGACTTCTGGCCTCCAGAACTGGGACAGAATCAGTTTCTGTGGAGTGATTGGGTCAACTGGTTTGTGGTGCTTTCTTACGGCAGCCGAGGGAAGCACACAGAGGCAGATGTATTTAGAGGGGTACCCCCTGCTGCAAGCCTCCTGGGGCAGGGGCCATGCCACTCTCCTTCTTGAACTCTGCTGGCCACATTGTGCTCGCTCAGGAAACGGGTGCTGAGTCTACTGCTGCTTGAGGCAGAGCTTACGGATTTGTAACTGCTTCTGTGTGGTGGCAGCTCCTCCTTGCCCAGCTCCTCCTTGCCCAGCTCATCCTATATCAATGATGCTGCCGCCACAAAACATCCCCCCAACCCAGCCAAACTCCTCCTGTCTGCCTGCACCTCTTATCTCTGCTCACCACGGGGCCCCTCCAAGGGGCCGTCTTTGCTTCCATCTCCCGCTGTGGGCTGGCAGACACTGGCACTCCTAAGGCTCTTTTGGCATCCCTAGAGGACCCAACAGACACCTCCCCACCAAAGAAGTGCACACCTAGATATGTCTAAATCACACACGTCACTGCTGTAATATGGTACTTACTATCCCATGAAACATCCACAAACTAGACACTCAGAAAGTGGTGTTGGAATAAGGGAGGTTCTATGGCCCTTCTTCTCCTGCCCCCCACCCATGCGCCGCCCACCATTCCTTTCCGTGGACCACTGACCTTCAAGTTTGAACACAGAACGGGCAAGTGGCCTTTGGAGCTGAGGGTGGGACGTGGCCTTTGGAGCTGAGGGTGGGTCATGGCCTGTTGAGAAGAGCAGGGCCAAGGAAGGATGGAAGCCTGAGAGACACTGGCAGGGGGTGGAGAAAGGCCTCCTCTCTGCCTGGCACCTCATTCATTCACTTATCCATTCATTCATTCTCCAGGCCCAGCCCCGCCTGTGGGCCTATGGTGCCACCTCCAGAGCATGGATCCTGCCCTCTGAGCTGTTGTTAATGACTTAGATTTATCTTCCGCTCGGGAGCTCTCTTCCTCTGGTGTAAGCATTATTCTTTTAGTATTTTTTCAGTGCCTGGCACTGTGCTAGGCACTAGGGATCCACATTACGGCTAAAGCATCGTCCCTGCCCCTGGGGGAGGCTCTTGAGGGAAACAGGCACTGCACAGGCCATTGCCCTGGAGCACAGAGGTGTGGCACTCAGCTCCTTGTGGGGTTTAAGAAAAGGGTCCCTGTAGGATGCAGAACTCATTGTCTCCCCTGCACCCCAATAAAAGAAGGAAGGAAAAGGAAGCCGTGCTCTTCTTTCTACATTCCATGGCTTCATCATGGACATCCACACAGTGACCCAGCTGGACAAGCCCAAAGCCTGGCCTGCTCCTGGACGGCACCCTCTCCCCATCACATAGCTCCACTCAGAAATGCTTCTTGGCCCGCCGCAACTTCCACACCCTGGTCCTGGCCACCAGCTGGTCTCTTTGGGGCCATTTCAGTCCCTTTCCAGTCCCTCCACCACCCTGTAGCCAGAATGAGCTTCATAAATAACATGGACCCATGACCGGGTCACTTCCTTGCTGAAAACACCTCCGTGTCAGCCCTCCACTGCCTTTAGGATCAAGTCCCTGTGTTATACAGGTAGCTAGCCATGAGTGGGGCAGGTGAGGGCTCTTCCCCCTACCCACTGGAAATGTCGGGTGACGGTTCAGCAGTTATCGCATCGCCTCTCTAAAAGTAGTGCCGGCGCCAGACAGAGGCCAGTTCCTGACGGTCCGTACCTGTTAACATTAAAGTGTTGATTAAAGGCAGGCCCCAAGGGAGAAGCAACTTCCTGGGCACGCACATTAAGAGACAAAAATGCTGAAGTATTTTATGATCTCGCGGACACACGCCACTGGAAAAAGGGAAAAAGCCTGAGGTGGGCATGCGTACAAATCCCACAACACACTGGGCAGGTGCAGTTCTCAAGGGTAAGGAGGACACGGTGCGTGCAGAAAGCCCACCCTAAGGGAAGAATCATCGGAAAGATGTGAGCCTATAAAGTCCCAGGGTCAAGGGGAAAGGCCCTTTTTTCTCTTTCTCTTTGACCTTCAGGTGCCCACTTGGATCTCTTCCAAGGGTTCTTTCCTATTCTAAAACCTTTTTTTAATAAACTTACACTCCTGCTCTGGAACTCACCTCGGTCCCCCTTTCTGCCCTATACCCCTCAGTTGAATGCTTTCTTCTGAGGAGGCGAGAATTGCAGTTACTGCAGACGCGTACAGATTCGCCACCAGTAACTCGGGGTAACGAGGATCTCTGCCACCGCTGACACCTGTTCCTTCATGAGATTTAGAAAGTCTCTTCTGTAACAGAAAGGTACAAAGCCGAGCCAAACCTTGTGAGTGGCAAAGCGATCCATCATCAGTGATGTAGTTTGGATCTGTGTCCCCTCCCAAATCTCCTATTGAATTATCATCTGCGGTATTGGAGGTGGGGCCTGGTGGGAGGTGATTGGATCCTGGGGGTGGATTTTCCATGAATGGTTTAACACCATCCCCCTGGTGCTGTCCTCGTGATAGTGAGGAGTTCTTGTGAGATCGGGCTGTTTTAAAGTGTGTGGCACCTCACACTCTCTCTCTTGCTCCCGCTCTGGCCAGGTGACGTGCCTGCTCCCCCTTTGCCTTCTGCCATGATTGCAAGCTTCCTGAGGCCTCCCCAGAAGCAGAGTAGATGCCAACACCATGCTTCCTGTACAGCCTGCGGAACCGTGAGCCAATTAAACCTCTTTTCTCTATAAATTACCCAGTCGTCTCAGGCATTTCTTTATAGCAATGTGAGAACAGACTAATACGATCAGCAAAGCCAAAGGACAAATGACACACTAGGGAAAACTGTCTCCAACTCCTATCTCAATACGCAAGGAACTCTTACAGAGAAAAGGATGAAGCACCCAGTGGGAAAAATGGGTAAAGGACGTGAACAGACAGTGAACAAGAAAGGAAATACAAGAGGCTCTTGAACCTATGAAAAGATGCACATCCCCAGACATGCACATCAAAAGACACTGAGATTATCCCTTTTGGTTTGTTGGTTTGTTTGTTTTTACTGATTCAATGGGCTAAATTCTAAATGTCAGATCACACAGTGTTGGTGAGCCTGATGGGACATAGATGCCCCCACTGGTTGTTGGCAGGAGTAGACATTGGCACAACTCCCATGGAGGGCAGTTTGGCAAGATCCATTAAAAATTCAGATGCACAGAACCTTTGATCCCTCCACTGTGTGGGAGGAATATCCAGCCGACAGATGAACCCTCTCATAGATGAAAGAAATATGTTTAAGATCTTCTTCAGTGCAGCATAGCTAGTGACAGCATAAGACTGGGAAAGTTCCAAGTGTCCAGCCCGGGGAGAGTAGTTAAATGACCAAAGGGAGAGTGGTATTATCTCAGGACAGGCAAGAGTGATGGGAAATGCAGATGCCACTGTCCAGGAATCAAGTCGCCATGATCCTTCATCTCTGTGTTGTGCCTGCGGGGTGGCTTTCGTGCCACGACCGCAGAGTTGAGGTGGCAAAGCTGAAAATATTGACCCTCCGGCCCTGCCCAGAAAATGTTTGCCATCCCCCGCCTTCCAATGACTCTGCTCCTTTTTGTCTGGAAGTGCTTGTCCCTGCCTGGTATTGCCTGCGCACCCCTGTCCTCAGCCTGGGTAACTCCTACTCGTAGTGCCTTTCTCGCTTAAACGGTTCCCATGGGACGCCTTCCCTGCCCACTCGGTAGGGGCAGGCGCCCTTGCCGTTGCCTCCTGTAGTCCCGTGGCTTCCCCCGTTTGGGATCTTAGCACACATCCCACTGACTTCCAGCTGCTGCTTTCGGGATCCCCTCTGGGGGGCTGTCATCTTTTGTGGCACACCTTGACCGGGGGTGTTTTGTAATCCCGGCTCCCAGCCGTCTTATTGGCGTAGCGTGGGTGCTCCCAAAGTGCTTCTTGAATGAATGAATGTGTCTCTGTGCTCACATTACACAGGCTTTCAGCTAGATAAACACCAGAACTCCATGTTGTGGCCGACTAGAGTAACTCAGTTTACGTTCCTGCTTCATCGTAGACTGGAAAAGAAATAGCAAATGCTCCTGCTTGTGCACACTCCGATTATTCTTCCCATCTAGCATGAGCCAATCCCTAGGACAAATATGGTTTTGGGCTCCACGTGCGTGTGTATATTTTTACTCAGCACCGAGCACCGTGTTGGGGGAAGGGGGACTTATGAACGCTGCAGCCAGTGGGAGAGCAGAGAGGAGTCCCCACAGGCCCACGCAGCAGCGGTGAGCCCCGCCGGGGAGACGAGACTGGGTGTGCGAGTTGGGGCTGCCAACAGAGCCAGTGTGCTTGTAGGTTCCAAATCCACATGCTGGGGCCGTGAGCCGGGCCAGGTCAGGTCAGATAGCTCAGCTGAGCATTCTGGGTACGCTAGAAGAAAATACTTTCTTTTCCGTGATTGCCAAGGAATGGATGTGCTCAAGTAACTTCTAGCAGGTCAGTGACGTGCCTATTTCCGAAGGCCCTCCCGCCTCTCTTGGTTCCTCCCTGTGGTTGCAGGAGGCTGGCTGCGGGCCACAGGTCGAGCTGGCCCTGGATACCGAGAGCCTCGCCTCTGGGATGGGCCGCGGGCCACAGACATTGGCGCCTGGTGACTCTCTCTGGTGGCCAGCGTCTTCAGGTTCTCGAATCCCGGTGGTGGAAGTCCCTCGTTCTGGCTGTGACATGGAGTGTCAGTGTGCCGAAACTAAGATGCTTGGCCAGCTTTTCTTTTCCTTTCTACAATTTTAATCGTGGTAAAATACACATCACATAAAGCATACCACTTTAATATACCACTTTAACCATTTTGAAATGGACAGTTAGGAGGCGTTCAGCACATTCACGGTGCTGTGCAGCCATCACCACCATCTGTCACCGGAGATCTTTGTCCTCCCAAACTGAAGCCCTGTCCCTGTTCAGCACCAACTCCCCGCACCCCTCAGCCCAAGGCAACCACCATTCTACTTCCTGTCTCTGAATTTGACTACTCTAAGGGCCTCATGGAAGTGGAATCTTACAGTATTTGTCTTTTTGTATCTGGCCGACTTCACTTAGCATAATGTCCTCAAGGGTCATCCACCTTGTAGCTTGGCTCAGAATTTCCTGCCTTTCGAAGGCTGAATCGTATTCTGTCATGTGCGTGGAGCACGTTTGCGTATCCATCCATGGATGGGAGCTTGGGCTGCTTTCACCTTTTGGCTACTGCGAATAGTGCTGCTATCGGCCAGGTGCGGTGGCTCACGCCTGTCATCCCAGCACTGTGGGAGGCTGGGGTGGGAGGATCCCTTGAGCCCAGGAGCTCAAGACCAGCCTGGGCAACATACTGAGACATCCTCTCTGCAAAAAATAAAACGGGTAGCTAGGTGTGGTGATGCGTGCCTGTAGTCCCAGCTACTTGAGAGGCTGAGGCAGGGGGATCACCTGAGCCCAGGAGGTGGAGGCTGCAATTAGCCATGACCACACCACTGCACTTGGGCCTGGGCAACAGAGTGAGAGCTTGTCTCAAATAATAATAAATAATAATAATAATAATAATAAAATGTTGTCAAAATGGATGTTCAAAAACCCCTTTGACTCTGCTTTCAATTTTGGGGGGTATTACCTAAAAGTGGGGTTGCTGGGTAATTTTATGTTTCATTTTGTGAGGAGCCATCATAATATTTGCTTGCTTTTTTAAAATAAAAATAAAAATAACCAAATCTCTCCCCAACTTTGAAATAGAAAATAAAATTATTTTACTAAACAAAGTGATTGATTGTTTTGCTCTGATTCTTCCCCAGGTCCTATTACAATGACAAAGTATCATCATGGAAATAACATAGAGCTCACCTTCGGAAGTCAGGCTCCAGCTGGGACCATGGATGGGGCCAGGGTGCCTGTGACTGCCCGGCCAGAGAAGGCACCCTTCTAGGGGTCTTGTGCATACATGTCTGTTTCCAGGGAAGGGCCCTTCCCCCTTCTGGTTCTCAAAGGGGTTCATGATCCCCAAGGCTGAGGACGTGCTGGGCTAAGGGACGCCTCCGTCAGGCCCAGGCTTGGGCTTGGAGGGATGTTATTCCGCTCCTTATTCTCTTCTTTCTTTTAGTAACTTTGTACGAAATTTGCCTTTGATCCTCTTGTCAACTGGTTTTCCCATGAAATCAGTCCTTCTGCACTTGTGGAAGGGTGGGAGAGGCTAGGTTTTCTGATTTCGCGTATGAAGGGCACTCTCTTCTGGTGACTGTGAGAACTGTGACCATCTGTCTGTTTACCTTCCATTGTACGTTCTCCGTTTGTTCTCCCTCTCCATTGTGATTCGGACTTTCTCTTTTCTTTGCCCCTATTGTGCCTGTCTTGCTTTACTTGTCTTCTATTCCCAGAAGTTTCTGCTCTGTGGGGGCCTTTGTCCTGGAGGGAAGATTTGAGAGTTAATTGGGTCCGGTCTGTTTCAGCGCCTTTAGACCTTCAGGGTGATGATGAGCCCTCCCTTGCGTCTCCTCTGGGAGACTGTGGGCTCCTGGATAGTGGGGGCATTGGCCCCTACCTCTCTGTGTGCCTGGTGGCTGGCACAGGGGCTGACTCCACCCTGAGATGTCTGTGAAGACACTGGCCCACCAGCCCCACTCACCACGTGCGTGTCTCCTGGAGCAAGGGCTCGTTCAAGCCAGGGGCCCCTCCTTGGTAACAAATGAGAGAAACAGGCCTCCCCCACCTCCCCGAGGTCTCCTTGACCCTCCGCACCCCCGACCCCTGAGCAGGTTTATCCAAGAGCCCTGGAAGGCCTTTTGTCACTAGGCCTGCTGGGGGCCCAAGTCACCATGGGGCCCACCTGCAGGCAGGGGAGTGTGGCACTTGCTTCTCCTTCCCGCCGTCTCTCTCCCTCTCTGCCCCCAGGCCCTTCTGACCTCTGCAGCTTCACCGTCCAGCCCCCACCACCCCCCAGCATTCCCCTCCCCTTCAGAAGCCACTTAGGCTGCTCTAGCCATTAGTGGGCCCAAGAGAGCTGCAGTGGGGACGACACAGTCAAGGCATGGAGGCAGGTGAAGGGCGCAGTGGAAGGTGACGATAGAGGCGTTTGTGGCTGGCAGGCTCTAGCATTTCCCAGCACACGCATGAGCAAGGGGCAGTGGGAATCTCAGCCAGATTAAGGGCAGCACGTGCGGTGCTTTATGCAGAAAAGAGTCTGGGTGATGAAGAACAGGCTGGGGGTGTTGGGTTTCTATGACGCCTGGGTATCTAACATACAATGATCTTAGCCTGAACCTTCTCCTGGAAGAGGTGGACAGCCAGTTGGATGTATCGCTTTCTGCTGTTGATGGGGTCAAGGGCCGGGAGAAGGGAGGTCTCTATGATTTACATGGTTTGAAAAAGAAGGAATGGTTGAGTTATACTGACTGGGCTCCAGTTCACAGACAGCATCCCGAGAGATGGCTCAAAACACAGGACTGGACAAAAAGTGGGTCCCATTTTCAACTCTGGTGCACGTCCTGAATGTTTCATTGCATCTGCAAAGTGGAGGCTGAACTAGGTGAGTAGAACCGTAAGGAGACGGGCAAGAGCCATCCATGCTCTGGGCTGAGGAGCCTGGCCTGCGTGAGGAGGGGCAGTGGTCATGCCCAGTTAAATTTGGAAATGCATGGGACCCCTTCTACTCAAGATAGCCATCCTTAATGGGATGTTTGAATTTAACTGGGCTTCCAGTGTTTTTATTTGCTAAATCTGGTAATCCTAGCAGTGTAGTCTGAGAGCATGCACTTCAAAGGGACTGGGTATTTTTCAGGGAGGATTGAGGGAGAATGATGTGGAAGCCACTGTGAGAAGCAAGGAGGTCACCTATGCCACCTCCAGGCCCTGTGCTCCAAGGAGGGTGGACAAGAATAGCCCTGCTGGAAAGGGCTCAGAGGATGCGGTATCCGGGGGTGGGGGTGGGGAAGTCCTGTTTCCATGACAGCATGCAAGGGAGGTACAGAAAGGAGTTTCCAGGAACGTTGGCGGGCGGCAAGGCTGGGGGGCCGTCTGTGGCAGGACACGGGGCTCTCAGCAACAGGATGCTGAGCTCTGTTGGGCTTCTCCAAAATGAGACTGGGAGGCTGTCCCATCTGGAGGATGCGTGGACTTCACTTCAGTTCAAGGAGGAGACCTATTCCTCCCCTGCAGCCTCAGGAGGGTGCCTACTCAAGACAGTGGCTACCAAATGTAGACAGGCTTCCACTGAATGTCATTGCCCTGCCCAGTGGCTTGCTCTGAAACCTTATTGCTCATCACACACCTAAACCCTTTGCCCCACTGGGTAGCCTTGCCAGCCTTACTGAAAATCAATGATCAAACATGGAGGTGTTTATTTCTGCACTCTCAATTCTATGCCATTGATTTGTATGCCTAGATTTGTGGCAGTACCACACTGTCTTGACTGCCATAGCCTCATAGTAAGTTTTGAAACTGGGAAGTGCGAGTCCTCCAACTTTGTTGTTTGTTTCCAAGATTGTTTTGGTTTCAGAGTCCCTTGCAATCCCATAGGAATTTGGGGTCTGCTTTTCCATTTCTGCAAAGGGCTGTTGGGATTTTGAGAGGGATTGCATGGAATAAGTAGGTAAATTGGGGGAGTATTTTCATCTCCCTAAACAATAACAATTTTATATTATAGCAACATTACATCTTCCAGTCCATGGACACAGTATGGCTTTCCATTTGTTTAGGTCTTTTATTTCTTTCAATAGTGTTTTGTGGTTTTCAGTGTACATCTCCCTGGCTAAATTTATTCCTGAGTATTTTGTTCTCTTTAAGGCTATCGTAAATAGAAGTGTTTTCTTAATTTCCTATTCAAATTGTTCATAATGTGTGGAAATGCAAATGGATCTTGCATATTGACCTGGTATCCTATAACTTTGCTGACTTTGTCATTAGCTCTGATGGCTTTGTTTGGTGGATTCTTTGGGAGTTTCTATATATAAGAACATGCCATCTATGGGTCTAGGTCATTCTATTTCTTCTTTTCCAAATTGGATGTCTTTTGTTTCTTTTTCTTTTCTTTTCTTTTTTTTTTTTTTTTGCCTAATTGCTTTGGCTACAACTTCAAGTAAACTGTTGACTAGAAGTGGTGAAAGTGAACATCTTGTCTTGGTCATGATCTTAGGGAGAAAGCTTTTATTTTTTCACCATCGAGCGTGATTTTAGCTGTGGATTTTTCATGAATGACCCTTTTCATGTTTAGGAAATTCTCTTCTTATTTTTCTGAGTGTCCTTATCATGAAAGAGTGTTTGATTTTCTCAGATGCTTTTTCCACACCATTTGAGATAATCACGTGGTTTGTTTCCTTCATTTTATTAATGTGGTGTATTACGTTGTCTGATTTTCGTGTTGGACCACCCTCACACTGATCTCACTTGCAATAAATCTCACTTGGTCGTGGTGCATAACCCTGTTACTATGCTGCCCAATTTTGTTTGCTATTACTTTTTTTTTCTTTGGAGATGGCATTTAACTCCGTCACCCAGGCTGGACTGCAGTGGTACCATCATAGCTTACTGCAGTCTTAAACTCCTGGGCTCAGGATATCCCCCTGCCTCAGCCTCCTGTATTTGCTAGCATTTTTTTGAGGATTTTTAAACTTTGTTTTCATAAGGGTCATCGCCTGTAGTTTTCCTATGGTGTCTTTTTCTTCCTTTAGTGTCATGGTAATGTTGGCCTCATAGAAGGAGTTGGGAAGACTCCCCTCCTCTTTTATTTTTTGGAAGAGTTTGAGAAGGAGTTATGTTAATTCTTCTTTAAAGGTGTGGTAGAGTTTACTGGTGAAGCCACTTGGTGCTGGGCTTTTATTTGTTCTGAGATTTTTGATAACAAAACCAATCTCTTCACTTGTTATAGGTCTATAGAGAATTTCTCTTTGTTTATGAGCCAGTTTGTTAGTTGTGTGCTTCTAATAATTTGTCTGTTTCCTCTAGATTCATTCTTAATGTAAAATTGCTCATGATACACTCTTAGAGTCTTTTTTTTTAATCCCTGTAAGGTAAGTAGCAATGTCCTTGCTTTCATTTCTGATTTAGAAATTTGGGTCTTCTCTTCGTTTTCACTATAGAAGTGGTATTACTTCTTTGTTCCTGTATTGTAAAGAGGGAGCAGCTTAGTAGGCTCCCATATGTACCTTTCTATGTAATGTTGCTTGAACCAACATGAAGATGATGCAACATCCAAAGTACATCACTGACAACTAGGTCCTGAGGGAAACAAACTTGGGATGGGTCCAAAGAACTATCGGATCCCCGGTTAGAAGAACTTTAGACAGAACTGCATTATTTATGTTGGTAAATAGCCACAGGTTTTCTGGGAGAATGTGTGGCTGAGTGTTTCTGACCTCCACTTCCATCAATAAGCTCTGGGCCTATGAACTGACAGATCTGGACCCTCGGTGGGGGACCACAGTTTTCCACGGCAGCTGCTAACATCAGCCTTCTGCTTGCCAGCTCATGTTATTCTTTTAATAAAAATCAAGTAATAGTCCAGTCAGCTGTCCTTACATGCAGGCCCTGAGATACTACAATCTGTAACGTTGCCACAGGTCCCTGTTCATCAAATGAGCCTGACCCCACCCTGATTGTGCTGCCCAGTACGACAGTGGTGCCCACCTGAGCCCTGGTAATTTTGTGTCACCGTCTGGACCCTGCCATTTGAGAATCCTCTCATTGCCTGCCAGTTCCATGGCGGCGTCGCTTGCTTCCAACCATTGTTTTGAGAGGAGTCAAAGCAGAGGCTCTCAAAGATGCCGGGGCCACCCCACTAGCAAATTCCTCATTTTAGAGTGTCTTCTCAGCCCTCGAAGGGGACAACATTCACAGGTAGGGCCACTGGTCTCACATAATGAATCACATCTAATACTGCTCTCCGCTCAACCCTTTCACCAATTGGTCAATATTCTGCCAAGGCAGTTCCCATAACTCCATGTCATTTACTGTAGGCTGTTGTCCAAACGTGAAGCTGCCAGCCCAGCAGGATCTGAGGCCAGCCCCAAGACAGGGAACCCCACCTTATAGCTCCGTGCTCCCACGTAAATACACTCTCCCCTATATTGAACTGTATTCTGTCTGCTGTCTTGCTGGTTCCGCATGCCCAAAATCCATTCCCACCTATGCTGTCCCAGGTCATGCCAAGGCGAACTAGCCAGCTTCTGCAGCTTATCTGAATATGAGGTATTTCCCACCCAAACAGAAACCGTATTTCTCTTCTGTGCTGTGATCTTTCCTATTCAAACTTCGCGCTTGTCAGAGCGATGAAAGTTAGCGGGATGGATGTTAGGTAAGACAAGCAATTTTTTTTCTTAGAGACTGGGTCTTGCTCTGTCTCCCAGGCTGGAGTGCGAGGGTGCCATCATACCTCTCTGCAGCCTCAACCTCCTGAGCTCAAGCAATCCTCCCGCCTCAGCCTTCCGAGTAGCTGGGACTATAGGCACATACCACCACGCCTGTGTAGTTTTTAAATGTTTATTATTGTGGAGACAGAGTCTTACTATGTTGCCCAGACTGGTCTCCAACTCCTAGATCCAAGCGATGCTCCTGCTTCGGCCTCTCAGTGTGCTGGAATTACAGGCTCGAAGGCAACTTCCTTTACGGCAGCTCCCTTGGACGAGGTCTTTACAGAGCCTCCATGAATAAGGGGATTGCTCCCCAATTAGCAAGGGTTAGGTGGTTGCTAATGCCAGGGTGAGGGTTCAGGAGATTCTAGGTATTCAAAATTCTCATGGGCATCACTCTTACAAATCTGAGGGTTCCCCTCTTTCCCCATCAGTTGCTTACTTGGATATAGAGACCTACGAATGTGGTGTGAGCCGTCTCTGTGTGTGCAGCTCTGCCAAGCAACAGTTAAGATCAGGGCCTGATGGGCAGCAGTCTTCCTTCTGACTGGAGAAGAGGAGGTCACCTTAACCTAGCGGGCCAGGGTGGGTGACAGGCTGGGCTCTGTCATCAAACACACAGGCACCTGTGATGGAGGTCCAGCTGAGGGCAATCATGGAGGGGCCGCAGCACCTGCTCAGGCTGGAAAGGATCTCAGAGTCTATATATCCCTCAACCCACACACGTGCCCCGGATGCCTTTCAGTGACCCTGATTCAAGGAGGAGGAGAATAGATGCATGTCCGAGGCATGTCTGCCTCTCTTCAGTGGATGCCCCAGGTGTCAGTGACATCCAAGAGAGACCAGGTCTCCTCCCTTCACCCCAAGCCAACAGGCACCTATGACCTCACATAGTTGGGTGAACCTGGGGCTGTGCTCTCAAAAACAGGCCGTCGGCCCATGACACTGGTGAGAATTTCTCACTGACAGAGGGAAGCAGTGCATCCTTGTTACCTTAAAGATTAGGTTGTCACCTGAGTCACCACATTCCCGTCTGTTTCTATGTCACCTGAAGTCGGTCTTCAGAGCAGAGCCTTCAACCACACCTCACTTGCTCTCCCGATCTAGCATGAGGTCAGGAATGAATGAATGGGGTAGGAAAGTAATATTAGAAGCTAGAGATAAACATGGCTCCATGAGAAAGCTGAACTCAGGTGATATGTTGGACTCGGGGAGACAGTGTTGTGGAGTAACTAAAGTGTGTTGTCTCGGTGTGTGAGGTCCACACACAGCACGGAGACGATCTGTTTCCAAATAATTGCCGGGGCCATGAGGATGTCACATGGACTGCCCAGGCAGTGTGCCCAGGAGTCTTGGTCACACTCAGGCAGAGTCTAGAGAGGGTTCCGTCGGGTCTGATGTATACACCACTTGGAAGGCTCTCTTCTAAAATTTCGTCAGAATTTCCAAGCTATTATTGCTTTGGAAGTGTGTCTATATATTTCCTAGACCTTCCACCTATGGATTTGGACAATCTCAAGCATGACACAGCTGAAGTTCAAGGTGGGAGACACAGTGGTTTTAAGGTGACTCCAAACAGCTCCTCTGCCAATGTCGCCCCAACACATGGCCATGTGAACACATAACATGGTCTCATGAGAACAGGTGACTTCCTCTAAGAACTAAAAAAGGACTCAGGTTCATGTGAAGGCCTTCACGTTTATTTTAGCATCAAGTTTGAAAAACAAACTGGCTTTTCCATAACACTTATCCTCAAAAACCATCTTGTTTCAAGTTAGCCTAGCAATCTGTGGGCTTCACAACTTAGGTCTGAATTGCATCTGTTTAATATTATTCCACCAAGGGCCGGCCCCACTTAGCGGAATGAAGGCTGCCCCTGTGACCCATTTTTCCAACTCCCAGCCCTGGCGCCTCTAGCAGCCGGGAATGGCTTACCAGCCTGTGTCTAGATTGTTGGGACCTGTTGGAGCCGGCCCGTGAATAAGTTGGAAGATGAAGCTTGGTGACATTGAGACAAATGGCCACGTCTTGGGGGATTCTGGATCCAGAACAAGGAGCTGGCTTTACTCCAGTTTACGGGCAGGTAGACGGGCTCCTAAGCAGTTGGGCCAGCCACACAGGTGGAGAGAAGCCAGGCCAAGAAGGAGATGGCTCTAGCTGCCCTCCACAGGGGACCGACAGTTAGAGGGAGAAGATCCATCACTGTCAGTTATGAAGACAGCCTGAAGCCTGTTCTAGGAAACAGTTCAGCCGTTGAAGGAGGGTGTGGAATTTCAGGGAAATGCAGAGCGACAATCTTGCATGAGGCTGACAAGACGCTCACTGCACACTGAGATTTCACTCAAGCACATATGGACTACGTGCAAGCCATTCGGTAACTTCATGTTTGGCCTGCAGTTTGCTTTTTGAAAAAGTATCGGAAGGTCGTGTTAACATAGGAGAAAATGACTCTCTCATGGGATTCAACTCTCGGGGCTACTTTTCAAAAAATAAACAAGCCTAGCAGGGAAAAGGCAGGAATTATCTGAAAGAGGAATCTGATGGTTTCTATCCACGTATCGCCAAAAGAATGAAAAGTCTCACTGACGTTTCCATAAAAATATACATTAGGCTTTAAAAATTATTGTTGTTTAAAAGCTGATACCAGTGGCTTTTTGTGTAAAAGAATATAGGTCCTAAGTGAAAGTACCAAGTCCAGTCAAAAGACACGTTATGAAAATCAATGCTCTTGTCTTTCAAACCTATCGGGACAACTACACATCCAAAGACGTTGAGGGAATCGCAAGGGGTTGCAATCGTTTAACAAAATAGCTCTTCACGAGTTTGCGATGAAGACCTGGTGATGAATGTGCCACCAGCACATGCGAGAGATGGGCCCCAAATGAATTCCTCACATTCCCAAAGTCTCGAATATCCAGAACATACTTACACGCGTTGGGGAAGGGAGGAGGCTTCCTCATTAATTCTAGAAAGGAGGCAGCTCCCTGGGAAGGTATGGGTGCGGGGGAGGCAGGCGGGAGCTAATTAGCTGTATGGGTGGTTGCTGGTTCTCTTCTTGCCTTCTTTAAGATATTTCTGTCAAACAGCTCTTTCTCCCGGTAATGCACAGGTGGTCCTCGCAGGTACTTCTCCTCTGCTGCCTTGTAATCCAGCCCATCAAGTGCGGCGATGGTACAAATCATGGCTTCCGGCAGAAGAACTTCCAGAACAAAATTGACTTTGTCATCCCTTATCAGAGTCAGCCTGGCCTTGTCAATTTGCTTGTAGATTTCTTGTAAATGCTTGGCCACGACTTCCAACTGATCGTCATCCTCCAGGTATGTTTCAATGCAGTGCAAATCCCTGTGTGGCTTCAGAAACGCGGTCAGCCACCTGGACTGCTTCCTGCCTTGCAAGATGTCCAGAAGGTGGGGGTCGGCCCCCTTTCTCCTCACGATGAAGTCCACGAGCTTCTGGTTGTCTCGGTCCCAAGAGGCCCTCATCCGGTCCGGGAGGATTTTCTTGCAAGGCCTCTTCCCGCCCAGGGAGGTCTCCTCCTCCCAGTCTTCCAGGTCGCCATAATTCACCTTTGGAAAGTCAATCTGCAGGTCTCCCTCTTGGATGGCTCTCCTGATTGGGTAGCTGATGTCTGCGGCATAATAGTCCAGGAAAGAGCCCCGGAAAGAACCCCGGACCAGTCCTTCTCTGTAGTGGGAGATCAGTGAGAAGCACCAGTTGACGCTTTGCTTGTAGGCCTTCTGGGCTCTCTTCAGCAGTTTCTCTTTCTCCTTACAATCCAGGTGCTTCAGCCTTCGAAGAGGAACTTGAATGCCCCGCTTTCCATGGTGCAGGTTGGCCTCAAGCAGGAGCACCCTCGCGGTCTTGTCTGTGTTGCTGACACTCTTGACCACTGCTGGCCAAAACGGATGATCTTGAAATTTGAACCAGACCATCGTTCCCCTTTCGATGGGATGTGGCTCCTGTGGAAAAGCAAGGCTGGGGGGCTGCCCATCCTGTTTACCGCCAGCCCTTTGAATGGTGGTGACAGGATTAGCAAGCTTAGCGTCACCAGGCGTCTGAGGTCCTTGAGGTCTCCTCTGAAAATCTGGACCTGGACGCTTCCTTTTTCTATTGGCAAGCCGGAGTGAAGAAGGCAGCCTGTGCTGACGGGACCCAGAGGATGCAGCCATACCTGCCCAGCCTGGCTTCCAGGCACCCTCTCCGGGGTCCTGAATGTTTCCCGAGAAGGGAGAACTTTCCGGGGATGCAGCCAGGGCCTTCTTCGGGCGGCTGTCCTGTGTCTCTTCCTTCAGAGCGGGGGGTGCAGGGCTGGTGAGACCTGGAGGCAGAGATGCACCCTCCTCCGTTACTGTGGGAGGCAGGGACATAAGAGTCGAGGCGTTTGCCCTTTTCTTCCCCTTTTTCTCACAAACATGCCGCGAAAGCGTCAGGGAATCCTGGCAGGCTCGGGGGCTTTGCAACACATGTGCTTGCATTCCAACTGGAGTAGGAGCAATGGCCATGAGCGCCTGTGACCTGTCCCTGCCCAGGGCACCTGGAGTAGGATCAATGGCCATGCACGCTGGTGAGCTGTCACTGCGCAGGACACTTGGAGTAGGATCGATGGCCGTATGTGTCTGTGACCTGTCACTGTGCAGGGCGCCTGGAGTAGGAGCAATGGCCATGCGTTCTCCTGAGCTGTCACCACACAGGGTGACAAATGGAGTCTGAGAAATGGCTTCGCGTTTCCATGACCTGGTACCATGCAGGGCCCCTGGCATAGGTGCAATGGCTGTGTGAAATGGTGAGCTGTCACCGCGCAGAGGGCCTGGAGTAGAAGCAATAGCCTTGTGTGCCTGAGAGCCGACACGGTGCAGGGCGCCTAGAATAGGAGCAACGGCCCTGCTTTCTCTTGAGCTGTCACAGTGCAGGGCGCCTGAAGTAAGAGTAATGTCCTGGTGCGCTGGTGACCTGTCAGCATGCAGGGCGCCTGGAGTAGGAGCAAAGGCGGTGCACGTTCGTGAGCTGTCACAGTGCAGGGTGCCTGGAGTGGGAGCAATGGCCTTGCGTTTCCATGACTTGTCATCGCGCAGGGCGCCTGGAGTTGGAGCAATGGTCGTGTGCACCTGGGAGCTGTCACCATGCAGGGCTCCTGGAGTAGAAGCAATGGCCGTGTGTGCTGGTGACCTGTCACCATGCAGGGCACCTGGAGAAGGAGTGATGGCCTTGTGCGCTGATGAGCTGCCACCGCCCAGGTCACCTGGAGTAGGAGCAATGGCCTTGTGTGTCTGAGAGGTGTCACCGTGCAGGGCGCCTGGAGTAGAAGCAATGGCCGTGTTTGCTGGCGAACTGTCACCTCGCGGGGTCCCTGGAGTAGGGGCAATGGCCGTTGAGCTGTCATCACCCAGGGCGCCTGGAGTAGGAGCAATGGCCCTGCATGCTGGTGACCTGTCAATGCGCGGGGCACCTGGAGTAGGAGCAATGGCCTTGTGTTTCCGTGACCTGTCAGACCTGTTACCGAGCAGGGCACCTGGAGTAGAAGCAATGGCTTTGCGTTTCCGTGACCTGTCAGACCTGTTACCACGCAGGGCACCTGGAGTAGAAGCAATGGCCTTGCGTTTCCATGACCTGTCACCTCTCAGGGCCCCTGCAGATGGGGCAATGGCCATGCGAGCTGTTGAGCTGTCACCGCGCATGGTGCCTGGAGTAGGAGCAATGGCCGTGTGTGCCTGAGAGCTGTCACCGTGCAGGGCGCCTGGAGTAGAAGCAATGTCCAGGTGTGCTGGTGACCTGTCACCATGCAGGGCGCCTGGAGAAGGAATAATGGACGTGCGCCCTGGTGAGCTGTCACGGCCCAGGGTGCCTGGAGTTGGAACAATGGCCCTGAGTGCTGGTGACCTCTCAACGTGCAGGGTGCCTGGAGTAGAAGCAATGGCCTTGCATTTCCGTGACCTGTCAGACCTGTTACCATGCAGGGCACCTGGAGTAGAAGCAATGGCCTTGCGTTTCCATGACCTGTCACCTCGCAGGGCCCCTGGAGATGGGGCAGTGGCCGTGCGCGCTGTTGAGCTGTCACCGCGCATCGTGCCTGGAGTAGGAGCAATGGCCATGTGTGCGTGAGAGGCATCACCATGCAGGGTGCCTGGAGTAGAAGGAAAGGCCATGTGCGCTGGTGGCCCGTCACCATGCAGGGCGCCTGGAGAGGGAATAATGGACGTGTGGGCTGGTGAGCTGTCACCGTGCAGGGCACCTGGAGTAGGAGCAATGGCCATATAAGTCCATGACCCGTCACCGTGCAGGGCCTCTGGAGTAGGAGCAACGACCCTGCGTTTCTGTGACCTGCCACCACGCAGGGCGCCGGGAGTAATAGCAATGGCCCTGCATTTCCTTGATTTGCCACCAAGCAGGGCGCCTGGAGTAGGTGCAATGCCCATACCCACCCATGACCTGTCCCCGCACAGTAAACATGGAGTAGGGGCAATGCTCCTGCGTGCGCGGGACCTTTCACTGCACAAGGCGCCTGGAGCAGGGGCAGTGGCCTTGCTCACCCCTGACCTGTCGCCGGGCAGGGCTCCTGGAGTAGAACCAGTGGCCGTGCATTTTCGTGACCCGTCACAGTGCAGGGTGCCTGGAGTGGGAGCAACGGCCCTGCGCACCGGTGACCTGTCACGGTGCAGGGCACCTGCAGGAAGGGCAATGCCTGTGCCCACCCGTGACCCAACCCTGAACAGTGCGGATGGAGTAGGTGCAATGGCCCTGCCTGCCTGTGACCTGTCCCTGCGCAGTGCACCTGGAGTAGGGGCAACGCCCATGCCCACCTGTGACCCCTTCCCGCACAGTGCGCATGGAGTAGGGGCAATGGCCCTGCGCACCCGGGACCTTTCACTGCACAAAGTGCCTGGAGTGGGGGCAATGGCCCTGCTTGCCCCTGACCTGTCACTGCACAGAGCTCCTGGAGTAGGATCAATGGCTGTGAGCTCTCGTGACCTGTCACAGCGCAGGGCGCCTGGAGTAGGAGCAATGGCCCTGCGCACTGGTGGCCTGTCACGGCGCAGGGCATCTGCAATAGGGGCAATGCCTATGCCCACCCGTGACCATATCTCGCACAATGGGCATGTAGTAGGGACAATGGCCCTGCGTGCTCGTGAACCGTCACCGCGCAAAGCACCTGGGGCGGGGGCAAGGCTGGTGTGCGCCCGTGACTTTTCACCACGCAGGGTGGCTGGAGTAGAGGCAATGGCCCTGCGGGACCGTGGCCTGTAACCTCGCAGGGTGCCTGGAGTAGGGGCAATGGCCGTGCGTGCCCGTGACCTGTAACCGCTCAGAGTGCCTGGAGTAGGGGCAATGGCCCTGCGCACTGGTGACCTGTCACGGCGCAGGGCATCTGCAATAGGGGCAATGCCTATGCCCACCCGTGACCATATCTCGCACAATGGGCATGTAGTAGGGACAATGGCCCTGCGTGCTCGTGAACCGTCACCGCGCAAAGCACCTGGGGTGGGGGCAAGGCTGGTGTGCGCCCGTGACTTTTCACCACGCAGGGTGGCTGGAGTAGAGGCAATGGTCCTGCGGGACCGTGACCTGTAACTGCTCAGAGTGCCTGGAGTAGGGGCAATGGCCCTGCGCGTCCATGACCTGTAACCTCGCAGGGCGCCTGGAGTAGGGGCAATGTCCGTGCGTGCCGCTGACCTGTTGCCGCCCAGGGCGCCCAGATTAGGTGCAATGGCGGTGCCTGTCGTTGACCTGTAACCGCGCCAGGCACCTGGGTTAGGTGCAATGGCCCTGCGCGCCCATGACTTGTAACCTCGCAGGGCACCTGGAGTAGGGGCAATGGCCTTGCACGCAGATGACGTGTTTCCCCGCAGGGTCCCTGGAGTAGAAGCAATGGCGCTGCGGGCCCGTGACCTGTCCCTGTGAAGGGCGCCTGGAGTAGGGACAAAGGCCGTGCGCGCTGCTGACCTGTCTCCACGCAGGGCACCTGGAGTAGGGGCAATGGCCTTGGACACAGATGACCTGTTTCCCTGCAGGGTCCCTGGAGTAGAAGCAATGGCGCTGCGTGCCCGTGACCTGTCCCTGCCAAGGGCACCTGGAGTACGGACAACGGCCGTGCGTGCTGCTGACCTGTCTCCGCGCAGGGCACCTGGAGTAGGGGCAATGGCCCTGCACACCCATGACTTGTAACCTCGCAGGGCGCCTGGAGTAGGGGTAATGTCCTTTGGCACCCGTGACCTGACACCGCACAGGACACCTGGAGTAAGGGCAATGGCTCCGCAAGCCCGTGACCTGTTGCCGCACAGGGAGCCTGGAGTAGGGGCAATGGCTCTGTGGGCCCGTGACCTGCCACCGCGCCTGGCGCCTAAGGTAGGGTCAATGGCCCTGCTCGCCTGTGACCTGTCCCCGCACAGGGAGCCTGGTTTGGGGGCAATGGACCTGCATGCCCATGACCTGCCACCATGCTTGGTGCCTCGAGCAGGGGCAATGGCCCTGTGCGCCCGTGACCTGTCACTGTACAGGCAGCCTGGGGTAGGGGCAATGGCCCTGTGCGCCCAAGACCTGTAACCTCGCAGGGCGCTTGGCGTAGGGGCAATGGCCCTGCGTGCCCGTGACCTGCCACTGAGCATGGCTCCTGGAGTAGGGGCAATGGCCCTGGGCGCCCCTGACCTGTCCCCGGGCAGGGCGCCTGGAGTAGGGGCAATGGCTGTGGGCTCCTGCGACCTGTCATCCCGCAGGGCACGCTTACTCTCTGAAGGGACCGTCGGTGAGCTTGGGTTTTCCCTCTTCCCAAGACTCCTCCTTAGGTCGCCTTTGCATCTCCAGTCATCTTCACGAGGGACAGAACTGGCTGGCTTTTCGGGCACCTTTTGAGAAAGCTGAGAGGGTGTGGTGCTCTCTAGTTCATGTGGTTTCCTTCCTCCACCCAGATTTGTTCTCTCTTTCAGAATCTCCAGGGCCACCCGAAGGGTTCCTCTGTACCCCATCTTCTCTCTGAGTGGGGCACCGAGCTTCGTCTGTGCTGCTGCAGAGGCGGCAATGTCTTCCATCTCAAACTTAGTTGGGGTCTTCACGTCTGTGCTTTTCACCTTGATTTTTTCATCTACTGCGAGGATTTGAACTTCTAGAGAAATCGCCTTTTCAGGCTTCGTTTTTGGTGAAGTCCCACGTGTGCACAAAACCTTTGCTGGCCATAGTCGGCCTTTCCAAGAGCATAGGACGTACTCCGAGTCCATGATGAGCTGGGAAAAGGTAGCTAAGGGAGGCCGAGGGGTCTGCCTGCCACACCCTCTGCTACCGTAGGTCTCTCCTAAACCAAGCTGCTCTTCAGAGCATCCCTTGCCTTCAGACTGCAAAGGGGGTGCAGTGTGGGTGGGCTGTGTTCCTCCTCCTGAATCTCCCTGAGGCACTTGAACTCGTGTTTCCAATGGACAATTCTGGAGTATGCTGCAACATGGTAAAGGGAGAGCGGAAATGTATCAGGAAAGCATCCTTTCGTGAAACGCGAAGCACCCTGCTCAGTGAGGTTGATAAAATAAGGAAACGTGACAAGTGAGTCTTAGACAGAGGGATAGACAGATGGCAAGTATTTGGGATCATACAGAAGGTCCACAGAAGCTTTATTACACAGCAAACCCAAGGCCTTCTCCTAATTTTAACAATTCCGTCTTGAGGAGCACCTGCATGGGGAGGTGGGTGTACCAGCAGGGACCCCACGTTTCTTACTGAGTATTCTGTGCCTTTGGGCTCCTTGGGCGGAAACCTGGGGAAATGCTTCATGTTTTTATTTCTAGGGTGCTAGTATGGACCTGTGCTTCCCAGGAAGCCCGAGGAGGTCTCCCACATGCAGATGCTGGGTGTCGGCACCATGTCATGTGCAAGAGCACCCAGAACCCAGAGCTGCGTGGCGATCATCCTGGTGATTACTGGCTACCATCGGTCGTGAGGATCGCTGCAGGCAGCGGTCACTGGCTGCCATCTGCACCTCTCTACCGTGGTTTTAAACTTTTGCCTGCCGACACCAAATCAGTGACTCTTATCCTGAAAACAAGTGTCTGTACAACGATGGGCAAGGAAAATTCCACTGTGAAATGTCAGCGTGAGGTGAATGCAAGTGAATGTTTAGTAAATGGGGAAATCTTACCCAGTGTCACATGGATCGCAGCAGGTTTGGTTCTGTGAGCTGGATCTCTTGCTGCTCACACTGCAAGCGCTGGTGTGCAGACCCTTCAACCCCACTCTGTGCCCCTGAAGTGCGCTGTTCTTCTGGCGACCCAGTGGCACCGCGTGTAGATGCTCAGGACCTATGCACTCCTAATGTCAACCTGGAAACACAAACACAGATAGGAAATTAAGCCAATCAAGTGATTTATCCTGTTCCCCTCCCCAACTCTTGAATGCATGCCCTTTTGAAACAGAACTGACGTCTTCATCTCAGGCATCACGTAGTTGTCATCTTTGTTTTCTGCCTTCTTTTGCATCTCAAACAATTTCCCTGTTATGCCACTTAGCGTATGCTAGTCTTTTTCCATTTCAGAACCTTGGGAACTAGTGCTTTCCCGAGAGCATCCCCCTAAGACAGAAGGATTCCATGTTAGCAGTCTCTCTCTCTCTCTCTCTCCTCTCTCTCTCTCTCTCTCTGTGTGTGTGTGTGAGAGAGAGAGAGAGAGAGAGAGAAATGAAATGTGCTCAACGAGATTGATAAAATGAGGAAACATGACAGGTGAGTCTTGTCATGTTATTGTGTTTTTCTGATTCTCAAATAACATGAAATGGGTTAGCATAGAATATGAGATGTGTAGACAGACATGTGAAAGGACATCACGTCACAGAATCTCAGTCTACATGATAATGTGCCCGCTTCCAAGGCATTGCCGATGCGCCAATGTGCACACACACATGCACATATCATCTTCAACTGGAGCTCCTAACCTAAGAGCATAACTGGATACATTGTCTTGTGAATGCCCGTGTTCCTACCTCATTTGTGTGAACGTCTGTACAGTGAGGTTTCCCTGCTAGTTCCAAACTTTATTTAATGAAATGTCCCATATTATAGAAACGTGCACCGAAGATGCAACTCTTTTGTCAATCCTTCACTTCCCACCTTCCACATCGAAATACTCTGCTAGCCTGTTGTTGTTTTCTATAGCCATTGTACAATATTTGGTACTGTGCAACATTGGGTATCATAGCTCACTTACATATTTTAGCTCATGCATTGTGGACTTCAAATTACAGGTTTCATAGGCCAATAATTATTTTCTTAATAAATGCATGTATGTGTGTCTTTGTTCACGGGCACTGGTAGATGTAATATGAAATGTATAATGATGATGAGATATACATACTTTAGGGAAAAGTTGTACAAAACCTTTCTTAGACGAGGGTATATGAACGTACAGGTTTAATGCCCTCTTCTTTAGAGAACTCAGAGTACTGGGTTGTCAAGCACAAGTGTCAACTGAGGACCCCGAACAAAAGTGAGAAGGAATCACCAATGACCCTGGCACTTCAATCTCCCCTTAACTGGACCTGCCAGCCCATGTCACAAAACAGGTGTGACTGGGCACCCTCAAGCCCAAGTCAATGCCTACCCACATCCCCAAATGCAGAGTCTCTCCTCTCTTCCTCTCTCTCTTTCTCTCTCTCTCTCTCCACACACACACACACACACACACACACACACACACACACACACACACACGTTGGAAACTCAAGGAGCCTGGCATTGATGCATAGAATCCATGCTCACTGCCTCTACACATTCCTGCAAATGTTTCTGCTTCCAGTACAAATGCTGTTTTCTTCTCCATTTAGTTTCTTATTTTAAACATAGACAGGGAAACATCTAAAGGGATGTCTAAAATTTCTAAATAGGAAATATAGTAAGCATCAGCAATCCCATCACCCAGAAATGCTTATTGCAAGTATATGAGTCCACACACTCCAGAATTTTTGTCCTGTTTATACATGTATATTTCTACAAGATATTTAAAAGCTTAAAGTTTGCACAGCCATTTGAATATTCTTCAGTATTGGCATCTGGCAACATCTTTACAGGTGTGAAACAGTTTAAGGGACTGCCTCCTACAGACCTCCAAAATATCCATTGCAGCTAAGTTCGGATGGCCAAAGCCATGCCTCCTTAAGAGAGATCATCAGAAGGGAAGTGTGTGAAATCAAAATATGAAATGTTCTCTCACCACATGCGTTGGCCCATCGCCCAAATACCTTCTATCAAGGGTTTGCATATAGTCTTGCTGGTGACTTTCTCCCCATATTTTGTACTAAGGGAAACACAATTGTTTTCCCTCCCTCTAGAGAGAGAGAGAGAGGTAGGTAGGTAGGTAGGCAGGTAGATGGGGGATAGACAGATGGATAGACAGATAGATAGATGGATGCATACAGGTAGAGATGGATATAGATTGATGAGGTTGAATGACTCATAGGGATAGATAAAAATAGATGGATAAAAGATAGAGATAGATAAAGATATATATTAGCTAGAAGGTCTATAGATATTCAGAATAATAGAGAGCCAGAGATAGAGACATAGATGGTGGAGACAGATGATGAAGAGATATATAGAGAGAAAGACAGTTGGATATAGAGATAGATAAATATAATTTTATAGAAGATAGCGGCTTGATAGATATGAAGAATGATAAGAATAGATAGGTGATAGATGGATGGATAGAGATAAAGATAGAGATGGATGAAGACAGAGAGATGATGGATGGACAGCAGAGTGGCTAGAGATAGAGCAAGATAGCTAGACAGGTCTACATCTATGTCTGTCTAGGTTTACCTTTACCTGTCTATATTGCAGATCCAGCTAGATCACGATGTGCAAATATTGATCTACTTCCGCATACCGGGATCTATGAGATAAAAAGGGAACATTCACTAAGCCCAACTCAGTTTTGTGAGTGAACCCAAGTTCTCAGACTATTGAGTGAGTAGGACAATGTGTTGAATATTTTACTTCAAAATGAAATCAAACACCACCTGCACAATGAGACTAAGCAGATGAACATAAAAGGAAGACAGGATAAATAGTGAGTCTACAATCTATAACATCACAGTCCATTTTAGGTCCCTAAAGACATTATCAGTAGAGCATTTTCTATTTTTGGTATATAACTTTTATTCTATTCCATTTGCTCTTTAGTTGAGGGATGAAGGAACTAGAAGACCGTGAGCTTTTATTTCTCCCAACGACAGCCATGATTTGGGGGATAATTATTTTGGAAGCCCTGTGTTAATTCCTTTCTCAAGTGAGGGTTCATTTACTTTTTAGGAACAAGTAAAAGAACACAGTCCTCAGCAGCTCTTCTCAAAGTGGGGTCCGTTTCCTGACGTGGTCCCCCTCCCACCGAGAGGCATGCATCCTCCCTCCAGCACCCCTCCCTAGCATTACCAGAGCTTTGTGGAGCTCCCGTCGGCTGCTGGGTGTGTGATTTTAGACCTTCCCCCAAACAGGTGTTTCCTTCAAAGGATGAGCTGGCGGCATCCTTTAGTACAATAAAGGCACCGTGTATTAAATGGTTTCTCTAAAGGAAGTACATTCTTGTGTATTCCTACACCTTCCGTTTGCGCTGGTGAATTGCACATAAACTTTCAACGTAACTTTAGAGACAGGTCTACGCTTTCCTAGGGTTTGCAGTGCACTTGTAGCACCATTGGGTGAGAATTGGTATCGGTCCAGTTTTCCCCTTATTCTGTTCACTAATTGCATGCATCAGTAGAGGATGCAATTAGTGAACAATTGCACCGCTCTCCGACCTGGAGAGCAGAGCCGTTTGGTAGACAATAGGAACACAATGGCCCGCCCTGGTGAAGGAGCCTGTGTTTTTCGCTTCTGTCATCGAGAAGGGGCCCTCACTGATTTTCACTCAATTCACCTCATCGTAGTTAGCGGAGTGAGACCAGGAAATTCACCTTTTACAGAACATGGGTCTCAAGGGTCAGCTACGCAGGATGAGCCCAGCATGAGTCCCGGCCTGCTCAAAGTGACAGGAGGCCTTCCAGTCCTACCCATGGTAGCTCCTCATTTGCCGGCATCAGATTTCCCTCTCCTAATGTATGCATCGTACGTTCTTACAATGAGGAGGCGAGCAAATTTCCATCCTGAAGGAGACCTGCGACATTCCTTTGAGTTCAGAAATCCTTGTGGATCTCTGCTTTAAAGGACTGACTCGGGTGACAATGCTCTGGCTCAACAGGTGTCACCTCAGGACAGTGAGTCAGGACAGTCAACTCAATGCCACACACATTCACACACACACAGAGACACATACTTCCTCACACACACACATCCATACACACACCCCCAAACACACACACATCCTCACACACACACATCCTCACACACACATCCTCACATACAAACACGCACACACATGCACACGCATCCACACACATCCACACACACACCCCCAAACACACACACATCCACACACACGCGCGCACACACATACACACATGTCCACACACATCCTCACACACACACCCACACACGCACACACCGTCACACACACACACACAGACACACATCCTCACACATACGCCCTCACCTCCCCCCCGCCCCCGACACAGTCACATCGATAGCAGACACCTACTAGTCTTGACGTTCCTACAGCTATTCCAGCTGTCCGCTCTGTAAATATCCTTGCGATGTGTGTCTGCCGCCAGGAAAGAAACGTTTACCTTGGTTGTCATAGAAACCGAAGTGTCGTCCCGAGGTTCTGCTGGATGACGACTTGCTACGGAGAGCAGGAAGCGCCAATACATCCCCCGAGGCTCAGCGTCGATCTGGAGCTCACTCAGTGGCACCCCGCTCAATCTCACGCGGGAACCAAGAAAGGATTCGCAACAGGGCTGGGAATTCTCCTTGGCCTAGGCGCTGGGGGCAGGGGAAGTTTCACAGAACGGGTCATGGAGGGAGGCAAGTGAAGGCGTCACAGGTTCTGTTCTCCCTTGAGGCACAGGGACGTGGGAGCCAGGTTCCCTGAGGGGCCACCTTTCCCACCGCCAGAACACACGAGATCAGGTACTTTTGTGTACCTATAGCTTAGCTCACACCGAGAACATGCGGTATTCGGTTTTCCGTTCCTGAGTTAGCTCACTTAGGATAATGGCCTGCAGTTGCATCCAAGTTGCCACAAAAGACACGATTTTGTTCTTTTTTTTACGCCTGACTAGCATTTCATGGTGTATATACACATTTTCTTCCTCCACTCATCAGTCGATGGGCACTTAGGTCGATGCCACACGCTGGCGATTGTGAATTGTGCTGCGATAAACATACATGTGCAGCTGTCTTTTTCACATAATGACTTCGTTTCCGTTGGGTAGATACCCAGTCGTGGTATTGCTGGATCGTATGGTGTATCGACTATTAGTTCTTTAAGGAGTCTCCATACTGTTGTCCATAGGGGTTGGACTAATTTTGATTCCCACCAGCAGCGTAAAAGCATTCTTTTCCACCACATTTGCACCAACATCTATTGTTTATTGAGTTTTTAATCGTGGTCATTCTGGCCGGGGTAAGGTGCTATCTCACCCTGGTGTTCATTGGTGTTTCCTTGATGATGAGCAATGTTGAACATTTTTTCAAATATGTCTTGTCCATTTGTATATCCTCTTTTGAGAAATGTCTGTCCACGTCATATGCCCACGTTTTAATGGGATTATTTGCTCTTTCTCCTTGCTGTTTTTGTAGAGTTCCTTGTAGATTCTGCATATTAGTTCTTTGTCGCAAGCACAGTTTGCAAATATTTTCTTCCATTCTTCAGGTTACCTTGTTACTCTGTTGATAATTTCTTTGGCATATTTCTTTCGATACTTGTGTTGTTGTCAAAAATGGACTTATTTTTCATGGACCATATTTGTATGTAAACATGAATGGGCTGAAGATTATTTTTAAATTGAAATTTTCATTTAATTGATAGCTCAGGTTTTTTCAAAACACTTGAACATATATTGCATGGGTCTAAGAATTGTTATTTTTGAAAGAAATATTTATTGAAGTGAAACTCAGATAACATAAAATTAGATATTTAAGCATACCGTTTGGTGGCATAAAGTAAATTCACAGTATTGCAAAATCATCACCTCTGTCTATTTACACAACATTTGCATCAATCCCAAAGAAAACCCTGTACCCATGAGGCAGTCACTACTGATTCCCGCCTCCCTCCTTCCCTGGCATCCACTCATCCGTTTTGTAATCAGATGACATGATAACAACCTGATTTCTAAGTATCGCTAATCCTTAACATTTGCTTCTTCTGGACATTCCATAGAAATGGAATCATAGGGTATGTGACCCTTTGTGTCTGGCCTATTTCACGTAACATGGTTTCCAAGTTCATCCCACGTCGTACCATGTATCAGAGCGTCATTCTTTCTCACAGCTACGGAGTATCCCGTTAGGTGGATCCATCATGTTGTGTTCATCCATTTATCTGTTGGTGGTAATGTGGGATGCTCCTATTTGGCTGTTGTCCATGGTGCTGTTAGGGACATTCATACACATGTATTTGCTTGAATGTCTGTTTTAAATTTTTCTGCATGTATCTAGGAGTGGAATGATGGTGTCATATGTTCATTACTTTTAACATCTTGAGGAAACACCAAACTGTTTTTCGTAGCAGCCACACACCATTTTACATTCCCGTCAGCAGTGTATAAGGCTTGCAGTTTCTCCACATCTTTAACAGCAGCAATTTTTGTCTTCCTCTTGAAAGTAAACAACCTGGGGGGTGGTTAGCTGGTAGGATTGTGGTGTGATTTGCATTTCCCTAAGAGTAATGACGTTGAGCCTATGTTCTCCGTCCCTGTACCCTTGCACATGCCTGGATCCTATTTTGCTTATTGCATGGGCCATCTTTTCCGTCCTCATTCATGTGTTAAACTCCTACCCACATCTCAATATCGATCAGCAATATTTAGTCTGCTGAGTGCTTCTCTAAAAGCCAGACTCTCACCTTGATTTCTTTGAGACTATGAACGAAACAACAAAGCGTGATATTTAGGCTGTCAAATGGCCTTGAGAAAATTCTACACCACGGGCTTCTAAAACAGTGAGAAAATGTTTTGTCACGAGTCTAGGTAATCAGAAGGAGTAAATTGGCAGTGATCAAGGTGGAGTAGTATTAGCAATGTGCTGTTCTTAGAATTAGCACTGAGATGAGTTATGAAATCTTGATGTATCTATGGTACGTAGACATCTATGTATTACCTCTTGGAGCACATGGTGAAATCTCCAGATATTTTCAGACTACTATATGCCTTTTCCAGTAGTAACGTGCCATTGTGACGGAGATCAATCTGAGGCAATGTTTAACATGAGTAAGTGAAAC